>NC_000004.12:45623833-45933257 GCF_000001405.40 Homo sapiens
CACTAATTAAGTATAATGTAAGGCACAAATGTACTCATTTTCTCCCAAAACTCATTTACTAAGAACATACTATGCACTAGTCAGGCACTTTACTAGTCAATGTGGTTCTGACAATAATATGCTAAATACCTTCACGAAATCCATGGTTTTGTAACATAGTTGGACCAACATAGGAAGCAATTACAACACAAAATGATTGGTCTCATAAAAGTTGATGTTTTAAGAGTATACAGTAGAGGCAAGTGATGTTTTCAGAAGAAAATGGTTTTCAAAGTGCAGCCTAGACAAATAATAATTAAGAGTTATTATGCTGAAGATGGGGGAGTTAAAAAGAGGAGTGTGTGAGAAGGAAAGTGTCCTGGTAAGAAATGAAATTATGTATTTAAACATGGTTTGAGCTTGGTAGCCAAGAAGGAACTTCCAAGAGATTCATACAGATGGTAAGCAAAAAGACAATAATGAAGGTCCACCCAAGCCATTGAAGAGTTTGTGTTTTGCCTCGGAGCGATGGTGTGCTAGTGATATAATGAGAAATCAAATAATGCTATTTAGTGTATGTTTATAAAATTGTTCTAGGGGCCATGTGCAAATTGATCTTCAACTCATTTTGTTTCCAGAAATCTTGGGTGTGTAAAGTATATAGTAATCGTTTTTAAATGAATAAAATAATATATTAATTAAGCATCTCCAGTGTGTTGTGCCTGGCACTAGGAATACATCAGAGAACAAGGCAGTCATGATCCATGTCCTTCTGAGCTTAGGATATTCTAGAGGCTGTCCAGCCAGCTGTTGAAAGTTTTCAGATCTGAACTCCAGAAACAAGACTTGGCTGTTGTTAAAAGTTAAGAAAGTCAGCTGTATAAATATCATAACAGAAAGAGTCAACATCGCTATCAATTAAATTATGACCCATAGATTTTACTTTTTAATTAAATTTAAAAGCAAAAAGCAATGCATCTCATTTATATACATTTACATTGACTCAATTTTTGGCATATTAAATATAAATTTACATATAATTTTAACACAAACCAAATATTTATACATCTACGTTGGGCATTTTCAACAACATCTCTCTAGACACATTCAAAATGACAATGTCAAATAGTTCTTGAATAAAAATTCATGAGACAGATGGTGTTGTGCCTGGATGTAAACGTCAGGAGCCCTTAAATATCATTAAAGCACATAGATGACTTTTAGCAAGCTAATATTTGATATTATTCAGATGAACAATTCAGTCCTTCTATACCAAATAACTTACAATATACCATTTATAATAGGAATCCACCTACATAATAATGAAAAATAAAAAACTTCAGGAGTACATAACTCGTGAGCAGGCCAAATTCTAAGTGCTAAAACATTGAGTAGTTTGGATATAAATAATACTTTATGATTAGTTGCCTGAAATTTTAAGATGCTATAAAATTATTCAAAATCTAGTAAAGCCCTACAGATATGACAAAAACACAAAGTGATATGGAATAAAAAGATTCGCTTTCTTATGTTATTTTGGTTGAGTTATAAACTAGTTTTGTGCTTTAAAGAGAAATCCCTAATAAACGGAAAAAATATAACAGATCATATCACCCTATATCATTTGCTGGGTGAATATATCAGGACAAGATGCATATCACGTAAGCCACTTTGCATGTGCCTATTTTTAAAAGGTGTCTAGGATGCTGTCTGACTTGTAAGTGAGCATTGGTATATTGGAAGCATAATAAATAAAATGGACTGGGAACAGAAACGTAAATATATTAAAATTTATTTTTATTACACATGATGCTTAACAGCTTTAAGAGTATTATTTCTTGTATTGCATTCAATATCACAAGAGAGTTATTCATATTGTGTGAAAGTGAAGGTTTCTACAATGGTTTGACTTTAATGTTCAATATATGGTCCCAGAGGTAGTTTTATTTAGAGGTTGCTTCTTCATGCACTTCATTGTTACCTGAGCTGACCTAATTTAACAAGGATGAAATGAAATTTCCTGGGATCTGCTCTACTTTTATTTGTTTGTTTGAAATTTTTGTTTCCTTTTTTGATGTCATCATTACTAGATGTTCAATGCCCCAATTCTTTCCCTGATGTTCAACAAAACTATCACTTCATTCGATTCTGTAACACTATTGAAATGTTAGCCTTGTGAGGACAGTGACTGTGTTTTTATTGTTTGTTTGTTTCCTGTGGTATCACTAGCACTCAGGTGCATATTTATTACTGTCTTAACTTCATCTGTCAGTATAAACTAAGTTATGATAGTAATAAGTGACCACATAAAACTTCCTGGCTTATTATAATAAAGATTCAATTCTCGTTAATGCAACATGTTCCTAAGCAGCTATTTCCCTACTGCATGTCATCATTTCTCTGGGACCTTGGATGAAGAAGAAGCCTCTAAATAAAAAATTTCCAATCTTGTGACAGAGTAAAAAGTGACATAGCAAACTATAAGTTCACTCTTAAATATTCAGCACAGAAGCTTTCACCCACATGATTGGTCACAGCAAATTATATGGCCATTTCTGAGTTCAACACAATAGAAATATATATTTTCCTCACAAAGAGTGGTCTTATAGAAAGTAAATTATAGTTTTGATCATCAGTAGTATAGTCTACAACACTAACCTATATTTACTAGAGACCCATTGAAAAATATTCATTTAGGACTATGGCTCATGAATACTATTAATCAAGTTTACGAAGTATGGCTCTGCAAACTGAACAATCAGTTTTAAAAGGTAGTAAGCCACAACCCATATGCTGTTCATTTGTTTTCTATGTCACTACAAACTCTCATGACCTCAAGTAGGCTTGTGTCTGGACTCAGCAAGCCTTGTCTTTGTTTTGATCCTGTCTAACCTGGAATTTGATATCTAACCCTCAGATTTTGAATTCCTTGTGAATGTGGGGTTTATGAAAGTCTTCTTGAAACATGTTCTTATAAACTCTGGCTTCATGACTACTCTTTCTATCAGCAAACTGGAATCTGTAAATTTAAATGCAATGTTTGCCACTTTTTAATTGTGTGACCTTGAGCAGGTCACTTAATCACTCTCTGTCCCACTTTCCTTATCTGTAAAATGAGGTTAGTAATGCTAATTAATTCATGGTATTGTTTTGATAATAAATAAGATTAATATTTGTAACATGGCAAAAAGGCCAGGTATATAATAAGGTTATGCTATTCTTTTTTTTTTTTTTTTTTTCTGAGACTAAGTCTTGCTCTGTCACCTAGGCTGGAGTGCAGTGGTGTGATCTTGGCTTACTGCAAACTTAGCCTCCCAGGTTCAAGCGATTCTTCTGCCTCACCTTCCCAAGGAGCTGGAACTACAGTCACGCACCACCACAGCCGGCTAATTTTTGTATTTTTCATAGAGACGAGTTTCACCATGTTGGCCAGGCTGGTCTCGAACTCTTGACCTCATGATCCACCCTCCTCAGCCTCCCAAAGTGCTGGGATTACAGGCGTGAGCCACCGTGCCGGGCCAGATTATGCTATTCTTAACTGCCATACATTTTACATTTGAAATATAAATTAGAATATATTTCATGTGATTATACCAAAGCATATATTAATATGCAATTGGAGCATTAAATAGATTTGTCTTTTCTATAATGAAGAATACTCAGAGAACTCACATAACATATTTTCATAGCAATGTGATCATCTAGTAATGGCCCTCTTCATAGATCCTAATCACAAATATTCATCACAGTTGTCAGCATTTGACAAAAACTTTGAAAATCAGTTATCCTTACAGATGTTATCTCATCAACTGCCTTAAATAATTTCATGTAACTTGATGTCATATTTTTCCTGCCTCGTCATCTCCCAGTCTTCTCCACTTAACAATTAATACCCTCTCATGCTGGGAGTATAACCAAATACCCTCTCATACATGGGAGTATAATACCCTCTCATACATGGGAGTATAACCAAAACCTTATCTTTCAGTGTTGTCTTTTACTGCATACTTATAAACTTGAAATCCAACTTTATAAACATGGCTTCAACTATCTAAATATTTAACATTATAAATTCAGCACTTCTTACCAAAGTTCTCATAAAAGTTGTTAACTCATTGATGTCTATACATTACTTCCATACTTTCCATATTGAAGAAAGCCAACAAACTTAGGATTCATCAGTTCCTTGATAAAATTAAAATCACACCACAATATACTAAAGAGCCACCTATAAGTGTATCTTTCAGCAAATTATTTTTGTCATAACCTTATTTTATAATATTACTACTTGATAATATATGTAGTTTTGGTTAATTGTTTACTAGATGTACTTTTCACTATGTTTTTTTATTTTTTAAACTTTTTTATTTTTAACTGTATGGATATATAATAGTTGAACATATTTCTAGGGTACATGTGAAATTTTAATACAGCCAGACAATGTGGAATGATTAAAATAGATAAATTGAGATATCCATCACCTGAGGTATTTTTATTTCTTTTTGTTAGGAACATTCCAATTCCACTTTTGTAGTTATTTTGAAATACACATTAAATTGTTAACTATAGCAACCCTATTGTGCTACCTAATACAAGATCTTATTCCTTTTATCTGTATTTTTGTACCCATTAACCAACCTCTGTTTATTCTGCCCTTCTCTCTACCCTTCACAGCCTCTGGTAACCACCATTCTACTCTCCATCTCCATGAGATCAACTTTTTAAGCTCCCACATATGAGTGAGAACATGCAATATTTGTCTTTCTGTGCCTGGCTTATTTTACTTAACATTATATCCTTGAGTTCCATCCCTGTTGTTGCAAATGGCAGTATTTTATTCTTTTTTATGGCTGAATAATATTTCACTGTGTATACGTACCACATTTTATTTACCCTTTTATCCACTGATGGGCACTTTGGTTGATTCCAAATCTTCACTATTGTGAATAGTGCTGCCATAAACATAGGAGTTTAAAAATCTCTTCAATATACTGATTTCCTTTCCCATGGTTAAATGCCCGGTAGTAGGATTGCTGGATCATATGATAGTTCTATTTTTAGTTTTTTAAGGAATATCCATACTGTTCTCCATACTGGCTGTACCAATTTACATTCCCACAAGTAATGTAGCAGGGTTCCCCTCCCTCCATATCCTTGCAAGTGTCGATAATTGCCTGACTTTATTATAAAAGCTATCTTTACTGAGTGATATGATATCTCATTATAGTTTTGATTTGCTTTTCTCTGATGACTGGTGATTTGAATATTTATTAATATACATTTTGGCCATTTGTATATCTTCCTTTGAGAAATAACTTATAAAAATCAAATAAAAATTGAAGTAAAGACTTAAATATAAGATATGAAACTATAAAACTACTAGAAAAAAATGTCAGGGACATGCTACAGGACATCAGTCTGGGAAAATATTTATTGAGTAAGACCTCGGAAGCATAGGCAAACAAAGCAAAAATGGACAAATAAGATCACATCAAGCTGAAAACGTTTCTGTAGAGCAAAGGAAACAATTGACAAAATGAAGGGACAACCCACAGAACAAGAGAAAATATTTGCAAACTACTCATTTGACAAAGGATTAATAACCAGAATATAGAGCAAAGAGGCCGAGTAAGATGGCAGAATAGAAAGCCCCACCAATCGTCCCCCCAACACAGGAAAACTCAATTCAATGACTACACACACACAAAAAAAAACACCTTAAGAATCAAAAATCAGGTGAGCACTCACAGTACCTGGTTTTAACTTCATATTACTGAAAGAGGCACTGAATAGGGTAGGAAAGATAGCCTTGACATGCTAATGGCATCGCTCCCCAACTTTCCCACAGTAGCTACATGGCACAGAGAAATTCTTGCACTTGGGAGGGGGAGAGCTCAGCAATTGTGAGACTTAGCATGGAACTCAGTACTGCCCTGTCACAGCAGAAAGCAAAACTGGGCTGAACTCAGCTGATGTCCACCCACAGAGGGAGCATTCAGACCAGCCAGAAGGGAATCATGCATCCCCGTGGTCAGAATTTTCATTCTGGCAAGTCTCACCCTCATGGGCTGAAGTGCTCTGCGGCCCTAAATAAACTTGAAAGGCAATGTAGGCCACAAGGATTGCAAATTCTGGTGCTGAGCTAGGCTTGGAGCCAGTGGACTTGGGGGTTATGCAATTCACTGAGACATAAGCTGGGGCAGCTAAAGGAGTGCTTGCACCAACCCACCCCAAACCCCAGGCAACACAGCTCATGGCACCAAAACAGACCTCTTACTTCCACTTGAGGAGAGGATAGGGAAGAGTATAGAGGACTTTTGTCTTGCATATTGGATACCAGCTCAGCCATAGTAGGATAGTGCACCACTCACAGTTGTGAGGCCCCTATTCTAGGCACTAGCTCCTGAACAACATTTCAAGACATACCCTGGGCCAGAAGGCCAGAAGTTATTGTCTTTAATGGAGGGTGACACAGTCCTGCTAGGATGCATCAGCTGTTTACTAATGAGCCCTTTGGCCCTGAATAGTCACTGGCAGTCCAGATAGTATGCCATGGGCCTTGGGTGAGATTCTGAGGCATACTAACTTAGTTAAGACCCAGAGTATTCCCAGCTGTTGTGTCTATAGTGAGAGACTCCTTCTGTTTGAGAAAAGCAAAGGGAAAAGTAAAGGGGACTTTGTCTTTCACCCTATGTACCAGATCAGCCACAGTGGGGTAGAACACCAAGCAGACCCTTTGGGTTCACTATTCCCAACTTTGGGCCTTGTGAAGCATTGCTGGACATTCTCTGGCACTGAGGTGAGCCTGCTGTCCTGAAGGATGAGTCCCAGGTCTGGTAGCATTCACTACCAGACTACTGCTGATATTCACTTAATGCTCAAGAGCACACACAGTACCTGGTTTTAACTTCATATTACTGAAAGAGGCACTGAATAGGGTAGGAAAGATAGTCTTGAAGTGCTAATGCCACCACTCCCCCACTGTCTCACAGTAGCTACATTGCAGTAGTCTGGTAGTACTCTCTGTGGGCCTATGGTGGTGGTGGCAATGGAGTGAGGTTCTTCTGCCTATGGAAAGGGGAAGGAAGAGTGGGAAGAACTTTCTAATTGTTTGAGGGCCACCTCATCCACAGTAAAGTAGAGCATCAAGTAGAGTTCTAAGTTGTTTCACTTTGGCCCCTAGCTCCTGGACAGCATCTCTGGACCCTCTTGGATCCTGGAGGAACTTGTCATCCAAAGGAAAGGACACAAGCTTGGCTGTCTTCACCACCTGCTGATTGTAGAACCCTCGGTACTTGAGTGAACATAGGTGGTAGCCAGGTAGTGGTTATAATGAGCTTTGGGTGAGACTCATTACTGTACTGTCTTTAGGTATGACCCAGCACAGTCCCAGTTGTGGTGGCCACAGAGTTGCTTATGTCACACCTTCCCCAGCCCCAGGCAGCTCAGTACAGAGAGAGAGAGAGAGAGAGAGACTCTGTATGTCTGGGGAAAATAAGGGAAAATAACAGAGTCCCTGCCTTTGAGGGAATTCAGAGAATTCTTCTAGCTCTTATGCAAGACTACCAAGGCAGTATCTCCACAAGTTTGCAAAAGTCACAGCATTATTGGGCTTGGGGTGTTCCCTAATGCTGATAAGGCTTATATTACAATACCCAAGTTCTTCAGAGTACGTGGAAAGCACTGCCAAGAAGGATAGAAACAAACAGGCCCAGATTGTGAAGACTGCAAATAGACAAAAAGTTGAAAAATGGGGGAAAAATTTAAAGTGTACATTTTTATTATTTTTCTTTTGCTTGTTTATTTACGCAGAGTGCTAAGTTACTATTAGCTTAAAATAGTTGATTATGAGAAGTTCGAAAGCCTGAAGGTAACCTCAAATCAAAAACATACAATGGATACACAAAAAAGAAAAAGCAAGGAATTAAATCATACCACCAGAGAAAAGAACCTTCATTAAAACAAAGACAGGAAGGAAAGAAAGAAGGAATACAAGACCACAAAAGAACCAGAAAACAAAATGGCAGGAGTAAGTCCTTACTTATTAATAATAACATTGAATGTGAATGGACTAAAATCTTTAATAAAAAGATAGAGTGGCCAAATTGATAATGAAACAAGACCCAAAGATCTGTTGCCTAAAATAAACACATTTCACCTATAAAGCTACATATAGACTGAAAAGAAAGGGATGGAAAAAGATATGTCATACCAATGGAAACCAAAAAAAAAAAAAAAAAAGCAGGAGTAGTTATACTTATATCAGAAAAAGTAGATTTCAAGACCAAAACTCTCATAAGAGACAAAGAAGGTCATTATATAATGATTAAGGGGTCATTAAAACAAGAAGATGTAACAATTTAAAATATAAAATATATATTCACCCGACACAAAAGCACTAGATATAAAAAGCAAATATTATTAGAGATCAAGAAAGAGGCAGAACCCAATAAAATAATCTCTGGAGAATTCAGCTCTCCACTTTGAATTTGGACTTAACTCCTAGACAGAAAATCAACAAAGAAACATTATATGTAAATTGCACTGCAGACTAAAAGGACCTAGTATACATTTACAGAACATTTCACACAATGGCTGCACAATACACTCTTTTCCTCAGCACATGGATCATTCTCAAGGAAAGAACATATGTTAATCAACAAAACCAATCTTAAAACATTAAAAAACTGAAATAATATCAAGCATCTTCTCTGACCTCAATGGAACAAAACTAGAAATTAATAACAAGAGGAATTTTGGTAACTATGCAAACACATGGAAATGAAGCAATATGCCTCTCAATAATCAGTGGGTCAATAAAGAAACAGGAAAGGAAATTTAAGATTTTCTTGAAACAAATGATAATGGAAACATGACATACCAAAACCTATGGGATACAGAGAAAGCATTACCAAGAGGGAAGTTTATTGCTATAAGCGCCTACATCAAAAAAGAAGAAAAACTTCAAATAAAAATCTGATGATGAATCTTAAATAACTAGAAAAGTAAGAGCAAACCAAACCCAAATTTAGTAGAAGAAAATAAATAATAAAGACCAGAGCAAAGATAAATGAAATTGCAATGAAGAAAACAACACAATAGAGCAATGAAACAAAAAGCTAGTTTTTTCAAAAGATAAGCAAAATTGACAAACCATTAACCAGAATAAGAAAAAAAGAGACAAGACTCAAATAAATAAAATCAGAAATGAAAAGAAGACATTACAATTAATATTGCAGAAATTCAAAAGATCATTAATGACCACTATAACCAACAATATGCCAAGAAATAAGAAAATCTAGAAGAAATGTATAAATTTCTAGACACATAAAACCTAATAAGATTGAAACCGAACCATAAAGGAATTCAAAACCTGAACAGAGCAATTACAAGTAGCATGATCAAAGCCATAATATGAAGCCTCCCAAAAAAGCAAAGTCTGAGTCCCAGTGGCTTCACTGCTGAATTCCACCAAACATTTAAGAAAAACTAATACCAGTCATATTCAAGCTACTCCAAAAAAAAGAGAATGGAATACTTCCAAACTCATTATATGAGGCCAGTATTACCTTGTTACCAGAACCAGACAAATACAGATTTAAAAAAAAAAACCTATGGAATAATATCACTGATTAATACTGATGCAAATATCCTCAAAAATACTAGCAAACCGAATTCAACAATGCATTAAAAAGATTATTCATTATAACCAAGTAGGATTAATTGTAGGTATACGAGGATAGCTTTACATACATAAACCGATCAATGTGATTATCATATAAGCAGAATGAAGAACAAAAATCATATGATGACTTCAACTGTTACTGAAAAAGCATTTGATAAGTTTCAGCATGCTTTTATAATAAAAACCCTCAAAAAATGGGTGCAGAAGGAACATACCTCAACATAATAAAAGCCATATATGACAGACCAACAATTATGGGGAAAAACTGAAAACCTTTTCTCTAAGATTTGGAAGGGGACACGTATGCCCACTTTTATGACTTATTCAACATAGTACATGAAGTCCTATCAAAGTAATTAAACAAGAGAAAGGAAAAAAGGGCATTTGAATTGGGAAGGAAGAAATCAACTTATCCTTGTATGCAGATGATAAAATCTTATATTTGGAAAAACCTAAAAACTCTAATACAAAACACTTAGAACTGATAAACAATTCAGTAAAGTTGCAGGATATAAAGTCAATATACAAAAATCAGTAGCATTTCCATATGTCAACAGTGAACAATCTGAAAAATAAAGGAAGAAAGTAATCCTATTTACAATAGCTACAAATAAAATTAAATACCTAGGGATTAATTTAACCAAATAAATGAAAGATCTTTACAATGAATACTATAAAACATTGGTGGAAGAAATAGAAGAGGACACAAAAAATGAAAAGACATTCCATATTCACAAATTGGAAAAATTACTGTTGTTAAAATGTCCATACTATGCAGAGCAATCTACAGATTCATTTCAATCCTTATCAAAATACCAATGACATTTTTCACAGAAATTAAAAAAACTAAAATTTATATGGAACCACAAAAGATCCATAATAGCCAAAGTCATCTCGAGCAAAAAGAACAAAACTGGAGGAATCACATTACTTGACTTCAAATTATACTACAGAGCTATAGTATCCAAAATGGCATGGTACTAGCATAAAAAGACACACAGACCAGTGGAACAGAATAGAGAAAGCAGAAATAAATTCTTATATCTACAGTAAACTAATTTTCCACAATGGTGCCAAGAACATACATTGAAAGGACAGTCTCTTCAATAAATTGTCATGGGAAAACTGGGTATCCATATGCAGAAGAATGAAACTAGACCCCTATCTCTAGCCATATACAAAAAACAAATCAAAACAAATTAAAGATTTAAATCTAAGATCTCAAACTATGAAAGTACTACAAGAAAACATTTGGGAAACTCTCAAGGACATTGGACTAGGCAAAGATTTGTTGAACAATACCCCACAAGCACAGGCAACCAAAACGAAAATGAATGAATGGGATCTCATCAAGTTAAAAAGCTTCTACACAGCTAAGGAGACAATCAACAAACTAAAGACACACTCCACAGAATAACAAGAGATTAATAACCAGAATATATAAGGAGATCAAATAACTTACAGGAAAAAATCTAGTAACCTAATTTAAAAACTTGGCAAAAGATACGAATAGGTATTTCTCAAAAAAAGATGTACAAATGGCCAACAGGTGTATGAAAAGGTACTCAATATCACCGATCATCAGATAAATCAAATCAAAACTACAATGAGATATGTCACCCCAGTTAAAATGGCTTTTATTTAAAAGACTCAATAACAAATGCTGGTGAGGATGTGGAGAAAAGGGAACCCTCCTACACAGTCGGTGGGAATATAAATTAGTACAACTGCTATGGAGAACAGATTGGAGGATTCTCAGAAAAGTAAAGTCAAAGCTACCAAATGATCCAGCCATTCCACTTCAAGGTATATACGCCTCCCAAAAGGAAATTATTATATCAAAGAGATATCTCTACTCCCATGTTTATTGGAACACTGCTGTCAATAGCCACGAATTGGAAGCAATGTAAGTGTCCATCAAAAGATAAATGAATAAAGAAAATGTGGCATGTGTACATAATGGGGTACTATTCAGCCATAAAAAGAATGAGGTCCTGTCATTTGCAACAACATGGATGGAACTGGAGGTCATTATAACTGAAATGAGGCAGGCCCAGAAAGACAAACTATATGTTCTCACATATTTGTGGGAGCTAAAAATTAAAGCAATTGAACTTAGGAGAATAGAGAGTAAAAGGATGGTTACCAGACCCTGGAAAGTGCTGTGGAGGAGTGGTGAGGAAGCACGGATGCTTAATGTGCACAAAAACTAGAAAGAATGAATAAGACCCAGGATTTGCTAGGATAACAGGGTAACTCTAGTAAAAAATAATTTAATTGTACATTTTAAAATAACTAAAAGAGTGTAATTGGATTGCTTGAAACACAAAGGATAACTTTTTGAGGTGATAGATAAGCCATTTACCCTGATGGCATCATTATGCATCACATTCTTGTATCAGAATATCTCATGCAACCCATAAATATGTACACATACTATGTACCCACAAAAATAAAAAATAAAAAAATTAATTACTGTCAGAAAAAATCAATAATAAGGAGCTAAAGCACTCAATAGCAAAGAAGAAAACTAAACAAATAATCCAATTAAAAATTGGCAAAAGGCCTGAGTTGACATTTCTCAAAAGAAAACATGCAAATGCCTTCTTTAATTTCTTTCAGTAATGTTCATTTCTAATTTTTGTGTGTGCATTGTAGATGATTATGTTCTCTACGTATTACATTGGATTTAATCCCAAATGTTTGCTTTTTTTGTTGCTATTGAACTTAAACTTTAAAAATGGAATTCATTTGCTCTTATTTAGACATTAGGTTGAGTTTTACATGTTACATAATATTCAGGCACCTTGCAAAAGGCATTAGTTCTAATAGTTTATATAGAGATTTTCTATAATATTGCATCATACATAATTATGGCATATGTACCCAGGCAGAGTTTTATTGCTTCTTCCAAATTCTTACATCTTTTATTTGTTTTTTTTTTTTTTTTGGTATTGCTTATAAGATAGAACTTTTAGCGTGTCAAACAGAAGTGTTGATAGCATACACTTTTATCTCTTCACATTCTGAAAGAAATAGCCTTCACCATTACATAATGACATTACTTGTTATTGCTTTAAAATATCCCTTATTTTTCTACTTTGATAAATGTTTTATTTATTTTTAAAACATAAGTGGATTTTTCTCCTCCAACGTTCTGATCAGATAAATGTTCTCTTTTATTCTGTTAATCTGAGAAATTAATTTAATGGATTTTCTCATACTTAGACAACATTTTATTCCTGAGTCACCCTAAACATTCCATATTACCTCCTTAGAATGCTGTTGGATCCCTTTAGTCATAATTAGTAAAGGTGATTCTCAATTATGTATGTGAGACTGATTTGAAATGTCTATTTTTTATATGTTCCTTGGTATATTTTTATATCTGAAATGCTTGCCTCATAAAATGAGTTGGAGAGTATTACCCTTTATTCTTGGAAAGAATGTAATCATTGTTTAAAATTTAAATTTTAATTATGTTATCTTAAGTAAATATGTGATGAATATAGCCATGATACCATGGGGGTTTGGAGTTATTTTGTGGAAAATATGCTTGCCTCATAAAATGAGTTGAGGGGTATTACCCTTTATACTTTGAAAGAATGTAATCATTGTTTAAAATTTAAATTTTAATTATATTCATCATAAGTAAATATGTGATGGAATATAACCATAATGCCAATGGGGTTTGGAGTTATTTTTTGTGGAAAAACTTGTAATTATGGCTTAAATTTATTGAACAGTTTATTAGATTAAATGGTGGTACCTAAAAATATATGTTCATGTCCTAGAACCTGTGAACATGACCTTATTTAGAAAAAGGTTCTGTGCAGATTTAATTTAAAGATCTTGAGATGAAACAGATCATCCTGATTTAATTGGTGGGTGGGTCACTGGATGAGTGCTAAATCCAGTGATGTGCCTTTAAAAGAGATGCAGAGATATACACACGGGAAGAAGGAGAAGGCCACATGTAGACAGAGACAGAGATTGGAGTTAGGCAGCTACAAGCAAAAGACATGGAGTCACTAGAAGCTTGAGGAGGTTAAAAAAAAATTCTACCCTACAGCTTTTGACAGGAGCATAGTCCTGCCAACACTTTGATTTAACACTTCTGTAGTATATATACCATAAAATACTACTCAGTAATAAAAAAGAATGAAATCATGATTTTTGCAAAAACATGAAGGGAACTGCAGGCTATTATCCTAAGTAAAATAACTTATAAACAAAGTCAAAAACCACAAGTTCTCACTTGTAAGTGAGAGCTAAGCAATGGGTCCACAAGCACATACAGAGTGGAATAATAGACATTAGAGACAGCAAAAGTGAAAGGGCGGACTGGGGTGAGGGATTAAACGCTACCTATTGAGTACAATGTACACCATTCAGGTGATACACTAAAAACCCAGACTTCCTTACTACACAATATATCCATGTAACACAACTGCACTTGTACCCCTAAATCTATAAACATTAAAATAAAACATCTGAACTCCAGAACAGTGATATAATAAATTTCTGTTGTTTTAAGCCACTGCACTTGTCGTAATTCATTATAGCAGCTCTAGGAAACTGTACAAATAGATGTAGAAAGCTTCAAATTTTTCTTTTCTTCTTATATCAATTTTAGTGAATTTTATTTTCTATGGTCTGTTTTATCTTAACTTTCATTTGCATAAAGTCATTTATGATATCTTTTCTTACTCCTAGTATTTGTAATTTGTGTATTTCCATTTGCTTTACTTCATTAGCCTTCAAAGAGCTTTGCCATTTTATCACTTTTTACGAAGATCAATTATCTGCCTGTGATAATCCTCTATGTTCACTTGCTATTTCTTTAATTTCTGTCTTTATGTCTATTATTTTATTTTTTGCAATTAGCTGTTTTTAATGTTGTTTTTCTAAATTTTTGATATGAATACTTGATTTATTGATTTTCAGCCTCTTTTATTTTCTAATGTATCAATTCAAGTCTATAATTTTCCTAAAGTCCTAAGTCATCTACGCCTTTCAATTTTTATTATGTCATATTTTATTTTCATTGAATTAAAATTTAATGAGTTATTTTACAGCTAGATTAGGACAACCGTAAGTCAGGTATTCACTCTTAAACAAGATGTAGCTGAAATACGAAAGCTAATCATGTATAATATATTGTTTAAGGTCAAAACTCCCCCAACAATATCAACAACCTGCTAGTTTACACTGTTTAAGGATGTGTAGATTGATGGTTTGCGCCTGGCTTAGCCATATAAGCTGACTTGGCTTCCTAATCAGCTTAAATGGTTAAGCCATTTACCATTTAAGGATAAAAGACCTCACCGGAAATTTTGCCTGAAATCTCATGTAACAAAGGTTTCTCACACTTATATTGCTGATTAACAACCTGGCAACAAAGCACAAAAAGAGCAACTAAGAAAGTACTGTAAGGAGTTGTGCTTGTAAGTTCTCAGGCTCGTGAGGCCTACTTGTGCTTTCTTTCTCCTTCTGGATTATCTTTTTCTGGTTGATATCCTTACAGGACTATTCTCTGTAGAGCCTTATAAATCTTTTCAATTACCCAATTGTGCAAGTAACAATGTTATCACAATATTGAAGTGACCTTTGACCGTATCATACACATAAGGTGCAGTCATATTCTGCATTTTCTGAGATAGAGGGGCAAACTCCCAATTTAAGAATAATGACAGATGTATGAATCTCATACCCCCAAAGAGGTACACTCACAACTGTACCTGAGATATTAAATGGAATGTTCTTCTGAAGTGCTGAAATATTGACAACACAAGCAATTTTTTTTTCTCTAATCTACATCTTTGAATAAGTGATGGTTGATTTTGGGATAATAGAGCCCTCAATTGCTTAGTTGTTTACCCACATTTACTTTCTACTTTTGTCCTATATACTTTACCTTCAATGAAATCTTATGTGAGCTTAATCTGTGGAAGCTTGTGAGTTGTTTTAATTATCCAACTTGTGTAATGACTGTACATATGCCCTTGAAAAGAATGGATATTCTTCAGATCATGGGTGTAATCTTATTAATAGATCACTTAAGTAAATTGCTTTGAACACATTAATTAAATGTCTCTATCTTTACTGATATTTTCTGCTGCTTCTCTCAGTTCCAGAGACTTCTATGTTAAAATATCCTACTCTTTTCAGTCCTAGAAGTTTCTGTTTATGTATTTTGAACTTTATGAGGTTTATGCAACGGTAAATTATGTTATAATCCGAGTGAATTAAAGCTTTTTTAAAATCACTGATAAAAAAAGAAAACAAAAAAATTACAGTTCTATTGCCTCATTTTGTATGTTGAATTTAAGAAATTTGATATCAGTGTCTTCCTTTTGCCTTTGTAAATTGTTTTACTTTTTGTTTAGAGATCTAAATTACTTTTGTTTGTTTTTAAAATCTAATAGATTTACTATGTTGAATTTCAAGTTGATCTACTTGCATTAATTCTCTCAGGAACACAAGGAATAGACCTTTTCAGTAAGTGGTATTTTCTTTTAATTAGGGGACTATTTTAAAAATTGCAGCATAAAAATTACTCTTAGCACATTTTATTTTTCTTATTCAGGGATTCCAATTACAGTAAGATTATAATTGA
Organism: Homo sapiens; assembly: GCF_000001405.40. NCBI lineage: Eukaryota > Metazoa > Chordata > Mammalia > Primates > Hominidae > Homo > Homo sapiens. The sequence continues at coordinate 45,640,117 of NC_000004.12, forward strand.
TTTTCCTGTTTTTAGCCACCATTTTTTCTCGAAATTGTTTTATCTGATTTTTCTTTTCTGGGTTGTTTGCCTGCCATTTTTAAATTTACCTTATTAAAATTTCATTTGTTTATATTCTTCTTGTATATAATCTAAAATTTAATATTCATTTAGAATATGATTTTATTCTTTTCTGTTGGTAGAAGAGCTGAGGCAGGACTGGCTTGTCTGTCATAATATAAAAGAGTCTTAGAAGATGTGCGGGATCCAGGGTCTAAAACCCCTCGTGGACTTTGGAACACTAAGCTCTGTGCCAAAGTGTGGAAGGCTGCCCTGCCACACCACAATCTAAGCCTAGGGTGTAAAACCCCTCATGGCTTGGACGGAATCCAGGGCTCAGGGCATAAAACCCCTCATAGCCTCTGGAATGTGCACAGACTTGTTGGTTGCTCCCCCACGCTCATGAACATGCTCTCTATTATCTCAAGCAGCAGAGCATGTTCTATATGCGTCAAAGAAAATGCTAAACCATCACAGCCACGCTTGATGCACCACTACTTTTCTACCCCCATGTCCTCACATCCTCACCTATTTACCCCCCTGTCCTCATGTCCTCACCACCTGCTTCTTTGTTTGATCACCAATAAATAGTGTGGGCTCCCAGAGCTTGGGGCCTTTGCAGCCTCCAATCTAGCGTAGGTCCCGTGGACCCACTTTATGCACTCTTGTCTTTTCTCATTCCTTTGACCCCGCCGGACTTTCTAGCCCCCACGGCCTGGCATTGACCCTGATCGCTCCAACATTTTCCATGCTAAGTTCAATTAACTTTCTTTTCCTTTCAATAATTTTTTAAAATATTCTCACATTTTTGTTTCTGTATATTTATTTCAATTTAGCTTGTTGTCTTATGGTTTTCTTTCTGATTCTTTGTGTGTGCTAGGGAGTTTATTTTCATCAACTGAAGTGTAATAAATATTACCTTCTGAATTTTGTCATAATATTTTTCATTTCTGTTGCCTTGGTTTTGCTCTATGGTGACTTATACGTTGCCTTGATAGGTGGTGCTCTATTACACTGAAATGTATTTAATAACTATTTCCTGATAAGGTGGATATGTGTGGGTTGGTGGGTGAGGTATTTTTTGGCCTTTTAGGATGCTAATTATTATTGTCAAATTATTTTTCCTTTGCTATCCAGTTGTTAAGGGAAACTGCCCCCTTCTTTTCTGCCTTTCCTTAACAGATGCCATGCTTTTCAGATTGCTACAGTAAACTTTCTGAGAAACTTTCCTGTGGTTAGTGCTCTGATATGCCAGGATGTGTTTTCAGTATTTGTAAACTTTTGTTTACAAAAATATCTTCTTTTTCTAGCAGTGCTTAAGGTAAAATTTATACCTATGCTGGAGGCAGTGGCTCACGCCTGTAATCCTAGCACTTTGGGAGGCTGTGACAGGTGGATTGTCTGAGCTCAGAAGTTCGAGAGTAGCCTGGGCAAAATGGTGAAACCCCATATCTACCAAAATACAAAAAAATTAGCTGGGAGTGGCAGTATATGCCTGTAATCCCCGCTACTTGGGAAGCTGAGGCAGGAGAATAGCTTGAACTTGGGAGGCAGAGGTTGCAGTGAGCTGAGGTCACACCATTGCCCTCCATCCTGAGCAACAGAGTGAGACTCTGTCCCAAAAATAAATTAAATAAATAAATAAATAAATAAATAAATAAATAAATAAATGAACCTACTAGTAGTTACCTCCTTCCCTCTTCTCTGCAGTTTTCTTGAAATGCCCCAGTCTTCAGTAAAGCATGAGATATTACTCCTAAGAGTTGATGGCCTGCCTTCCTTCCCTCCTTCCTTCTTTCCCTCCTTCCTTCCTTCCTTTCACTACAATTTTTTTCACTATATGGTCATCTATCATTTTTGATAATAATTTTAATGAGTATCCACAGTTTTCTAAATTGCAAGTTATTTTCTCTCTACATTTTAAGATACCATCAAATGTGCTCTGGATTTAATTATTTCTATTGAGACCAGAGTTACCAGTCATACTATTATTATGAAGAAAGTATTTTCTTTACCAGAGTTTAAAATTTATCTTTGTCTTTGTTTTCAACAATTTTAGCATGATGTGTATATTTGGTTTAAATATTCTGGCTTGGTACTACTTTTTTTTTTTTAGATGGAGTCTTGCTTTGCCACCAGGCTGGAGTGCAGTGGCACTATCTCCGCTCACTGCAAACTCTGCCTCCCGGGTTCAAGTGATTCTCCTGCCTCAGCCTCCCGAGTAGCTGGGACTAGCCTCCTGAGTAGCTGGCGTCACCATGCCCAGCTAATTTTTGTATTTTTAGTAGAGACGGGGTTTCACCATGTTGGCCAGGGTACTCTTGATCTCTTGACCTTGTGATCTGCCTGCCTTGGACTCCCAAAGTGCTGGGATTACAGGTGTGAGCCACTGAACCTGGCCAGTATTACTATTTTTTACATTTATGACTTTGTTATATTGGAAAATTTCTCAGCTATACATTTTCAAATATTACCTCTTCCCCCTTCTCTTTCTCCTCTTTTCTGGGCTTCCATTTACATATTTGACACCTTCACACTTACCTCTTGTATCTCTTACTCTTCCTTCTATTTTTTCTGTTACTTTATGTCTATGCTTCACCTGGAATTTTTTTTCTGACTCATCTTTTAGTTCACAAATTTTCTATTCAACTGTGTTTAGTTGTATTAAAAATATCTATTGCATTCTTTATTTACATTATTGTACATAATATGTAGAATTTCCGTGTGGTTTATTTTTTCTTTTAAGTCTGTGACTAAATTTCTCAATCTTAAATATATGTAAGATAATTATTTTAATCTTTGTTTATGATAAGTTCATGATATGAGCATCTATCTGTTTTTACTTTTTTTCTATTTCTTACTTTATTTTCACTGATAGCACCTTGTCTCATTGTCTTTCTGTATACTTTTTAATTAAATGCTGTATATTATATATATGTATATATATAAAATAAAAAAATTGAGTGAGAAGAAATATGGTATTATCTCTTTCATAGATAATTTGTGTTTGGTTTTTGACAGGAAGCTTTGGGCACTCGCTCTTCATGCCTCTCCTCCTTCCCTTTGTGTTCAACATTTTGGTGAATTACTAGAAGATGGTGGTTTCAGCCCAAAGGAAGCCAAAATTATCTTAATTCAAATTCATGACTTGAAATTATTCCAAATTAAGATTTAGTCCCTGAAGTGGCCATTTTCTTCCAGTTCAGCTTTGCTCTTAAGTTTCAACTCTTTTGTTCCAACATATAGTTTGTATTACTTTGCTGCCTAACCATAGTCTCCGGCTTTAAATATTAGTCTCCTAGTTTTCTAAGTCAATCAAATTTAGGCTACCAAACATTTCAGATACCATTTTGAGAATACATCTTGTTATTTCTTGTTATTTCTCCAACACCTTCAAACAAATTTTAAATATTGCTTGGCTTTCTTATTTTTTTAGCAGAAACTCTGTTCTGAATTATCTGGATGCCATATGCTTCTTCAAATTCTTCCTCTATAATCACTCTAATAAATTTTAATAACTGCAATGAAAACCAGACTACCTGCTATTATTTAACCTTTCTTTAGAATACAGAACTTGTGTGAGAAAAATGTTAAATGACAGCAGCCCTAGGTGCTGTCATTCTAAGAATATTTGTCATTTGTTCACTATAAAAACATTTATTGTTTGCTGATATGTGCAAGGAAATGTGAAGAGGATTGAATGTGCACTTTCGGAATAAACAGACATTATGTTCTTGTACCCAAGGAATTTATATTCTTGTGGGAGATATAAGCAGAACATCTATAATAAAATATAATAAGTGCAAAGATAAAAGACTTTGACTTGCATATAAAAAAGGCTGCTAACCAAGACTTTAGAGGAATGTGGTGAGAGGAGGAAATTTTCTTTGATAAAACTTTCTTCTCATTTATGTACCCCTGAAACAAATCCCAATACCAAAGTAATCCATGGCATAGAATCTTCTATTATATAATTGAATTAAATATTATCAATCACACCTATTTTCTTTCTCCTGCACTAATTTTTTTGCAGCAGCTGCTGTTTTTACTAATATTCATTCATTATCGAGTTACAGGAGTCCCAACCTTTTGCTTTTCATTTGGATATAAATAACCAACACTGATATTCTTTTCCATATTCATTATGAATATGGGTTCATATTTGAATGGATAAAATGTAATATGTTTATTTTATTAAACTCTTTTTGAATGGACAAAAATCAGCTAAGATTTTTACTAGACTACTGCCATTGTTTAATTCATAGCTTTGCTAATTAAATTATCATAAATGGAAATGAATTATATTTTTAGATGAAACATCTTATTATAACCATCTATATTTCTATCACAGAATCTCTTAGACTAAAACAATACATCACCATGGCAACTCAACTTTCACAAAGTTTAACTGCAGCCAGAAAAAAAATATTTTTAAGTCAACCCCATTATATAGCATCTAACTAAACAAAAGTCTGCCTTCAAAGTAAAGTACTTTTGATTAGGAGCCATGATTTCTAAAATGATTTGAGTTATAGCAAAAGGTTCACATTTCTCTATGCATTAGAAATGAGGTATTTAAAAATGATATTGGCCTGCTTCTCACTTTTTAGTGTATTTTGAATGCCATGAGATTGAGATTGGCCTAGTATCTTTATTTTTTTTTTTGTAGTTCAGTGCTTTTAGAACATTTTTACATTTCTTTCAGTAAAAATCTGAATTTAGTTTTTTTCTAAATAATATGTTTAAAATTAAAACAGTTCAGTTTGATTAAAATATGAAAAGTAGGAACTATTTTGTGTGTTTATGAATGTAAAACAGGCACTGAAATTTGAAGTGATGTATTATTTAACAAATGGAGTTCACAATGCTGAGGCTGCTTATTTGTATCTTAGTATTCTAAACTACTATTGGGCCAGGCATTACAATATAACTGTAAATATTTATTAATAGTAAAACACTTCATTAAACATCTTTCCTCCTACAGCTGTATCTTGTCAACTAAACTGATGACACAAAATGTGTAATTTAAATTAACTTTTACATTCTTAAACAATGTACATTATTTTATAATTGAAATAATATTAAATCTTATAATACAGTCATTCCTTACCACGACTTTCCCTTCCCTCCCTGTCTCCCTCTCAACTATTAATGCTTTTATTTGAACTTTTTTTTCAACTCTTATTTTAGATGCAGGGGTTTCATCTTCAGATTTGTTACATAGTAATATTGCATGATGCTGAGGTTTGGAGCATGGATCCCATCACCTGGGTAGTGAGCATAGTACCTGTTAGGTAGCTTTTTAACCCACTCCTCCCACCATCTAGTCCACAGTGTCGTTTGTTCCCATATTTATGTTCATGTGTGTTCAATGTTTAGTTGCCACTTATAAGTGAGAACATGAGGTATTTGGTTTTCTGTTCCTACATTAATTTGCTTAGGATTATGGCCTTCAGCTTCATCCATATATTTTTCTTAAAAAATGTATACACTGGTATTCTCTGATTAACCCATTTCATACATTATCTACTGACTTCCTATATTAATGAAGAATATTTTAGGTCTCTGCTCTTTAGTTCACCTTGCTGCACACCACGACTCTTCTTCCAAAAGAGTCATAGTACATTTTGAGGCTAAATCTGCATTTAGCAATTACACTATTATGTTTATTAAAATACTCACAACTGAACATTGAAGTGTAATATGAGCACGTTCCATGTCTTCTTTGTTCTTCCTTGAGTTAATGCTTGTCTTTTGTCTGCATTATTTGTAAGTTCTTTGAAATTTTTTTCTATTTATCTCACACTTTCCGATTAGATCTCAGTATGTGTTTTCACAAGGGCTGTTATATAATGTACTCAATCAGTTGTCTTTTTATCACCCTTAGAGATAACAGGACTTGAGATCTCCATTATTCTCTGTAGTCTGGTTAGCATCTAGGACTTCTTTTTAATCTCAGGAATTACATTTGTTTTTCCCTGAGTAGGGCCATAAGAAGCAATTCCTCATCCATTCAAATTGTATCCTGAGATTTCAGCAATTCAGTCACACCTTCAGGCTCCACTTCTAACTCTATTTATCTTGTAATTTTCACCACATTTTCAGTTATTTCCTCCACTAAAATCTCGACCCCTTCAAAGTCATCCATTAGGGTTGGAATCACCTTCCTCCAAACTCCCTTAACATTGATGTTTTGACCTCCTCCCATTAATCACAAATGTTTTTAATGGCATCTTCCAGAAGATTTTCAACTTACTTTGCCTTGATCCATCACAGGAATAACTGTATATGTGAGCTAGAACCTTAAAACTTTAAACTCAAAATTACTCCTTAATCCATGGGTGGCAGAATGGACACTGTATTAGCAGGTGTGAAAACAACATTAATCTCCTTTTACATCTCCAGTATAACTGTTAGGTGAAAAGGTGCAATGTCCATGAGCAGTAATATTTTGAAAGGAGTCTTTTTTTTTTTTTCCTGAGGAGTAGATTTCAACAGTGGGCTTAAAATATTCAGTAAACTGTGCTGTAAACAGATGTGCTGTTATCAAGGCATTGTTGTTTCATCTTTAGAACATGGAAAGACTAGATTTAGCATAATTCTTAAGGATCTTCAGATTTTTGAAATGGTAAAAGAGCATTGGCTTCATCTTGAAGTCAACAGCTGCATTAGCCCCTAACACAAAGAAGAGTCAATCTGTCCTTTAAAGCTGTGAAGCCAGACATAGATTTTTCCTTTCTAGCTACGAAAGTCCTATATGGCATCTTCTTTCAATGTAAGGCTGTTATGTCTACTCTAAATATGTGTTGTTTAGTGTAGCCACCTTCATCAATTATCTTAGCTAGATCTTCTGGATGATTTGCTGCAGCTTCTGTATCAGCACTTTCGGCTTCACCTCGCACTTTTATGTTAAAGGAGACGGCATATTTTCTTAAACTTCATGAACCCGTCTCTGTTAGCTTCCAACTTTTCTTCTGTAGCTTCCTCATTTCTCTCAGCCTTTGTAGAATTAAAGAGAGTTAAAACCATGCTCTGAATAGTGTTTAACATTCGCATGTGGGAATGTTGTGTCTGGTTTGATCTATCCAGACCATTCAAACTTTCACCATATTAGGAATAAGGCTGTTTTGTTTTCTCATCATTCGTATGTTCACTAAAGTAACACTCTTAATTTCCTTCAAGAACGTTTCCTTTGCATTCACAACTTGGTTAATTATTTGACACAAGAGACTTTGACCTCTCTCAGCTTCTGACACACCTTTCTCACTAAGCTTAACTATTTCTAGCTTTTGATTTAAAGTAAGAGATATCCAACTATGCTATTCTCTTGAATACTTACAGGTGGCTACAGGGTTGTTAATTGGTCTAATTTCAATCTTAGTGTGTCTCAAGGAATAAGGAGGCCCTGATAGAGGAAGAAGTCTGGGGAACAGCCAGTTGGTGAAGCAATCAGAACACACACAACATTTATCAATAAAGTCTGCTATCTTACATGAAGTAAGTGGTGCTCCTAAACAATTACAATAATAATACCGAAGATGTCTGTCACCATAACAGATATGATAATAAAAAAGTGTGAAATATTGCAAGAATTATCAAACCGTGACTCAGAGATGTGAAGTGGGCACATGCTGTTGGACAAATGGCACCAATTTCTCCAACAGCTGGATGCAATGTTGCTGCAAACCTTCAATTTGTAAAAGCATCATATCTGTGAAGCACAATAAAGCAAAGCACAGGAAAATGAGGTATGCCTGTATAGTCTTTCATGTCTCTGGAGCACAATTACCAGAAACTTTCTAGGAAAGGATGAAAATAGTTATACTTTTGAGACATTGCAGTTCTGAATGTGTGCCTGCATTGATCCTTTTGTTTATCCAAGGGATTAAAGGACTGTCAACACTAGCATTGGTGACAGTACTCCAAGGTAGTATACATATTATTGCCAAAAGCACTTCTGCACTGTTTTTTTCCCTTTTTCTGGAATATTTTTTATTACAGAAAGGCATGCTTTGCTCCATTACCTTCTTCATATTCTCAATCATAAGTAACCTCAATTAGGTAACACCCACTGGCCACACTACGGAAGATCTTAACCACAACCACTCAACTCTCTCTATTCTAATTATCTGGTTTTATTTTTCACCCAAATATTGAAAACCATGAAATATGCAGTATATGTTAATTATTTATCTTTCTTATCATTTTTTTAACTTTTCTAAATGGTAAGTTCCTGGAAGGCAGAGTTTTATTTTATGTTTATTTCCACTGCTACACCTCTACTGTTCAGAAGAGTCCTTAGTAGAGATGAGGTGCCCAATATATTGTATTTATTGAAGGATACACCAGATGAGTGAACAAATAATTGAAGTTTGTTTTCATTGTCTGTGCTGGATATTTGTCCTTGGTACTGGCAAGTTTTCTAGAATGATTCAGTCAATTGTTTGCTCCCTTATATCTCTGTTCTTTATTTGAACCTCCTCTCAGGTCCTTTATTGTTCTTACTCTTTATCTCCCATTACTTTTTAAGCCTTTTAAAGAAATCTCTTTCTAGATTATTTTCTCAACTCTACCTTTCTTCTACTGACTTTTTCATTTCTGCTTACAAATTTTTGTTTCTCTGAATACTCCTTTAAAAATTTTTTCTTACTTCAAGGGCAAAGTAAATTGTCTCATCTCTATGAGATTAATAATAAACTTGTTGATATTTTATTCTCCTCTATCTTTATTTCATCTAATATGCCTTTATTCATTATATTTATTTTAGTATTTGGATGTCTGCCAGTGCTTAAGAAAGGGAAAGAAGTTGCTGACTGCAATCTTCTGGGCACCTAATTGAGTATGTCAACTTGGAATTTTCCTATAGAGTTTGTTGGGGAACTCTGATGGTGGCATCTTTAGGTCTTTTGAGCCAGTGAGTTTCTTCAGAGGGCACTCTGCCAATCTCCTGCTGGGGAAGCCAGAAATCTGAGAGGTAAGTGAGGAAAGATGTCTGAAAGTCTTAGCATTCAATAGAGGTAGGCCTAATTATTTTCATAGAGCACTCATGCCCTCAAATATTATTAGTGTCTCCCAGTCTGGAGACTCTCTGTATATGTGGCCCCTTACAGAGAATAAACCTCCCTTCCACTGGGGTGCTAATATATCTAGATATTTAACTACTTCTGAGACATCTTTCAACTTGCTTCCCCTTATTTTAGCATGCCTTCACTGATGGTTCCTGAACCTTTTGAGGCTTCTGAGTTGATAGATCATGTAACTCTTGGCTTTCTTGACTCCTAGCTAAAGATTTGACTTTCAGGGGCTTAGTAAATTAGTATTACAAGTGTATCTGCTTCCTAGCTTTCAAAATTTGATTGTTATTGTATTCCTTTTCACCATCTTTGTGACTTTTTTATAATCCTTTTTAGGGCTGGAGAGGGAGAAAAATTAGATGTAGGTGTTAAGTATATCATCTTTATCTAGAAGCTACCTATGTTTGCCTACCTAAGGTAGTTTAGATTAAACTACCATAATTGTGTCCTGCTCAGAAAAGTAAATTCTGGATATTGAATAATGAATATTTTGAATGATAATACATGCTGCAATATCAAATAGAGTACTATTTAGCACACAAATATACAATAGCTTGTTGGTTCTTCAGTTCAAAACTGTTAAATAAATAAAATAAGTAATACCGTAATTCCTGTTTGAAAGCATAGGGAACTGAAATCCAATAGCACTAACTAACAGGGTCATGGTAATCAGTTAGGCACCAAAGTCTATGATAGCTTTCATCATTTCAAATATAATACCTTTTTTAAACCATGTTGTGTAACTGAAATATTTTATCTTTCTTTTATTCTCAGGAGACCTTTTGGAATAAATATATTTTCATCACATAAAAGTATTGTCTAGAATAATATTGCTTTGTACACAATATTATTCAGCAATTAAATATATAGATTTTTATCCATTACTGTCTCTGTAGAGAAAGTCCCTGCTGCAGAACGTTAAGAACTCTCATGCACAATATTTATTTTTCTTAATAAAAAGTGTGTGGCTGCATAAAATTTTAATCTTTAGAGATTTTTGAATTAATGGCATATAGTGATAGATATTAAAAATTATGGTCATGAACTCTGAAGGTTCTTGTAGAGATATGTGTCCAGCGTTCAATATCATTTTGTCAAAGAAACTAATTCAGTGGAGCACAGAAAAATATCAGTATGTTAGGTTGTATTTTATTTTGTCTTTGCAAACCCTTCTATTATAATACATCATACTATTCTGTCGCCAGATCTATGTGTTTATGTGTGTATGTTTTGAAGTTCAACCTTAGTAATCTCTCATATTCTCATAAGGATATAATTTGGAAGAGTATTTTAATAAAGATCTTGCTGTGCCATCTGTCTGTGTCTGACTAGGTTATTTAATTTCTAGTCCTTTATATAAGATTAGATTTCTGATGAAGGATATTATGTGAATGAATCATAAAACAATAATCAGAGAGTCTAGATTTTGAACTCCTGCATGAACAAGGGTGGGAGGAGTTGGTGGTGATGATCATAAAGACTGTGGCATATTTTTCCAATAAACTATAATGTGCCATAAAGAGGATAATCAAATTTTAAAACTTTGATATAAGGCAAGGCACAGTGGCTCACACCTGTAATTTCAGCACTCAGGGCGGCAGAGGCAGGAAGATAACTTGAGCCTAGGAGTTCAAGACCTGCCTTGGCAATATAGGGAGACACTATTCTTCACAAAATGAAAAAATAAAAGACAAAAATATTCCCTTGAGATATATATATATATAAAATATATACTAAAATATATATATATATATTTTAGTATAAAGGTAATTCTGATGTTTAGACAAAATGAAGTGATAGTTTAAGTATGGTATATCAAAAAATACAATCAATAATATGCCAAAGCATTAGCAATAACTAATAGCACAAGAGAAAACAAAGAATATTTATAAAAGCATTGAAATAAGTGATCAGTATAGGAATAACCCAATATATGTGCTGGACCATTGTAGAGAGCACTGTTAAATAACACTATTTGGTTAAAAGAGTAAGACCTAGAAATGAAACTATATACAATATTCACTAATTACTATACAAACTTTCAAAAAAGAAATTTTTGATAATTTTTAGGAAAATTTATTAATTGACAAAGTTGATAAACTGACCAGAATAGAAGACATAGAGCCAAATATTGTTTATGTTGGAAGTTTTTTAGAGGATAAAAATATTTTAAGTACTCACAGGAAACACAATGTATTTATCACTTAATGCATTCTTCTTCAAAAATAGGCTTTCCATATAGAGAACAAGTGAAAATAGATTCTTACGCATTCTCTTTACAACAACCAATTCTTTGTGAATTGAATCAAAATATATTGAAAACTTTAAAACTATTGATAATAGTAAAGCAGTACATATATGTGACTTGTTATTTATTGAAAAAAGCACTGACAATAAAGGAAAAAGAATATATGTGCATACACATCTATGTAAAATTTCTTAAAATAAAATATTATCTACAAAAGACAAAAAAGCCTAAAGGCCTGCCTGCATCTGTAGGCTCCAACTCTGTGGGCAGGGCACAGACAAACAAAAGACAGCAATAACCTCTGCAGACTTAAATGTCCCTGTCTGACAGCTTTGAAGAGAGTAGAGTTTCTCCCAACATGCAGCTTGAGATCTAAGAACGGGCAGACTGCCTCCTCAAGTGGGTACCTGACTCCCGAGTAGCCTAACTGGGAGGCACCCCCCAGTAGGGGCGGACTGACACCTCACATGGCCGGGTACTCCTCTGAGACAAAACTTCCAGAGGAATGATCAGGCAGCAGCATTTGCAGCTCACAAATATCCGCTGTTCTGCACCCACCACTGCTGATACCCAGGCAAACAGGGTCTGGAGTGGACCTCCAGTAAACTCCAACAGACCTGCAGCTGAGGGTCTTGACTGTTAGAAGGAAAACTAACAAACAGAAAGGATATCCACACCAAAAACCCATCTGTATGTCACCATCATCAAAGACCAAAGGTAGATAAAACCACAAAGATGGGGAAAAAACAGAGCAGAAAAACCGGAAACTCTAAAAATCAGAGTGCTTCTCCTCCTCCAAAGGAATGCAGCTCCTCACCAGCAATGGAACAAAGCTGGACGGAGAATGACTTTGATGAGTTGAGAGAGGAAGGCTTCAGAAGATCAAACTACTCCAAGCTAAAGGAGGAAGTTCGAACCAATAACAAAGAAGTTAAAAACTCTGAAAAAAAATTAGATGAATGGATAACTACAATAACCAATGCAGAGAAGTCCTTAAAGGACCTGATGGAGCTAAAAACCATGGCACGAGAACTACGTGACAAATGCACAAGCCTCAGTAACCGATGTGATCAACTGGAAGAAAGGGTATCAGGGATGGAAGATGAAATGAATGAAATGAAGCGTGAAGAGAAGTTTAGAGAAAAAAGTATAAAAAGAAGCAAACAAAGCCTCCAAGAAATATGGGACTACATGAAAAGACCAAATCTATGTCTAATTGGTGTACCTGAAAGTGACGGGGAGAATGGAACCAAGTTGGAAAACACTCTGTAGGATATTATCCAGGAGAAATTCCCCAATCTAGCAAGGCAGGCCAACATTCAAATTCAGGAAATACAGAGAACGCCGCAAAGATACTCCTCGAGAAGAGCAACTCCAAGACACATAATTGTCAGATTCACCAAAGATGAAATGAAGGAAAAAATGTTCAGGGTAGCCAAAGAGAAAGGTCGGGTTACCCACAAAGGGAAGCCCATCAGACTAACAGCAGATCTCGTGGCAGAAACTCTACAAGCCAGAGGAGAGTGGAGACCAATATTCAACATTCTTAAAGAAAAGAATTTTCAACCCAGAATTTCATATCCAGCCAAACTAAGCTTCATAAGTGAAGGACAAATAAAATACTTTACAGACAAGCAAATACTGAGAGATTTTGTCACCACCAGGCCTGCCCTAAAAGAGCTCCTGAAGGAAGCACTAAACATGGAAAGGAACAACCAGTACCAGCCACTGCAAAAACATGCCAAATTGTAAAGACCATCAAGGCTAGGAAGAAACTGCATCAACTAACGAGCAAAATAAGGAGCTAACATCATAATGACAGGATCAAATTCACACGTAACAATATTAACTTTAAATGTAAATGGGCTAAATGCTCCAATTAAAAGACACAGACTGGCAAATTGGATAAAGAGTCAAGACCCATCACTGTGCGGTATTCAGGAAACCCATCTCACGTGCAGAGACACACATAGGCTCAAAATAAAGGGATGGAGGAAGATCTACCAAGCAAATGGAAGACAAAAATAGGCAGGGGTTGCAATCCTAGTCTCTGATAAAACAGACTTTAAACCAACAAAGATCAAAAGAGACAAAGAAGGCCATTACATAATGGTAAAGGGATCATTTCAACAAGAAGAGCTATCTATCCTAAACATATATGCACCCGATACAGGAGCACCCAGATTCATAAAGCAAGTCCTGAGTAACCTACAAAGAGACTTAGACTCCCACACATTAATAATGGGAGACTTTAACACCCCACTGTCAACATTAGACAGATCAATGAGACAGAAAGTTAAGAAGGATATCCAGGAATTGAACTCAGCTCTGCACCAAGTGGACCTAATAGACATCTACAGAACTCTCCACCCCAAATCAACAGAATATACATTCTTTTCAGCACCACACCACACCTACTCCAAAATTGACCACATAGTTGGAAGTAAAGCTCTCCTCAGCAAATGTAAAAGAACAGAAATTATAACAAACTGTCTCTCAGACCACAGTGCAATCAAACTAGAACTGAGGATTAAGAAATTCACTCAAAACCACTCAACTACATGGAACCTGAACAACCTGCTCCTGAATGACTACTGGGTAAATAATGAAATGAAGGCAGAAATAAAGATTTTCTTTGAAACCAACGAGAAAAAAGACACAACACACCAGAATCTCTGGGACACATTCAAAGCAGTGTGTAGAGGGAAATTTATAGCCATAAATTCCCATAAGAGAAAGCAGGAAAGATCTAAAATTGACACCCTAACATCACAACTAAAAGAACTCGAAAAGCAAGAGCAAACACATTCAAAAGCTAGCAGAAGGCAAGAAATAACTAAGATCAGAGCAGAACTGAAGGAAATAGAGACACAAAAAACCCTTCAAAAAATTAATGAATCCAGGAGCTGGTTTTTTCAAATGATCAACAAAATCGATAGACCGCTAGCAAAACTAACAAAGAAGAAAAGAGAGAAGAATCAAATAGATGCAATAAAAAATGATAAAGGGGATATCACCACCAATCCCACAGAAATACAAACTACCATCAGAGAATACTATAAACACCTCTATGCAAATAAACTAGAAAATCTAGAAGAAATGGATAAATTCCTCAACACATACACTCTCCCAAGACTAAACCAGGAAGAAGATGAATCTCTGAATAGACCAATAACAGGCTCTGAAATTGAGGCAATAATCAATAGCTTACCAACGAAAAAAGTACAGGACCAGATGGATTCACAGCCGAATTCTACCAGAGGTACAAAGAGGAGCTGGTACCATTCCTTCTGAAACTATTCCAATCAATAGAAAAAGAGGGAATCCTCCCTAACTCATTTTATGAGGCCAGCATCATCCTGATACCAAAGCCTGGCAGAGACACAAGAAAAATAGAGAATTTTAGACCAATATCCTTGATGAACATTGATGCAAAAATCCTCAATAAAATACTGGCACACTGAATCCAGCAGCACATCAAAATCTTATTCACCATGTTCAAGTGGGCTTCATCCCTGGGATGCAAGGCTGGTTCAACATATGAAAATCAATAAACGTAATCCAACATATAAACAGAACCAAAGACAAAAACCACGTGATTATCTCAATAGATGCAGAAAAGGCCTTTGACAAAATTTAACAACCCTTCATGCTAAAAACTCTCAATAAATTAGGTATTGATGGGACGTATCTCAAAATAATAAGAGCTATCTATGACAAACCCACAGCCAATACCATACTGAATGGGCAAAAACTGGAAGCATTCCCTTTGAAAATGGGCACAAGACAGGGATGCCCTCTCTCACCACTCCTATTCAACATAGTGTTGGAAGTTCTGGCCAGGGCAATCAGGCAGAAGAAGGAAATAAAGGGCATTCAATTAGGAAAAGAGGAAGTCAAATTGTCCCTGTTTGCAGATGACATGATTGTATATTTAGAAAACCCCATCGTCTCGGCCCAAAATCCCCCCAAGCCAATAAGCAACTTCAGCAAAGTCTCAGGATACAAAATCAATATACAAAAATCACAAGCATTCTTATACAACAATAACAGACAAACAGAGAGCCAAATCATGAGTGAACTCCCATTCACAATTGCTTCAGAGAGAATAAAATACCTAGGAATCCAACTTACAAGGGATGTGAAGGACCTCTTCAAGGAGAACTACAAACCACTGCTCAATGAAATAAAAGGGGATACAAACAAATGGAAGAACATTCCATGCTCATGGGTAGGAAGAATCAATATCGTGAAAATGGCCATACTGCCCAAGGTAATTTATAGATTCAATGCCATCCCCATCAAGCTACCAATGACTTTCTTCACAGAATTGGAAAAAACTACTTTAAAGTTCATATGGAACCAAAAAACAGCCCGCATTGCCAAGTCAATCCTAAGCCAAAAGAACAAAGCTGGAGGCATCACGCTACCTGACTTCAAACTGTACTATAAGGCTACAGTAACCAAAACAACATGGTACTGGTACCAAAACAGAGATATAGACCAATGGAACAGAAAAGAGCCCTCAGAAATAATGCCACATATATACAACTATCTGATCTATGACAAACCTGAGAAAAACAAGCAATGGGGAAAGGATTCCCTATTTGATAAATGGTGCTGGAAAAACTGAGTAGCCATATGCAGAAAGCTGAAAGTGGATCCCTTCCTTATACCTTATACAAAAATTAATTAAAGATGGATTAAAGACTTACATGTTAGACGTAAAACCATAAAAACCGTAGAAGAAAACCTAGGCAATACCATTCAGGACATAGGCATGGGCAATGACTTCATGTCTAAAACACCAAAAGCAATGGCAACAAAAGACAAAATTGACAAATGGGATCTAATTAAACTAAAGAGCTTCTGCACAGCAAAAGAAACTACCATCAGACTGAACAGGCAACCCACAGAATGGGAAAAAATTTTTGCAACCTACTCATCTGACCAAGGGCTAATATCCAGAATCTACAATGAACTCAAACAAATTTACAAGAAAAAGACAAACCCATCAAAAAGTGGGCGAAGGATATGAACAGACACTTCTCAAAAGAAGATATTTATGCAGGCAAAAAACACCTGAATAAATGCTCATCATCACTGGCCATCAGAGAAATGCAAATCAAAATCACAATGAGATACCATCTCACACCAGTGAGAATGATGATCATTAGAAAGTCAGGAAACAGCAGGTGCTGGAGAGGATGTGGAGAAATAGGAACACTTTTACACTGTTGGTGGGTCTGTAAACTAGTTCAACCATTGTGGAAGTCGGTGTGGCAATTCCTCAGGGATCTAGAACTAGAAATACCATTTGACCCAGCCATCCCATTACTGGGTATATACCCAAAGGGTTATAAATCATGCTGCTATAAAGACACATGCACACGTATGTTTATTGCGGCACTATTCACAATAGCAAAGACTTGGAACCAACCCAAATGTCCAACAATGATAGATTGAATTAAGAAAATGTGGCACATATACACCATGGAATACTATGCAGCCATAAAAATGATGAGTTCATGTCCTTTGTAGGGACATGGATGAAGCTGGAAACCATCATTCTCAGCAAACTGTCGCAAGGACAAAAAACCAAACACTGCATGTTCTCACTCATAGGTGGGAATTGAACAATGAGAACACGTGGACACGGGGTGGGGAACATCACACACTGGGGCCTGTTGTGGGGTGGGGGGAGAGGAGAGGGATAGCATTAGGAGATATAACTAATGCTAAATGACGAGTTAATGGGTGCAGCACACCAACATGGCACATTTATAAATATGTAACAAACCTGCACATTGTGCACATGTACCCTAAAACTTAAAGTATAATAATAAGTAAAAAAAAAGAAAAAAAGAAAAAAG
The DNA here is from genome assembly GCF_000001405.40 of Homo sapiens. NCBI lineage: Eukaryota > Metazoa > Chordata > Mammalia > Primates > Hominidae > Homo > Homo sapiens. The sequence goes on from NC_000004.12 coordinate 45,657,351, forward strand.
AAGCCTCCCTAAAATCAAAGTTAAAAATAATAATAGCAGAATGGGGAAAATTATGATGCACATAACTGAAAAAGGATTCGTTTCTAGATTATATTCAGGTATTTAAAACCTAAAATAAATTTTTAAAAATCCAGATAAGCCAGTAAAAAAAAGTGGAATAGTTATCTGAAAAAGATTTACAGACTTTAATTCTGAATGATCACTGTACATATTAAAAGGTGAAAAACATACATAATTCTGTTCATAATCAAGAAATTAAAAAGTGTACAGTGGGCTGCCACACCCACTAGAGTGGCCAAAAATAGTGAAGTCTGGTAACACTAATTATGGGTAGGAATGTAGGTTGGCTCTGCCACATTGCGGTACAACTAAATAATGTCTAGTAAAGTGAAAAATACCGGTAAGCCACAGTTTAAAATTGTCATTTAGCTATTTATCTATAAAATAATATTTCAAATGTTTTGTAAAAAATAAGATCTTGAAAAACATTAGAGGTAGCATTTTGTGTAACAGCCAAACAGAAAATTAAATGTTCTCAAATACCATGTAGCGAATAAGTAAATTATGCATTATTCACATCACAGCATATTGAATAGAAGTTTAAATGAATGAATCATCACATCTATATTGGCACTCACTGCTCTCAAAATCATACCTGCAAATTTCACAATAATGAGATAATAAATTGATGTAAAGTTTAATACATAAGTGCAACCATGTTTGATATTAATTATCATTACTCAATTATAAACTAAAATTGTAACAATATGCATGAGAATTTAGAAAACAAATTAATCATAGTGGCTATCTCTGTGAGAAAGAAAGGTAAATGAAAATAGGCAGGCATAAAAAAGTGAGCAATATTTCATATATATTTAAAGGAACTAAGTTAATATATAATTCATTTTAAAAAATAATACTGACATTATTTTTTAATGTTGGACATGTGCATACCCCATGATACAGTATTCCATCACTTAAGTATGCACTGCAGATAGATGTATACACATATACCTCAGGAGATGTGTACACAATGTTTATATCATCTCTGTTCATAATATCAAAAAATCAGAAATCATCCAAATGCCAACTTGAAAGAGAATGAATAAATATATATATATATATATATGCTATAGACTGAATGTTTGTTTTCTTAAAAAGTCATATTTTGAAGTCCTAACCCCAATGTGATGGTATTAGGTGGTAGAAATTTTGGAGGTGATTAATTTATGATAGTGGAGCCCACATGAATGGAACTGATGGCCTTAGAAATGAGGGTCAGTGCTTCCTCACCTCTTTTGTCATGGGAGTGTACAATGAAAAGTCAGCAGTTTGCAACCTCAAACGAATCCCTCAACAGAACCCAATTATGCAGACACCCTGATCTTGGACTTCTGGCCTCCAGAACTGTGAGAAATAAATTTCTGTTGTTTATAACCACCCAGTTTATGGTATTTTGTGATGGTAGCCCAAGTAGACTAAGTATATTATCTCAATGGATTTTATACAGCAGCAAAGTGAATAAACTACAACCACACAAAGCAACATAGATAATTTTCAAAACAATAATGATGATGACAGTTAAAGATAGGCCCATAAGACTCTATTAGTGTGATGTCATTTCTATAAATCTTGAATATAAACATATATCAAGAACACTTTGTTTAGGAACATATGTGTATAAAAATATTTCATAACACTCAAGGTAATGATGAAGACATAATTTAGGCTGGCATGACCTCTGATGAGGGAAAGGCAAGAGGTAGATGGTAAAGACACATACCTAGGTGGACACGAGTTGATGGCAGGGTTCCAGTCCTTGTATGTGATGATGATGTCACATGTTTATTACAGTATTGAGCTTTAGACGTGCATAAATATTATGTGTTAATTTTTATTTATCAATTATAATAATAGGATAAATATATATAAATATCTGAAAAAATAAGTATGAAAAGTGTTAACATTAAAACATTTGTTTAACAAGAATGCGGATATTTCTTAAATTTATCTTTTATTCCAAGTCATTCTCATTTTCTTTCTATAACAGGTTCTTCAAAAATGCCTCTGGAAAACACCCACTGCCCAGTTCCAAAGCCAACCTTATATTTTTATGTATTTGTTAAGAAAGTACCCTGCTTCTGGAACCCAAATCTACATCATTACCTATAGTGTGTGACAAAATTCCCCAAAACTTAGCAGGTTATACCACTAACATTTAATTTCTCAGTTTCTATGGGTCAGAAATCTGTGTGAATTTTTTTGTGGATAGAAAGAAAAAATTGCCTTAAATAGATTATTGGTAGAAATCTGGAATTTGAAGATGCTGCTGGTGAATGCTCAAAAGGAAATAAGGAAATTATTATTGGAACTTGGAGAAAGGGTGACCCTTTATCTATAGAAAACATAAATAGTACCGACAATATCACCTGCAGACATGTGGAAATTAGAAAATGTGCATCGAAAACTGATTGAGTTAGCTAAGTAAATTTTCAGACAAAGTGTTAAATGTCCCACCTGGTTATATCTTGCCAGTATATTAAATACATAGTGTGATTATATGAAAGAGCTTAAAAGTAAAAGTAACGAAGTATTTCTTCAATTGGAATAAGGAAAGGGAAATAGATGCTCTGAGACAATTAACAAATGTTAAGCAAGAAAATAATGTTTTCAGTATTAAACAATCTGAAATGTGGCATGATTTAAAATTGATCAAGTGTAAAAAATGGTGGTTTCTGCAACAGGGAAGCCAGATCTTTATTGATTTAATAATTTAGCAAAGATTATATAGTTTCATTAGTAATTTCTTTATGTATAATGCTTTTAAGTTTATAACACTAACTTGTTACAGTAATTTTACTATTATCTGGATTTGTTTTCTTATGATTTCTACAAGATATTAAGTTTACAAGTTAATTTTTTCCTACTAATTTCTCTTAGAACATCATGAGAAAACTCAGCTTATGTTTTATAACATAAAGTTAGGAAAAAAAAAATCAGAGGCTCTACATTATTGTTTCATTTTAGGCTACAGTGTCCATTTTGCTTTGTATTTCTTTTTTCTGTGAGTATTTAAACCACACTGATTTTTTTCTTTGTTGATATTTTACGTGGATTACATGACTATGACATGGACAGTTAAATAATATAGTTAAAATGTTTAAATAATATTAAATATATTGTGTACAGGTATATATTCTAAACCCAAGGATGTATAATGTCTAGATGAAACCCTGAGGCCCAAATACTTAGTTCAAGCCATATTGGCAGTGACCAATGTAGCTTATTTTTATGAACTCACTAATTAAGTTTCTTTATGTAGCAAATTTTACTTAAGCCTCTATAGAAATAGGTTAAAAATAAACACAGATAATGATATTAATTTCTAGATACATAATATAAACTTCCAAGGCATTTTGTAAAAACCAAATTCTGTTTATGAAGTAATTATATTTTTTCCTAAAGACTGAAATTTTTTCTAGTTTTAATTCAGTCCTTTCCAAGTAAAATTAAATTAAAATTAAATTGTGTTATTTTGTGTTAATAATGGCAATTTCTGGGTAAGTTTCAGGTACTTTTGTTTTAAATCAAAAACTTTTTCCAGCCTGGCCAACATAGTGAAACCTTGTCTCTACTAAAAATTAGCCAGGCATGGTGGCTTGCGCCTGTAATCCCAGCTACTTGGGAGTCTGAGGCAGGAGAATCACATGAACCTGGGAGGTGGAGGTTGCAGTGAGCCGAGGACACACCACTGCACTCCAGCCTGGGTGACAGAGCAAGACTGTGTCTAAAAAAAACCCAAAAAGAACAAATTTATTCATGTGCTTTATATGTTCACAATCATTATTTTGGCCATGCATTTGTACTGCTTATAAAATTAGAAAAGTGAGCAACATTTTCAATAAAAATTTTCATTATATGAATACTTTAACCAAATAGGTATTTGGTTCTCAGGGCTTCATCTCTTATATTATACATCCTTGGGTTTAGGTTATTAATACGACTAAAAATTAGGTTTTAACCCATATATTTTTATTTCACTCAGTAGAACCTGTACACAAAATATTTAGTATTACTAAAACTTTTAAAATTATTAACTGTCCATGTCATAGTTAAGGAATCTATGTAAAATAGAAAAAAAATGTAGTTTAAAGATTCCACGGGGAAAAGAAATTCAAAGCAAAATGGAGACTGTGGACTAAAATGAAACAAAAATAATATAATTAAATAAGCTTCCGAATATATTCTATTTTAATTATTAGCATACTATTTTATTCATTATGCTCACATTTGTTTCATACTCATTTACCAAGACTTCATCAATCTTATGCATCCCATTCTTTATTTCTGCCCTTGTAAGTATACTTTAACACCCTAAAATACACAAATATTCATATAAGACAATAATTAACAGGTGGCTCAGCATATATTTAAAATCTCATCATCCTACAGGTTGACAATAGTTTTCTTCTTGGCCCACTCAGTTATGTCCTTTAGAAAAGCCTACTTGCTTCTGTGCTTCTTGTGCGTGGTGCCTCCAAAATGCCCTTGATTATTACATAATCAGAAAATGATTGCTTGTGTTCATTACAATGAGATCATTCCTTCATCTTGTGCATATCACTACCATGAATTCCTCTTTAAAAGCAGAAATCTACGTACACTCAGTTTTATTAACCTGTCCAATCAATGTCACTTTCTGCCTACAACTTCATTTCAGAAACATCTACATATAGCTGTCTATAATCCACATTTCCATCCATCCATCTATTGAACCAGCTGCTTTTTAAATGCCAAACATGTCAAGCTCTTTCAAATTTTCTACTATTTTCCCTCCTCTTTGAAATTATCCGGTATGTCAAAATACTAAAATTTATTCTCTTTAATTCTTTTTCCTTTTTTAAAAAACGTTTTATATTTTAAATACTTGACTTGAGGTGTGTGTGTATGTGCATGTGTGTGTGTAGACAGAGATACATGTCTGTAATAAATATTGAGGTTCCTGTAATAAATATTAACGTTTTGAGGACTTTATGCCATCTAGATATTGCACAAGCTTGTCATTATGTAGGTTTGGGTTAATAGCATGGGCTTTTAGGAAAGTGGTATTAGAAAAGTTAATTAGCCTCAATATTTGTCTCAGTTTCTTTCAGAAAAAAAAATTTTTTAAAATGCAAACCTTTAATTTATGTTATTATTCTAATGACAACATAAAGCATTTGATCTTTTTTAAAACTTTATATGTATCAAAATTATTGTTTTTTAAATACATGGGGCATATAAAAAACATAGACTTACAACATGAACAATTTTATTTCATTGGATTATATGACTGTGACTATACTTAAGATTTGTTTTAATGCTGAATATGAATTAACTCTGATTTTTCAATTATTCTTATAAATCACAGTGCATAGTTCATAATAGGAACTGTAGAAATTACAGCTATTGCTATTACAAGTGATATAAATGTGAAGCTAATGAGAGGAAGCTTAGTAGAATGGGGTATGAGCATAAACAGAAAGAGACAGTATGAAACCAAAATTCTGTTTAACAGTCCTTCAGCATTAATTCTATTGGAGAGTAAGAATGGAAAATAAATTGTCATTTTAAATGTTATCTATTTAATATAGTTTTATTCAGGTACTGTTTTTTCAAAACTGCTTTGTTTTTCCTGCAATTAAAATAATCAGACCTCTGAACTTTCTTTGAATTAAGTAAGAATAAATAGCATGTTCAAGGTAATACATATAGCTAAAGGATTGTTTAGATGTTGGCATATTATCAAACATTCCAGAGCTCAGTTTGGCCCTGGTCCCAGGAATCCTGCTGCTTGCAATAGAAGAGGCAGCCAGCTACTCTAGAATGATATTCATCACCTAGCAACTAATTAAAGCAACAGTGTGCTAGGGAATGAACCAAGCTGTCTAACCAAGATTAGAGACAAAGAGAGAAAGAGCCTTAAGTTATTATTCTTTCAGTGCTATCAAAAATACGGTCTCTTACCAAGAATATGCAACCTGGGTGAAAAATTCAGAGAAATTAATCAGGACATTTACATTTATATTCCTAAGTCCATTCAGTAAGAAACCTCTATTGTGTAGATTTTCAAAAATTACATTTATTTAGTTTTTTATTTATCTAGTAGCCTATTTACTTATGTATATATTTAAATAACTTCAAATTTGAATGCAAGCTTTATAAAAACTATGCAAGACGTATATAGCAAAGCAAGTTTCTGTATCTGACACTTTTTGTGTTCTACCTCTTCTTTGCTTGGCATCAGCCACTTATTTGAAAAGTGGCTGACAGCTCTGTGCAGGATTCAACATAGCTTATGTTACAAGTGTCTGGCCTTAAGCTAACACTAGGTCTCTTTCACCATAGATATGCCAGCTTGAACTTCAATAGCCCAGGATGCCTGGTAATAATGCCCCAATTGCCAATGCTCAACTAATGTGGGATGAAGGCGGGAGCTAAAGAATAAATGCCCTCCCCAGTCAATCCATTGTTGAGCAATTCTGAGAGTCATTCTCCAGGCTCCTTTACAGGCCTAGAGAGGAACTCAGTGCCAGCTGCCTGCAGTTATGGCCTCAATATTGTACCCTTGTAGCAGTTTTCCCTCCTTCAGTTGCTTTTGCAAAGGCAGGGGGTAGGTAGTGCTAATAATTCAAGTTAAGGCTCTTGGCACTGGTACTAGTCCTGGAAACAGATCCTCAGGATGCGCCTCTGGAAATAAAACACATACTGAGCAGACAAAAACAAGGACCTGACCCCATTTCTGGTGGTAAGTGAAGTGGTGATAACACCTGGCATATGGTAGTGTCACAATTACTAAAACTCACGCAGTTGAGAACATGGAATGAGTTTTAGGTGAAAGATAGAGCTGATAAAGCTGTGGGCTATGAGATAACTAAGGTAGTGGTATGTTATTTAAACATGGGAAATTAGCTGATTTTTGTTAACTACTTTTGAAGTCTTGGAAAAATAAAACGGCAGGCTCGGGTCAGTTAACTATTAATTCAAAGTATTCAGAAGTCTTTTAGGGTAACTTTGAAACTACCCTAATCTCTTGCAGCTATAGTGCAATTTGTGCTGCAAATCAGTCCCAGAATTTAAATGTACATGTGGCAGAGTGGCAAGAAAGATTTATTGTGCAGCATCAATAGATCCCCTATGCAAAACTCCAAGTCTTAATGAGAATGGAGAGGAAACTTGTGTTCTGGAATGAGGAAAGCACTCTAGATGATTTTAAAAATCTTGAAACCACAGTTTCCTTTGAGCACTATTGACACAGAGAAGACCTCTTACACTTGTCAGATGATTACAACCTCACTCATGCAGAGACCTGGCAAAAATGATACTTGAGGCAGATGCTTTCCAACATGCTGCTGTTCTCCTCTGAATCATCTGCTTCGTCTACTCGTTGTTTTTATACCATCAGCAAGAGATGGATAATTCCACCTGTGTTTCAGAGGAAAACAGTAATTACTCCAAAATCATTGCAAGACTTCACCATTATTATACACGATAACATAATTATAAATTTTGTAAATTATACTTTATACGTATAGGCAAAGACTAAAGGAAGACATATGGGTTGAATCATGAGGTTTATGAACCAAGGTAGGGGTTTAGAATATAAAACTGGATAGAGAAGAATTTATTAATATGGAGCAATTTCTCATGTTTCAGGGATTAACTTCTGGCAAGCATAACTGGAACTTCTGATACACCACTGGAATGGATTATTAATACTAGGGTGCAAAATTGCCTAGAGTTAATGAGGTGGGAATGATATAACTGTCTTGGAGGAGTACTGTGGAAGGGTTTATTAGTTTAGTATTTGTAGTAGATGCCTTTCCACCTAAATAGGAACCCTGGGAGATCCCCCAAGGAGATCACAAAGGCAATGGGGGAGGTACTGGTACCGCTATCATTGTCAGTAACCTTTTTGGTGGTTGTCCACTGTAGTGTAGGTGGGATCAAGGGTAGGAAATGCACTATTAACTGGGATCAATATCTTCAGTGAGGATGATAAGGTTTAGGAATAGGCAAGATTTTGTGATGACAATTATATATCACAGGTGATATAGATAATAGTACTTGTAAAGGTCCTAAGTTATAAATATATAGCAATGAACAATAAATGGATACCCCATTTATAAGCATCAGCTACATCCGTGAAATAAAAATAATGTGGAGCAGCTATCTCTGTAAAATACTATTACTCTAAATATACACATGTAATTTATATTTCAGAAATATCTGATATAAGAATTTTGAATTAGTCATGCATTTAATCTCAATGTAGATGCACAGATTTTAGCTATGCAATTTACTTATTTTACGTGTTTAAAATCTCATTGTTAAATTATGTGAATTGGTCAAGCTTAGGATATTCCACAGTAAAAATAAAAAACCTAAATAACTTAGAGACTAATTTCAGTTAAGAGAGGGGCTGTGCTCAAGTAGGTAGACAGGTTGAGTAAGGCTTTATTTTGACACATTCTTCCATGATCAGGGGAGCAGCAAAAGAACACAGTGTATGATAGACAGCTTTCTAAATTTCCACCCAAAAGTTATCCTTGAAATGTCTCACATTTCATTGGCCAAAGCATGTCACATGACTGTGCTTGAGGTCAGCAGGGTAGAAATGTACAATCTTTGTCACCAGAGAAAAGGTGACTACCAAAATGATGTTGTGTACAGTCACGCAATCTATTATTTTTATTTTCAAAAGAGTTAAGACCAAAATAAACACACACACACACATATACAAACATATATCCTGAATAAAAGTTCTTTTGGTTTGCAAATACCAGATTCTTTTTTTTTTTTTGAGACAGAGTCTTCCTTTGTCCCCCAGCTGGAGTGCAGTGGCACGATCTTGGCTCACTGCAACCTCCACCTCCCGAGTTCAAGTGACTCTCCTGCCTCAGCCTCCTGAGTAGCTGAGATTACATACGCGTGCCACCACTCCCAGCTAATTTTTATATTTTTAGTAGAGACGGGGTTTCACCATGTTGTCCAGGCTGGTCTTGAACTCCTGACCTCGTGATCCGCCCGCCTCAGCCTCCCAAGGTGCTAGGATTACAGGCTTGAGCCACTATGCCTGGCCCCAAATTTCTTTAAGCAAAAATCAACCAGAGTTTGAAAGACTGAAACAGGTCTAATTACATAGAAATAAGATATAAAATGAGTAAGCTCTTGTAGGTGCTAAGAGAAGTTTATGTGAAAATTAGATAAAGGGCAAAGGCTCAGCAACTACAAGTATGCAGTCTCTTATTCACACTTCCAAAATACAAAGGGCTCTGACAACCACTTGGTATGAACATTTATACATTTCCTTGCAGAAATAGTAGTGTGCTTGATTAAAGAGTATTGTTTAATACCACCCAAATTCTGGATTCCAAAACGTAGTTTTCCTTCAAAAGTTTTGGATAAGGTACAGAGAATTTCTGCTATCCTGGGTCAAAATCATCTTTAGGGTGGTGCTGGAAGAGTACTATGAGAACATGGTAACTGATGCCTTTTTCCTATGGTTTAAACTCAAGAATAGTGTGTATAACTGAAGCTGCACATTTGTCATGGTAAGGTATTATAACAAACATCTGGTGCTTCAAAACAACTTTGTCTCTTCCTGCAGTTGATAGTATGGAATGGATTCAGCCGGGAATGTTTTCTAATCACAGGGAGATACTGACAAGAGTATTGATGAGGGATATATTTGTAAAGGTCAGCGTAGGCCCAAGATATAATCTAATGAACAGGGAGTTCTCTGACTCCCTGGTGAAGATTATGAAAATAAAGAAGATGATGATGCTTTTTCTGATACTTAAGATGGTAATTTGGAAAGAGGTATTGGGAAGGGCAAGTCTTGGATGGGGTCATGACACATTTTCACAATTTATCTTTAACAATGGCTACTCTACCTGAAATAAATGAAAGTAACACATGTAAAAATTTTTGTTTTAGCTTTTTTTTTTGCCACCATGAAAGAAATGACCTTTTTTCAACTCCGAATAAGAGGTACACAAAGTTATAGATTTAAAAACTACAAGGGAAGCTGAGTGTGATTGCTCACTCCTGTGATCCCAGTACTTTGAGAGGTCAAGGCTTGATCCCAGGAGTTTAAGACCAGCCTGGGCAACATAGCAAGACTTCATCTCTACAAAAAATAAAAAATAAAAAATTAGCTGGGCATGGTGGCATATGCCTGTAGTCCCAACTAATAGGAAGGCTGAGGCAGGAGAATCACTTGACCCTAGGAGTTGCAGGCTGCAGTGATCCGTGATCATGCCACTGCACTCCAGCCTGGGTGACAGAGCAAAACCATGTCTTTAATAAATTAATTAATTAACAAACAAATAAATAAATACATATAACTCAGTTTCCAGGCAAAATGGAGACCATGAGCTTAAAAAAACAAGAGATTTAAATATTTCTCTGACTGTGTGTATATAAAAATTATATATAATTACATGTACAAATATACAAATTCATATATATTACATATATGAATTATATATTAGAATCAACCCTGATATACATATTTCATATTTTCTAATAAGTATTGATTTTAGTTATAATTACGTTACTTAAGTAATCTGCTAGAATTTATAAATAGCACTGGCAATCAATAGGTTTAAAAAAGCTCAATGTTTAAAAAAATTATATTAAATGCTCAAAATATCAGTGTTTCCATGTTTGGTTTATATATTTATGAACTTCCAACATCTTGCCTGTCCTATTTCACCTGACATATCTGTCATAATTTGGTTTTCAATTAGAAATTGACTCCATAAAATAACAGAAAAGACCCAGAAATATTTAGCCCCTACAGAATTCCCACGACCCGTTTTTGTTGCAGATAGTCTGATGACTGAGAGTATGTAAACAAGACTTCACTTTACTCGCTTGGGAGTGACGCTGCTGACAGGTCTGTGTTTGTGTGCAGACATGTGAGGTGTCAGCTCTTTTCCATGTAATAGTTTAAGCAGATTTTACAGAGTCTTGGCTCCCACTGGTCCTCAAATTCCTATTCTTCAGCTGTAGTGGCAGGCAAGCTGTGGGAAGTCTCCAGCACGACACACTGGACAGCTGTGAAAGGAAAACACCGTGTTTTTAAAATGGAAATCAACCAAGGAGAAAGACTTCAGGAGGTGATAGACTTGTTGATAGTTTAAGACCACCCTATAAGTTTCCCAAACTAATATAATTCCATTAACAGTTGTTCATCAGTAAATTCTCTAACAGGTTAGTTCAGGACACAAAAATGTGTCTCTGACATGACCCCTGAGGCTATATTTTTGGTGTGTTTATTTAAGTAAAGCAAAGTGTGTTCATTTCCTATTGCTACTGTAACAAATTGTCATAAATTTATTAACTTAACAAATTATCTTACTCTTCTGGAGATCTGAAGTCCAAATTATGTCTCATTGATCTAACCTCAAGGTTTGGCATAGCTGACTGTGTAGAGGCTCTAAGGGGAGCATATGCGTCCTCGCCCTTTTTGGCTTCTAGAGGCCACCTGCAACCTTAGCTCATTTAATCATTTCAGTATCTTGCTTCCGTCATTACATCTACTGCTACCTTCTGATCTCCTCTCTCTCAATAAGGGCCTTTAGACTACACCCAGCCCATCAGTTAACACAGAATATCTTCTCATCTCAGGATCTTTAATCCAATTATATCACAGGTTGCAAGGATTAGGATATGGATATCTTTGAGGGGATATTATCCAGCCTACCACACTAACCAATGATAAAATGTGATAGCAGCATTAAAAAAAAAACACAAAAACAAAAGCTATCCTTGTAATCACATTTTTATATTTTTTGTCAGATGGATTTGCGTTTGAATGTAAGTATTCCCACTTACTAGCCATGTGACTAAGGAAATGTAATCAACATATCTGAGTTTCAGAGTGTCTTCTCCCCTCTCAAGAGCTTGCCCTTTCCAATCCCTCTATCTACAGAAATTGCCTTCAAAGTATCAAGAAAGCCTTCAACATCTTTAGCTTTCTACAACTTTAGTTATTTAAGTTTATGCATACATTTCTTGTGGAAGTATCAATCCACACAAACTTTCTGTAATGCAACTTAGGATGATATAGTGAAGCGGAGCATATGAATATATTATGATCCAACAGTCTCAACTCTAGTTTTATATCCTACTACAACTCTTGAAAAATGTGCATCAGGAGAAACGCACACAATTCATGGCAATATTATTCATAATAATAACAAATATTTAAACAGGGTAAGTGACCTTTTACTGTATAACAGACAAATAAATTACGATAAACTTACAAGATGGAATATCGTAAGCACTGAGAATGAATAAACTACTACTACACAAGGCAGCATAGACAAATCTTAGAAAAATTGTATAAATTGAAGAAAAATAAAGTTGTAGAAACTAAAGATGATTATTCTTTATAAATAATAAATGTGTATAAAGATAAACTTTATACAAGTTCAAAAACAAGCAAAACTGAGCACCGTATTGTTAGGCATTCAAAAATATGTGGTAAGCTATTTTACAAAGACAGGAATAATAATCAATTGGGATAATCTATTGGGACAATGTTTTCAGGTGGTAGGGAAATATTATCAGGGAGGAACACGGAGTTTCCTTCAACGATATGAGCAATTTGAACAGAATTTTAACACATATGGATTCGGTCTTGCCTGTATCTACTACCAATATCTAGCTCCTTAAATTCAGTTTTTCAGTCATGTTAACCACATGTAAATGTTTGATAATACATGTGGCTAGTGGTTCCTGCATTGGAGAGAGCTGATTCTAGAAATACATTGCCATTATTGCAGAAAGTTATTTTGGACAGCACTATTATTCTGTTTAACCTAGATGTTCATTAAATATATTTTTCTACATCAAGTATTAAATAAGTGTTTCAAAATATAATGTCTTTTAACCTAGTAATCAATTTATTTGTATCTACATTTAAGAAATACTCTGAATTATAAACATTTTGAGCAAACATAATTGCAGTATTATTTCATTTTTTTAAAAAAAGAACCCCTAAAGAGCTTACAAAAGGAAAATCTTAAAGCAATCATGAAGTTACAGCACTTCAAAAAATCTTAAGTTACAATAAATGAAAAGCCATTTTAATTATTCGAGAAACTTTAGAAATAAATCAGTATACACAATTAAATATTTAGTGTATTCTGAGCTATACAATACAGAATAAAAAAGTTGGGAAAAACAATAACAATAAAATTTATATTAATAATAAAATAAAATACCATTATGATGCTTTGGATGTGATAGATCCTATTTCAGGGTCTAACTCTATGCAGATTAAATGTGGTAGTCCCCACAATAACCTAACGTTAAAAGTATAATTTTTCTTTTTGAAATAATGAATATGAGGCACAGATCAGTTATTTAATTTGCCTAATGTCACACAGTTAGCAAGAATGAGTTGGAATGCAAATCCTGGCATTCTGGCTGTTAACTTCAAAGGGTTAAAACTGATACTAAGATATACAGTTATTTCATTTTCTTTTTACAAGAGTTTTAGGTGTGTGTGAAGTGGGTGGTGTGGGGACATGTATGCACCATCAATATTCAATGTAGTTTATGTGATCTACACAAGTATTTAGAAAGAAAAATATAATAACATCACAGAACAGTTTGAGCATAGCAAAATAAAGGTGAGGCAATGACTGTGATAGAAAGAAGATGAAATACTTTTAGAATGATAACGTATAACTGGAGACAATAAAGCATAACTTCAGATAAAAAGCAGCCTAGCAGAAATATAAATGATGAGGGATGGTCTTGGCCTCTCAGGCAAACAGTTTGGGCTGATAGAAAGTCCAGGGCATGAGCCGGCATGGTGGCTGATGCCTGTAATCCCAGCACTTTGAAAGGCCATAGCAGGCAGATCATTTGAGGTCAGGATCTTGAGACCAGCCTGCTCAACATGTGGAGACTCCGTCTCCAATAAGAATAGAAAAATAACTGTATGTGGTGGTGCGCACCTGTAGTGCCAGCTACTAAGGAGGCTGAGGCAGCAGAATTGCTTGAACCCGGGTGGCAGAAGTTGCAGTGAGCTGAGATCACACCACTGCACTCCAGCCTGGGTGACAGAGAGAGACTCCTTCTAAAAAAAAAAAAAAAAATTCCAGAGCACATTTTATGTTATTATTTTTTTGCAGATGATTTCTATTTTTTTAAATTTTATTTTAATTTTAGGGATACCTGAGCAGGTTTGTTTGTTACATAAGTAAACTTGTGTCGTTTGTTGTACAGATTATTTTATCATCCAGGTATTGAGCCTAGTATTTTTCCTTCTCCTTTCCCTCCTCCCAACCTCCATCCCCCAATAGGCCCCAGTGTGTGTTGTTCCCTGTATGTGCCCATGTATTCTCAACATTTAGCTTCTACTTATAAGTGAGAATATACACTATACGGTTTTCTGTCCCTGAGTTAGTCTGCTAAGGATAACAGCCTCCAGCTGTATCCATGTTCCTGCAAAGGACATGATCTTGTTCTTTTTATGGCTGCAGAGTATTCCATGGTGAAAACTGGTACAAAACAAAGATGTCCTCTCTCACTACTCCTAATCCACATAACATTAGAAGTCCTGGTCAGGGCAATCAGGCAAGAGAAAGAAATAAAGGGAATCCAAATAGGAAGTCAAACTAACCCTGTTTGCAGATGACGTGATCCTATATCTAGAAAACCCCAGAGTCCCAGCCCAAAATCTTCTTAAGCTGATTAAAAACTTCAGCAAAGTCTCAGGATACAAAATAAATGTGCAAAAATCACTAACATTCCAATACACCAACAACAGTCAAGCTGAAAGGCAAATCAGGAACACAATCCCATTCACAACTCCCACAAAAATAATAAAATACCTAGGAATAAGCTACCTAGGGAGGTGAAAGATGTCTACAAGGAAACTACAAAACTCTGCTCAAAGAAATTAGAGATGACACAAACAAATGGAAAAATAATCCATGCTCATGAATAGGAAGAATCAATAATGTAAAAATAGTAATAATGTCCAAATAACATCTCACAGATTCAATGCCATTCCTATTAAACTACCATTGAGATTCCTCACAGAACTAGAAAAAGCTATTTGAAAACTTATATGGAACCAAAAAAGGGCCCAGATAGCCAAGGCAATCCTAAGCTAAAAGGACAAAGCTGAAGGCTTCATGCTACCTGACTTCAAACAATACTACAGGGCTACAGTAACCAAAACAGCTTGGTACCAGAACAATAACAGAAACATAGACCAATGGAACAGAATAGAGAACACAGAAATAAGGCTGCACATCTACAACTATCTGATCTTTGACAAAGCTGACACAAACAAGTAGTGGGGAAAGGATTCCCTATTCAATAAATGGTGCTGGGATAACTGGCTAGCCATATGCAGAAAATTGAAACTGGACCCCTTCCTTACACCTTATACAAAAATCAACTCAAGATGAATTAAAGACTCAAATATAAAACCCAAAACTATTAAAACCCTGGAAGACAACCTAGGCAATACCATTCAGGATATAGGGACAGGCAAAGATTTCTTGATGAAGACGCCAAAAGCAATTGCAACAAAACAACAATCGACAAACAGGCTCTAATTAAACTAAAGAGCTTCTGCACAGCAAAACAAACTATCAATAGACTAGACAACCTACAGGATGGGAGAAAATTTTTGCAAACTATGATCTGACAAAGATCTAATATCCAACATCTATAAGAATCTTCAGCAAATTTACAGAAAAAAACAAACAATCCCATTAAAAAGTAAGCAAGGGATATAAACAGACACTTTTCAAAAGAAGACATACATATGCTAACAATTGTATGTGAAAAAGCTTTACATATGCAAATGCAAATCAAAGCCACAATCAGATACCATCTCACACCAGCCAGAATGCCTATTACTAAAAAGTCAAAAAATAACAGATGCTGGTAAATTTCCAGAATAAAAGGAATGCTTATACACTGTTGGTAGGAGAGTAAATTAGTTCATCCATTGTGGAAGACAGTGTGGCAATTCCTCAAAACCTAAAAGAAAGAAACACCATTTGACCCAGTGATTCCATTACTGGGTATATACCCAAAGGATTAAAAATCTTTCTATTATAAAGACGCATGCACGTGTATGTTCTTTGCAGCACTATTCACAATAGTTAAAGACATGGAATCAACCTACATTCCCATCTATGACAGACTGGATAAAGAAAATGTGGTCCAAGGCACATTTTAAAGATGCAAACTTCATGAAGTCCTGAAATCAGTGATCATAATGGGATGTTTTATACACGCTATGTATTGAACTTTTGTTATGTCTTTCTACCAAACTGTTCAGAGTAGGATAATTGTAACAAAAAAGAAATTCCAGCAAAAGTTCTTTTTATTGAAATATGAATTTTGGATTAAATAACCATGATTAGCCACCTCACATAATTTCTCTTACTCTGATCTCCACATGTTCCTGTTTAACTGACAAGTTAAAATAATTATATTCTTTTTTAAGTTCATTTATGTTACAGAACATGAAAATTTCAATTTGAACATCTAAACCAAAATAAGTTAAGAACAACTTATAGTGTATAATTCACATATAATATTTTACATTTTTCTTTTTTCTTTTATGTGAGGGTGTATATATGTTTTCAATGTCTCTTTTATTTTCTAGTTCTAGAACCCCAAAAAACATTTTTTTCACACATTCACAGTTAGTCATCCTAAATTCTCTTTTCTTTTTTAATCTTTATTGAAATATACCACAAAAAGTGAAAAAAGCATAAATGTCAGTTTAATGAAATTCTACAAATAGAGCATGCTACATAACTACAACCCAAATAAAGAACATTTTAGCAAAAAAGAAGGCCTTTTTCAGATATCATTGATACTTCACCATAGATAATAACTATCATAATATTCTTATACCAATATATGAAATTTATAGGAATGGAATCACAGAATATGTACTTTTTTGTGGCTGGCTAATTTTGTTTAATACTCTCGTTGTTATGGTCAATATTTTGTTGCATATAACATTAGTTTGTTTATTCTAATTCCTGTGTAGTATTACATTGTGTAAATGCACCATTTATCCACTCTAATTTGGATGGTTATTTGGGGAATATCTAATTTTTTACTATTATAAGGAGCAGTGTTATAAAAATTCATGTACATGAAGTTAGAGAGTGTACATATACTTTTTTATTAATATAATCTTTGGAGTAAAATTCCAAGTTGATAGGGTACACATATGCTTGGCTTCGACAGATGCTGAAAGAAAAGAATCCAAAGAAGTAATAATGGCTTAAATGTCCATCAGTAGTGGGTGATAGTTGCAACTGCTCTACATTTTGCCAACACTTCATATTACATTGGTTTTTAATTTACATTTTCCCTGTACCCAGTAAAACTGAGCACCTATTCATATGTTTATTGTGCATTGTATATCCTTGTATATGTAGTACCTGATTTAGATTTTTGCTTTTTCTTTTTTCAATTGGGTTTTTCATTTTTTTCTGCTTTTTAATTGATACATAATAGTTATACATATTTATGGAGTACATCCATTTTTGGTACATGCATACAATATGTAATGATCAAATCACAGTAATTGGGAAATCTGTCACCACAAACGTTAATCATTTCTTTGTGCTGAAAACATTACAAATCTTCCTATCTATTTTGACATATACAATAAATTATTGTTAACTACAGTCATCCTAACGTATGATAAAATACTGGAACTTGTTCCTTTTATCTAACTATATATATTTATCCATTAACTAACTTCTCTAACTAGCCCCTCATCCTTCCCTAATAAATTGTTACTATCATTCTACTCTCTACCTCCCATGATCATTTTGTTTCTTAGTTCCCACATAAGAGTGAGAATGTGTGATACTTATCTTTCTGTGCCTTGCTTACTTCACTTAACATAATGTCCACACATAAGTTCCACACATGTTGCTGCATATGACAGCCTTTTATTCCTTTTATGGCTGAATAGTATTCCATTGTGTACCTGTACCATATTTTCTTTATCCATTTATCCATCGATGGATGCTCAGGTTGATTTCATATCTTGGTTACTGTGAATAGTGCTGCAATAAACATGGGAATGCAGCCATCTCTTCAATATTCTGATTTCCTTTCTTTTGGATACATTCCAAGAAAAGGGATTGCTAGATCATATATATGGTTGATCTATTTTTAGTATTTTCAGGAACAGTATTTCCTGTTGCTATACCAATTTACATTTCCATCAACAGTGTAGGAGGGTTCCTCTTTCTCTGCAACCTTGCCAGTATCTGATATTGTCTGTCTTTTTGATAACAGCCACTCTAACCCAGGTGAGATGATATCTCACTGTGGTTTTGATTTGCATTTCCCTGATGACTAATAATGTTGAACATTTTTTCATATACCTTTTGGCCATCTGTATACCTTGTTTTGAGAAATGTCTATTCAGATATTTCGTCCATTTTTGAAAGATTATTTGGGGTATTTTTGTTGAATTGTTTGAGTTTCTTATATATTCTGGTTATTAATCCCTTCTCAAATGGATAGCTCGCAAATTATTTTTTTCCATTCTGTGGGTTATATCTTCACTTTGTTGATTTGTTTTGCTATGCAGAAGGTTTTTAACTTAATGTAGTTCCATTTGGGAATTTTTGTTTTCTTTGATATTTGAAATCTCACTCAAAAAAATCTTTGCTCAGACCAGTATCCTGAGTCTTTCCCCAGTGTTTTTCTCTAGTAGTTTTGTAGTTTGAGGGCTTCATTAAAACATTTAATCAAGTTTGATTTGATTTTTATGCATGTTGAGAGATAGGGGCTTAGTATCACTCTTCTGCATTAAGGGTATCCCATTTTCCCAGTAGCATTTACTGAAGAAATTGTCATGTTCTCTTCAATGCCTGTTCTTGGAACCTTGGTCAAAATGAGCTGGCTGAAAGTGCCTGGATTTATTTCTGGGTTATCTAACCTGGTCCGTGTTCTATATGTCTGTTTTTATGTTAGTATCATGCTGTTTGGGTTAATATCACTTTTTAGAATATTTTAAAAGCATACCATGTGATGCTTCCAGCTTTGTTCTTTTGTTCAGAATTGCTTTGGTTATTCGAGGTCTCTTTTGGTTCCATACAAATTTTAGAACTTCTTTTTTTCTTTCTTTTTTTTTAACTTCTGAGAAGAATGTCCTGTGTATTCTTGATAGGGATTACAGTGATTCTATAGAACTCTTTTGGAAGTATGGACACTATAACAATGTTAATTCTTTCAATCCATGAACATGGAATATACTTCCATATTTTTTCAGTCAATTTTTCAGTCTCTTTGCTATTGATAACATGGTTATTTTATAAATATTTTATGTATATGTTTTGTTCAGCAGGTGTATGTCATACACACACACACATCATCATCATCATCTTCCACTTTGTGACTTGTCTTTTAACTCTCCTTTTGTTGGTGTTTTGATAAATGTTAAGATCCTACTCTATAGTCTAAATTATCATTTTTAAATATAAATCCTTGTCTTCTCCAAGTCAATAATTTGTTCTTAAACATTTTCTTCTAAAAGTTTTCCTTCTTTCCTATTCATATTTAGATTTGAAATCCATCTAGAGGTAACTTTTCCTTATACTGCCAGTCTTATTGACAATAAATACCCTCAATTTTTCGCTTATTTGAAAATGTTTTTTGTTTCATCTTTGTAAAAGGATATTTTTACTAAGTATACAATTCTACATTGGCAATTACATTATTTTAGTGATTTAATAATGCATTTCATGTTTTCCAGCTGTCATTGTTTTTGATGTAAAATTAGCTCTTCCTCTTGTGTTTGATCCTAGAATACATTGTCTTTATCCTCTGGTTACTTTTAACATTTCACTTTGGTCTTAATCTTCAGTAGTTTATATCCAGCACCAGAATATAACTCAATGTGGCTTTCTTTGAATTTATTTCATGCAGGGTTTGCTGAGCATCCTCAGTCATTTTGTGTTTTTTGTTTGTGTGTTGTAAAAAGTCTCAGACATTATAACTTCAAATATTGCTTTCATTCTAATCTCTTCTAGTCCTGTTACTCCAATTACATTTTAAATATGCTTTGATTTCTTCTCATGCACTTATTTTGCTTTCCTTTCTTGTCTATTTTTGTGCATTGATTTAGTTATTTTCTATGTATGTTACGTCCAGGTTACTAAATCAATAATTTATACTTGCAAAAGTATAATGAACTGTGTAATGAACACAAAATGCAGCTACCAGATTCTCTTCTAATGACTTGCTGCCTATTATCAGTACTTTCTGGCTTGACTTAGTTGCAAAAGGCTACTCCAGTGCAGGTGATCCCTTGGACTGCCTCAGTAGAACTTCTCCACAGAAGGGAACACCTGTACTAGGACAGACTATAATAATGATTGATGCAGATATAATGGCCCATCCATTTTGTCCCAAAATGGGACAACTCTGATGAAGCCTATTTAATGCTGACTTGTTTTTGGATTTGCCCTGTGTCTTTTCTGTGTCTACATGGCAAATTGATCTTTCACCATTTCTAATCCTATTTCTCCCCCTCTATTCCACCTGTGTGAATTCCTAGTAAATACTGTGCACACACACACACACACACACCTACACACACACATACACCTCAATATATCCTTCTTTAGAAACTAGACTGGGATGAGTGACACTGAGAGAGATCAGAGAAAGAGGATTACAAAATGGCATTTTAGAGCTGGATCACTCACAAATAATATGGCAATGAGGATTATATCTGTTGTAATAGAGGGAATTCAGAAAGCCCTTGGCACAATAAGGTAAATCCAATTGTTTAAATCCCAGTGGTATGAATTAGGATGATATATGCGTAGTAGAGAATGTACCAGCTATCTTGATATGTTGGATGTTTGAAAAGTACAGGGGGAGTAACAAAATTATAAAGAAAATGATATTGGAGGGATATTGCTAAGCATTACACTCTGGAAAAAAAAATATGGAAAGCTCTAGGCAATTAACAGATTACTGAAAGCCAGGTGTAAAAACCACAGGGAAATGAGAAAATTTCCCTTGTCTCCCTTGTAGGGCATGTGATGGGGGTGTGGCTCGCTTCTTCAGTGCCACACTGCTCAAACCTCTAGGGGAGCATACAGACTGGCAGGCTGTGGGGCTCCAACTCCATGGCAGTGTCTAAGGGTGAATATTTACAGCTCCTGATGCCCGAGTGGGTATATGTTACAGGGTGCTCCTTTAGTTTAGCCATCCACAGCCAGCTTGTGTTAGTTAGCTCAAATAGACTCCTGCCTTATCACAAGGACAGAGGACTTTCTGTATCCTGGGGTTATGGAACTTGGCGTACCAGAAGAATCAATTAAAACGTGGGATTGGAAATGAGTGCAAGGTTTTATTGAGTGGAAGTAGCTCTCAGCAGATGGGGGAGCCAGAAGGGAAATGGTTTTCCCCTGGAGTCAGGACTTGCAGCCGCCCCAGCCAAATGCCGCATGGCTCTTCTGGTCAATGGCCTGCCAGTGTGCTCTCGACGTCCCCTCGATGTCCAGCCACTTGTATCTTCTTCTGCCGGTCCACTCCTCTCGACATCCAGCTGCTTGCTTCTCTGCCTGCTGGGGTCATGGAGTTTTTATAGGCACAGGATGGGGGTGTGGCAGGCCAGGGTGGTCTTGGAAAATGCAACATTTTGGCTTGAAGGGCAGGAGTGCCTGTCTTCACCTAGGTCTGTGGGCACAGGCCTGGGGGTGGAGCCCTAGCCAGGGACCTCGCCTTTCCCTTCCCAGCACTTCCCTGCCACCCTCTAATATCAATAGGGCCTGCCCGATAGGTTAGAAAGAGACTTTCACCTTCTATAACAGAAGAACATACAGATCTAATGACTAGATCCAGGACTTGATCAAGTGTTAGAATGCCACAGATGGTTCGATAGGTAATCAAATTGGTCTTTCTCTTTGCATCAGTGTCAGCTTTAGAAAAAATAGGACCTTGACAGTTGAAATGGGATATCAGGTAAATTCCTCTGGATATTGTCAAATTTCAGTTGATTATCGTCATTCTTCATATTTTCAATTTGCTCTTAGCTCTGACCTAAGGAGTTTTGTCTCACTCCTTCCACTTAGATTAAGTACTCCCAATTTGCTTTGGGACACTGCATAAGCCTCTCATCTGCAGGCAATGTCTGTCATTTTTGGAATATGCTCATGATTCCTCTCCCAGCCACTAAGCCATAACTATGGCAAACTTCCAGCATAACCCAGACAGCATTCTGCCAACTGCTGATCCCGATAAGAGAAGAAAAGGATTATACCTCAAAAGAGCTGAGGACTTGGCCAAAATATATTTTAGGGGACTGGAAAAGTACATGCATGAATTGATATAGTTTGGTTGTTTGTTCCCTCCTTCCAAATCTTATGCTGAAATGTGATCCCCAATGTTGAAGGTGGGACCTAGCGGGAGGTGTTGGATCAAAGGGGGAGATCCCTCATGAATAGCTTAGCGCCATCCCCATGGTGATGAGTGATTCTTGCTATTAGTTCATGTAAATCTGGTTGCTTAAAAGAGTCTGCTCTCTCTCTTGCTGCCCCCTTCTCCATGTAATATGCCTCATCACTCTTTGCCTTCGCCAGGAATGGAAGCTTCCTGGGGCCCTACCCAGGAGCAGATGCCAACACCATGCTTTCAGTGCAGCCTGCAGAACTTTGAGCCAAAATATGTCTATTTTCTTTATAATTTACCCAACATCAAGTATTTCTTTATAGCAACATAAATGGACTAACACTTAAATAGATTTCAAAAAAAAAATTGGGAGGTGAAAGGACAAAACCTACATTTGGATGAAGAAGGGTTTATTGATTTGAGAGCACCCAACTGAGATGCAATATTAGCACCTGGTAAGGACCTCAGGAAATGACACAACTGGCTACTAGGAAGGCTCTTTTTTTTTTTTTTTTTTTTTTGAGACAGAGTCTTGCTCTATCACCTAGGCTGGAGTACAGTGGCACAATCTCGGCTCACTGCAACCTCCGCCTCCCAGGTTCAAGCCATTCTCCTGCCTCAGCCTCCTGAGTAGCTGGGATTATAAGCACAAGCCACCATGCCTGGCTAATTTTTGTATTTTTTAGTAGAGACGAGGTTTCACCGTGTTGGCCATGGCTGGTCTTGAACTGCTGACCTCAAGTGATTCGCCCGCCTTGGCCTCCCAAAGTGCTGGGATTACAGGCATGATCCACTGCACCCGGCTGGCTCCTAAAACTTGAAAAGAGTGCTGGCCCTTACTGATTAAAGGTGAAATGGTAGAATTTCTGTGGCAGACAATGAAGGAAGAAATTAAAAGTCCCAAGAAAGTGGGCATCTAGGAATAGATATATAATGTATGGCCAGGAGATCCAATAGTAGATTATGTTCCACAGGAAGACTTAGAGGTTAAGCTATATTCAACAAAGCTATAAAGCATGTGCTGGTAAGAGAAACACCAACATTACTAAAACCGTTAGTAGTCAGTGGTCGTCCTGGTAAGTCAGAGCCAAAGATAGGAGAGGCCATAATAATTTAAGCTTACTGATAACAATAGAAATAAAAGAACCTTAAAACAATAAAGAATAGTGGTGATACTTAACTGCCAAGAGCCAAATGAACACAATATTCATGAGTCATAGGGTCAGAATGGTATCCAAGGGAAAAAGACCCACAGAGATGGTTAATATAAACTGATATCACAAAGGCCAGTCAGAAAGGGTATTTCTTAGCTTTTACTACCAGAAAAAATATCAACAATTGATGATCAGAAGACTGAGGAAAATTGTCTCAAACAAAAAGTTGACATCCCTTGCCCAGTTTTCAGATGTGAGCCAGTTTTCAGAAGAGAAGTCCCTAAATTAGAGAAGATACTGGGACTTAGATCAAGTATACCAGACAACTTTTTTTTTTTTTTTGAGACAGAGTCTTGCTCTGTTGCCCAGGCTGGAGTACAGTGGCGCGATCTTGGCTCACTGCAAGCTCCATCTCCTGGGTTCATGCCATTCTCCTGCCTCAGCCTCCCGAGTAGCTGGGACTACAGGTGCGTGCCAAAATGCCTGGCTAATTTTTTAGTATTATTAGTAGAGACAGGGTTTCACCGTGTTGGCTAGGATGGTCTCAATCTCCTGACCTCATGATCTGCCCACCTCGGCCTCCCAAAGTGCTGGGATTATGGGCATGAGCCACCACGACTGGCCCGACAACTTTTTATCTGATTGTATGCACTGGTCAAAATTGATAGATCTGCATACTTTATAAAGGGCACATTGTACTGTATACTATATATGTAAATTATATCACAATAAAATTACTTTAAAAAAACAGAAAAATTAGTTCAAATTATGTCCCATCTCTACTATCATTCTTTTTGACATTTTTCATTGGCTGCCTATTACTTCTAGCCTACTTAATTGCATTTTCTGGACTCTGCTTTAACTCTCTTAGCTAATCTTGTATCACTTTCTCCATTTTTCTGTGTGTTCCTGTCACCCTGGTTCTTTGTCATTTCTTCAAATAGTCTGTCCTTCACCACAGGGGCTATGTATTTGGTACTTAACTCTTACACATCTATAGTGTATCAACTTAACTATCACATATTTTAAAGAAGCCTTTTCTAAAATCAAAGATCTGGGTAAGTTTCTTCTAAAAGGTTTCAGTGACTCATACATCTTTCCTACGGAGCACTTACTTCGGTGAATATTTAAATATTCGTAAGTAGGATTGTATGATTGATAATTTTCTCCCCAGTGTAACCTATAAAATTATGTACTGTGAAGCCCATTTGCTTTTCTATACCATTTTTCTCCCATTACTTAGGACAATGCCTGACACAGTCCATATTTTGAATAAGTGTATCTCACATTACAGGATAAATGAATAAATAAGTATTTTCAGGACATGATTTTCTATCTTCATCTTTAGGAGGTATTAGTCAGCAGTTATTCATATTTTTATCTGCACATGCATGGATATTTTAATGATGAATATCAAATTTACCAGGTATTTATCTATCTTATTATGTTAAACAGTCAGTAAAAGTGATTTTTTAAAATAAATTTATTTATAACAACCATAAATTCCCTTTACAGTATTTCACAAGAATTGCAGGGTCAAATAAAATGTCAAGTTGACATTCAATCTAATTTGAGTTTTAAAGCAATACCCAATATAAACTATAAGTAATAATTACCATTTAAAATATTCATTAAAGTCACTCACTTTAGATGTAGTTATGACCAACCTAGGTATATTTCTGGGACAGAATTACATGGCTTAGATAAGCCTTAAAAAAAACTAGTAAATAGCATTTCCTATACATATTCACTATTATTTGTTTTCAGACCCTTCACTTTGTTTAGTAAATTTTTCATCTTATGTGTTCTTCAGAGCATAAAATCTAGTTGGGGGCAAATGACCCTCTGAACATTCCATGAAATTTTTTATGCCTATTGTTATCACTATCCTTGCACATCTGGTTGTATTTCAATTGTTACAAATACAATATTCAAATGTTCTCCTCATATGAACCTTTAAAAGTAAGCAAGGCAATGAATGAAGGGCAGAATAGACATAGATTCCCAGTGAATAAATGACTGGTTATCTAAATTTGAGAGCAGCAATCTGGCTTTATCACATTATTCACAGATAGGAAATCATATTTGAGATAAGTGTGATATAAAATTTATGTTCAAAGGGGTGAGAAGGAAAACTTCCTTTCAGAGTTTTAAATTTGGCTATTTTATTTTATTTTTAAAGAGGTATGGTCTCACTATGCTGTCCAGGCTGGCCTCAAAATCCTGGACTCAAGTAATCCTCCCACTCCAGCCTTCCAAATAGCTGGGATTACCAGTGCATTACACTGCACACAGATAAATCCACTAATTTTATAGTGGCTATCATATAAATCAAAGTGTGTGTGTGTGTGTGTGTGTGTGTGTGTCTGCGTGTGTGTGTGTGATTTTAAAGCCTTAGTGGGAAAAAATACTATATAAGTGATTATTTCTGTCATTATCCTTAATGTATCTGCTCACTGTCTGATTTTTGATGCTAACAGCTTGATAGATCAATAAATTTAGATGTAGACTGAAAAGAAATAGGTATTTAATTAAGATGTTGATTATAAAAACTCCATTGAACAGATGACGATCACCCGAAAGAAACAAGCAGGTGTACCCAACAAATGGCAAGCCCACTGATTTAATGTTTATTTAGAAAGAAAATTAAATTATATGACAAATCATTTCCCAAACACATGCAGATGTCTGGATCAATAGTTAACATATCAAGTGTTTTATTTTTCTCATAAACATTATTTAGTACATTTGAAATTGTTGCCTTGAAGTGGTAGACTCAACTGTTTCGGATAAAGTGATGAATTAAAATGAATTGAGATAATTACTTTCATAGGCAAGATATCGGAGTAATTAAGTTTCCACACTCACATTACCGCCATGCTACATTGCACAATATCCAAATTTGTTTAAGAAGGCCAGCGGACTGATTATGGCAAGCTTTCATCTACACCCTTTTTTAAAGAGAGGTAGATTTTAGCTTCATTATTAAAGGAAACTTCTTTACCTCTGTCTTATCTCTGTATCTCAAATGTGTTACATAGTGGCTAGTAAACTTGTTATAATGACTTGTCAAATTGATCAGTAAAAATGAATGAGTAATAAGTGACATAACCAAAATTGTGACTGAATGATTGAGAGGCTCGATGACAAAATGAAGAAATGCAAGAGCTGTAATGGAAAATAATACATGGTGAAGAAGAATTATGAAACCTTTTAGAAAATCCACTATTTTAAATCTTTTAGTCAGAAAGAAATATCAAGGAAAAATTATCTCATAGGAATTACTCCAAATCAAGAGGAGGTTACTCTGCTAGATTGTTTATAGAACCTAGTATAGAGGTTCTAGCTATCTAATTGGATAATTAAAGGAAAGAAAAAAAACCTGAAATGGGGAAATTTGGAAACATTTAGGTTACAATGTCTTATTAACGTACCACTATATATTATTCTAATTATCTATTTAACATAGGCACACATATAAAAATATTTGGAGAAAGAAAAACTAATGGTGTTTATATTTAGGAGATGAGATTATGATTATTATTTATCTAATTATACCATTTGTTACTTTCTAAAGTATATAAAATTAAAAATATTTCTTTATAATCATTAAAAGTGTCTATGGTTTACTCAGACAAAAGAAATCAATGGTTGTTACATTTAGAAAAATTATATTTTTTTCTATGATGTGGTCAAAAAGTAGCCATATGCTGTGGGATAAACAAACCTCAGGAATACTTGGTAAGATAATAATCAGAATCTCACAAAATGAAACTGAAAAGTCACATATGATTTTACCATTATTAATGAATTATTAGTGTTGTATTATTTTCCAAACTAAGAACAAAAATATTTTCTAAAATATGTACCCTGTATGGAAAAATAAATTCAGTATGAACAACATGTCTAGGGATACATCTGCATAGCTCACCAGCAGAACTTAGTATGGGAAGATAAGCTTAGAAATTAGTCTTCTCAGATAGGGTAAAGAAAATGTGCTACACTGTTCAAGGAAATCAGAGAGGACACAAACAAATGGAAAAACATTCCATGCTCATGGATAGGAAGAATCAATATTGTGAAAATGGCCATACTGTCTAAGTAATTTAGAGATTCAATGCTACTTTCATTAAACTACCATTTACAGGCCGGGTGGGGTGACTTACACCTGTAATCCCAGTACTTTGGGAGGCCAAGGTGGATGGATCATGAGTTCGGGAGATAGAGACCATCCTGGCTAACACAGTGAAACCCCGTCTCTACTAAAAATACAAAAAAAGTTAGCCGGGCGTGGTGGCAGGCACCTGTAGTCCCAGCTACTGGGCAGGCTGAGGCAGGAGAATGGTGTGAAATCAGGAGGTGGAGCTTGCAGTGAGCTGAGATCTCACCACTGCACTCCAGCCTGGGCAACAGAGTGAGACTCAGTCTCAAAAAAAAAAAAAAAAACGAGAAAATCTACCCCTTACTTTCTTCACAGAATTAGAAAAAAAAAAAAACTACTTTAAAATTAACATGGAACCAAAAAAGAGCCCAAATAGCCAAGGCAATCCTAAGCAAAAAGAACAAAGCTGGAGGCATCACACTACCCAACTTCAAACTATACTATACGGATACAGTAACAAAAACAGCATGGTACTGGTACAAAAGCAGACAATGGAACAGAATAGAAATCTGAGAAATAAGACATCACATTCACAACCATCTGATTTTGGCAAACATGACAAAAACAAGCAATGGCGAAAGGACTCCCTAATTAATAAATGGTGCTGGAAAAACTGGCTAGCCATATGCAGAAAATTTAAACTGGATCCCTTCCTTACAACATGGAATGCTACACAGCCATATAAAGGATGAGTTCATGTCATTTTCAGGGACATGGATGAGCTGGAAACCATCATTCTCAGCAAACTATCACAA
This sequence comes from Homo sapiens, assembly GCF_000001405.40. Lineage (NCBI taxonomy): Eukaryota > Metazoa > Chordata > Mammalia > Primates > Hominidae > Homo > Homo sapiens. Next base: position 45,685,895 of record NC_000004.12, read on the forward strand.
GAGCAAAAAAACAAACACCGCATGTTCTCACTTATAAGTGGGAGGTGACCAATGAGAACACATGGACACAGGGAGGGGAACATCACACATTGGGGCCTGTTGCAGGGTGGGGAGCTAGGGGAGGGATAACATTAGGAGAAATACCTAATGTAGGTGATGGGTTGATGGGTGCAGTAAACCATCATGGCACATGTGAACCTACGTAACAAAACTGCTTGTTCTGCACATGTACCCTAGAACTTAAAGTATAATAAGAAAAAAAAAAAGTGCTGGAAAACTAAATGTTTTTGGCTTGAATTAGACACATATCCTTTTAATGAACAGTAACTACAGTCAAGGAATTGCTAGCTCTGTTTGACCGAACTTAAGTCCTTTGATCTGGGTAACCACATCCCAAACATATAAACTGGCAGGGCAGTAATGGGCAAGTCCCCAGAAGAATTTATTTATTTATGTGATACATTTATTAAGTGCCCTCTATGTTCCAAACAAGTTTTGTGTGGGAAAGATAACTCTGAAAAATAAAAGTGATAACAAGTGTCTGCATTTATAGAACATACATTCTATTTAAAAAGTGAGTAAATTAGATAAGCAAGTAAACTATGTTGATAGGTGATGAGGATTATGGGGAAAAAAAGTACAAGGACTTGGGATAAAGATTGGTGGAGGGAAAGGGTTGCAAGGTTAAATAGGGTGGCAAGAAAAGCCCTTACTGAGAAGGTGACACTCAAATAAATACTTGAAGAAGTGAAGAGGCTGCCACGTGCATAAGTAGGGACATTTCAGTTCAGTTACCAGAGATAGGGGAAGAAATTCTGGGTGACAAAAGGAATAATTTTCAGCTACAAGCATTTCCTTCTTAAGACTCAGGAATACTTATCCAGGAAGTGATAACCTGCTCAAGTTTATTTAGATTGCTTAACATCGGCTACTGAAGATGGAGATACATAAACTAGAATCACCACAACTTGAACAGAGAGGCTCACTTCCCCTCTAACATGAAACTCCCTGCATACTATTTACCTAATTCTCAAATTTATGAGGTATTTTGCCTGAACTGCTCCTGGGAAGATCACTGTCACAGCATGGGTGCTCTGAAAACAGACACTGAGAAGGTATTTGGGGTGTCAGCTGTTGATTAGGAATCCACATCTGCGGAGGAAGGGGGAAGAAGCAGGACTGCACAAAAGAGACTGTCAAACTATGATAGAGGCCTGAAAATGCCTGTCTCCAAACAATTTAGAAAGGAGATTGGTTTGGAGGCCTAGGTGGGTGAGTCACCAGATCAGGAGTTCCAGACCAGCCTGGCCAACATGGTGAAACCCCGGCTGTACTAAAAATATTAAAAGTAGCTGGGCGTGGTGGTGGACACCTGTAATCTCACCAACTCAGGAGGCTGAGGCAGGAGAATCGCTTCAACCTGGGAGGCGGAGGTCGCAGTGAGTTGAGATCATGCTATTGCACTCCAGCCTGGGCGACAAGAGCAAGACTCCCTCTCAAAAAAAAAAAAAAAAAAAAAAGGAGATTGGAGAAAGAACTGCCTATCAGAGTGTCTTGAACTATGCAGAAATAGCTTGCCTGTTACAGTGCTGTATCACTCAATCACTAGAGGCAGGCTCTCTAAGGACAAGCATCACTCCAGCCAAGGTGGTTCTTTACACCTGAAGATGCACTGAAGAAATTGACAAGAGGAGGCTCTGTGATGAGCACACAGCCTGCAGCTGGGCATAAAGACCTTCCACAAATGGAGATATACTTGCCACATCACTGCATGTACCACTGTTTAATCTAATGGACCACATAGATCAATTTCTCCATTTACAATTGGGCAGCAGCTCCTTTAAGATCATTGTTGGCACCCCTTATTTTCCTAGATCTTTCTAGTAGAAAGATATTTATACTTTCAGGTCTTTGAAAGGCTTGCTTTATACTTCCATTCTTTATACTTTCAGATCTTTGATAGGCTTGCTTGCTAGATCTTTATCACAATCCATGAGTTTGTATACATATTAATCCAGGGTCAGTTATTCTTCTAAACAATGCAAAGATCAAGTGACACACCTTTCAAGCCTCTTTTCATTGAGGGAATAAATGTTCCCTTGTTATTGGCTTTCAAAGCTATACCTAAATGAGGCCATTGTGAAGCTGACATCCATTTTTGGCTTGTATCTACATACTAAATTGAACCAAACATAAACAAACTTTAGGATTTTTTTTTTCCCAGCTGGTTGTATGGGGCCCCATACAGCCATAGGCACAACATGAGGAAAGATTACTGGGGCAAGACTGGTGAGTACATAAGGTTTTGGGTTTCTACTTGTATGACTTATACATGACCAGTTGTTCTGGTGTGTTTTGATCTGGTGCACTTCCTGAGACATAGAACAATTAGTGATACAACTGGGACAGTCCCAGACAAAGCAATACATTGCAACATAACAAATTATCTCAAAAATAGCAGCATAAAACGAACAAAAGAAAACATTTATTTTCTTACACAGTTTCTGAGAGTCATGAATCAGGAAGTAGATTAGCTGGTTAGTTCTGACTCAGGGTCACACATGAGGTTGCAATAAAGCTGTCATCTGGGGCTATAGTTTCTGGAGACTTGATTAGGGATGAAAGATCCACTGCAATCTCACTCACCCAGCTGTTGGCAGGAAGCTTCAGTTACTCACCATGTAAGCTTATCTATAGGATTGATCTCAACATAGCACCTAACTTCCCCAGAGACAGTGATGAGAGAGAAGGAGAATGAAAGAATGTAACAGAAACAAATGCCGCAGTGTCTTTTATAACCCTATCTTGAAAGTGGTATTCCATTACTTCTGCCAGATTTTACTGGTCACATATGCCCAGCCTAAAACAATGCAGGATGGGATTATACAAGAGTGGGAATACAAGAGGCAGGATCCCTGGGGATATCTTAAGGTTGCACACTGCTCAAGCACTTTGTTTTTACCCTCTGGCTCTTATTACGTTAGAGCCCAGAGGTAACTTACAATGTTGAGTGTGTCTCGTGACTTTGTGGGTCCCATAAGGCTCCTTTCATAATGGAGAGTTTTGGATGTGTGGTGTTCCATCATTAGGCATGATGTCTCTATTAGGAGCAAGTAGTATGATAGGAGTATTTTGTTTTTCTCAAAAGACATTGAATTATCTGCAGTGGCTATGATAGCCTTGATTTATCACCCCAGGGCTCTACATTAGGACTTCCCCATACATTTTGCCTCATAGTCTTCAGGGTCTTTTTTCACCATTGATACCACCATAATTGAAGGGTCTTCCAGATACAATGTTCCAAGAGATAGGTCTTCTTGCATCACAGCCTGGACCTGCTGCTGAGAAAATTCCTGCTCAGGGCTCTATGCACAGCTGCCAGCCCTTTGTAACACCCATTACCTTGACCAGAACATTTCCCCTAGATGTATAATATACTGTCTCCAGATCTCACAGAGGCCCACCAGGAACTGAAGTTCTGCCACTGTGATAGGAAACATGAAATGCAATAATTTGTCCTATAATTAGAGGAGATGTCCTAGCATGACTTTGACAATTTGTCCACTAAATATTTTATGACTATGACTCCATTTACCATTGTGTTTTGGTGGAAGAATCAGACAATTTGTCACTTTTGTTCACAGGTCTCTAGATTGAAAGAAAACATACTTGGCAACAGCACTTAAAGAAGTATACTTGAAAAGTGACATCTGTACCTGGACCTGATGTATATGAGGAGATTCTAGATTTTGATCTGATGCTATAATGGGAAGGAATTTTGTTGTCTAAAGGACTGTGGGGAGATAAATTTTGTATGTAAGGGAGAACATGAATCATCTTTGGTAATCTGAGGGCAGAGTATGGTGTTCATGCTCCAGCATGACCCTCAATGATTCCTCTTTCATGTTTTTCATCTCTTAGTATGGTCCCTTATCACATTAAGTTGGGCTGACCAATGTGACCACTAGGATATTGCAGAAATGATGGAGTGCAACTTCTATGATTGGGCCATAAAAGATATTGTGGTTTTCATTTTGCCAACTCTTGGATCTGAGATCTCTTGCCAATAGCCAGAGATAAATTAAAGCCCTCTGCCAATGGCTACCATGAGTGAGACATCTTAGCAGCAGAGTTTTAAGCCTCACTCAAGCTTTCAGATGACAGCAGCTCTGGCCAATATCCCAAATGCAACTTTTGATAGACTCTGAGCCAGAACCACCCAGCTAAGCCTCTCCTCAATTCCTAATCCACAGAAACTTGGAAATAATGAATGTCTATTGTTCAAAGCTTCTATGTTTGATGATAATGTGTTAAACAGCAATAGTTTAATAATACTTCCACTTATACCTAGCCTGGAAAGAAAGTCGGTGGACTTTACATTCACATGGACCATCTATAACGTTTGGCCACACATATTATTGGAAAAAGAAAAATCTAGAGCTTAACAAGACTGACTACTTATACATCAATATATATTGATTGAAGACTCTTTCAATAGGTCTGTGAGTTACCTGATCTACTGCCCTTATAGATGCTAATTAAATCAGAGCTAGAAATGAAATCATTTTTTAAGGTAAGTTTTCCCATGAAATAGGATTAGGAAATAAATTTCCTTTTTTTTTCTCCATAGAATTTCCAGGAACTAGAGTTAAAAACAAGTTGAATTTTGAGTCAGATTTCTTTTTTCTCTCCAGAGAGAGAGATCCAACTCTCAACCAATTTATGGGAAGGATATGGTATGTTTTTGACAATAAAAAAGATTTTCACGATATTCATAATAAAAGCTTTTTATATAAGGCCTTACTAATAATGCCATATGCTACTACAATATTATAAATTTTTGCCCAAAATTCTCAAAAGGAGAGTAGAAGAGAGAAAATTATGCAGATTCCCCCTTAGGGAAGAGAATATTGCTGCAAGCTACAGTTTAGAGTCACAGTCTTGCAATTTCCATGCAGACAGAAATGTAAAGCAAGTTCAAAACTTGCCAAACTCCTTTGAAGATTAATTCTGCCCAAAGTACCTGATAGTTTTCTTTTTATTTCTGACAGAATGGCCCAGACCTTACAAAAAATGACTTATTGCATTTGAAGACAAAATAAATGATACAACTAAAATTCCATTTAAAGCATCTTGGGAAGAACTTGAGATTTTTAAATAAGCACATCATCACCAAGCCTAGAAAGCTGACAGGGTACACTCCAATACTTTTCACCCTGATGAAGTCCTATTCTTTACTTTTATAGTCACTCTTATCCTTGTTCCCGTTCTTATGCCACCCTCTACCTCTCCCCAGCTATCTCCACACTATCAATCTCACTCACTCTCTCCTAGCAGTTTCTAATCCTTTAACAAACAATTGCTGGCTTTGCATTTCTCTTTCCTCCAAAATTGCTGAGGGCTCAATTTACTCACTGATAAAAAAAAAAAAAAGGACTGTGTATATTTTTAAATGGTAAGTGTTGTTTTTACCTAAATCAATCTGGCCTGGTATATGATAACATAAAAAATCTCAAGGATAGAGCCTAAACTTGCCAACCAAGCAAGTAATTACGCTGATCCCCCTTGGGCACTCTAATTGGATGTCCTGGATCCTCCCAATTCTTAGTCCTTTAGTACCTGTTTTTCTCCTTCTCTTATTCAGACCTTGTGTCTTCTGTTTAGTTTCTCAATTCATCCAAAACCCTATCCAGGCCATCATCAATCATTCTAATACAAAAAATGCTCCTTCTAACAACCCCACAATATCACCCCTTACCACAAAATCTTCATTCAGCTTAATCTCTCCCACTCTAGCTTCCCACGCCGCCCCAACCCCGCTCGAAGCAGCCCTGAGAAATATCGCCCATTATCTCTCCATAACACTCCCGCAAAATTTTCGCTGCCCCAACACTTCAACACTATTTTATTTTATTTTTCTTATTAATATAAGAAGACAGAAATGTCAGGCCTCTGAGCCCAAGCCTGCACGTATACATCCAGATGGCCTGAAGTAAGTGAAGAATCACAAAATAAGTGAAAATGGCTGTTTCCTGCCTTAACTGATGACATTACCTTGTGAAATTCCTTCTCCTGGCTCAGAAGCTCCCCCAATGACCACCTTATGACCCCCGCCCCTGTCCACCAGAGAACAGCCCCTTTGGCTAAAATTTTCCACTACCTACCCAAATCCTATAAAACGGCTCCACCCCTATCTCCCTTCTTTGACTCTATTTTCGGACTCAGCGCGCCTGCACCCAGGTGAAGTAAACAGCCTTGTTGATTAAAAAAAAAAAAAAAAAAAAAAAAGCACATCATCACCAAGCTAGAAAGCATTAGAAACTTATCTGTTGTTTATGTATGTATAACGAAAAGCTACAAGTTATCCTCTCTGTTTCCCTCATTTTCAGTTTGAGTCACACAGCTTGTGAATGCACATTGCTCACATCCCATACATTGCAAATTGATTAGCTAAGCCACCTATGTGGGGCAGCACAGCCATTACTACCTCACATAGAAGGCCTACATCAAGAGTGTAAGAAGGCCATAGTTACACAGACAGGAGTTTTTTAGGACTAGGTTATTTGTGGGGTGGTGATATGTCGTCTAACACATTTTGAGTATGAGAAGTATAAAACATTAGAGCTGCAGATGGAGCTGTTGGCTTGTTGGAACAGTGCAGAAGGGTGGCTTTGCTCGAAGGAGGCTGTGCTTCCTTTCACTGATGAAAGTGTTGATTTCTTACATATGCTCTGAGTCCCATGAGCCACACTAGGGTCCTTTTAAATTAACTCCATCCGTGAGTAATTTATGCCTCTCATAAGGTAACCTCAGAAACAAGAGGCAAGATGCCTGTTATAGGTCATTATATGCATTTGTGTGTGTGTGTGTGTGTGTGTGTGTGTGTGTATCAGGGGAGAGACATGTGTGAAGTAACCAGCTAGAAAAGGAGCATGAAACTATTAAGGAGGCTACAAAAAGAGGTACCAAGAAAGGGTCCCTCTAAGGAAAAAATATAATCTCCCAATGACAAAACAGATTGCCATTGAGACCCTGCTATACCTAGAAAATATCTGAGCCAGATTATTTTGAGTAATTAATAAAGACCTTTCCTTAATTTTCATTTCCTCTGCATCAGTTCCAATCCTGATGTAAGATACTGCCTAGGAAGGAGGAAGTATGAGTAGAAGATATCTAAGAAGAAGAAATGAAAATCAGTCACAACACCCTTCCCCACTGTAGGCCTCACAGCCTAAATGAATTTTAAACTAGCAAAGGGAAGAAGCCTCAATAAATGAACTTGAGTGTTGAGATTAGTAAACTGGTCTAGACATTTTAATCTTATTTTCTAAGAGTAGGAAAAAAGTCACAAAATTGTCTTTACAACCTAATATCAGGTATGAAAAAGTGCATTGAGTAGATTTGAAAGTAAACTAAACAAGTTGGTAAAAATAAACAAGTTGGTAAAAATAAACAAGTTGGTAAAAATAAACAAGTTGGTGATTTATTTTGTTTTGGGTCTTTTTTTTGGTTTTTGTCTTTTTCTGATTCTATCTTATAGATTACTCTTATTACACAGAAAACAAAAATTTTAAGCAGTACTAGGTAAATAGTAAGTTCTCAAAAATCATAGTTTTTATTATTAGTTATTGCTCCTACTACATATCATCGTGAATATGCAATTTCAACATGTAAAAGCAAACAAAATCTACTTTCTTTTTTGCCAAAGTTGAGGTAGATATTGGCACGAAAATGACCCTGGCAAAATGTCAACAATTTATACCAAATGAAAATTTTTGTTTAAATGCATTTTTGTGCAGAAGGAAAAGTGACTTTTTTTTTTTGGTTTGGATTTGTTTTAGAAAGTGGGAATTAATTTTTTCATAGTGTGAGAAATATGCCATTTATTTTTAAAGTTGTGTTCTGAGATTTTGTTTAAGAGTAAATCCAATGTAATGAAACAGCATACACAAATTATCTGTAGACAGTGAGGAGTCTGGCTGAAGGCCAAAATCCTCTGTGTGACCTTTCAGGCCTGACCATAGGCAATGACTTGCTTTACTTTGCAGGCCTCACATGGGAAAATTGCCCTCCACATACCAAACTTGGTGCACACCCAGTGCATTTCAGTGTCTGGAGGAGCTTGAGTCAAGGACTCAGGCCTTCCAAGGCCAGCTATGCTCATAAGAATATTTGCATTCCTAGCCCAGGAACCTCCATTTTGAGGCCTCCTTATCAGAAGACCTTGGCTAAGGCACTCTTCTCCACTCATGGTCTCTGCTATTCCTTTGTTAGCCAATCCTCCTTTTTCTTCCTGGGCTCGTTAGGTCCATAAGAATGAAGGAGCCCTTGTTTAGGGCTCCTCAGCATTGAGATCATTCCCCCCACCTATGCTGCTTTGTCTTCAGACCCTCTCCTATTGCCATCCTGCAGGAAGAAATGGAACACTGGGAGTTGATGCCTTTCTTTTTGTCTACTTGCTTATATTGTCACAGTAAATGAATAAAGTCTTGATTGTTAGTTTCAGTTTAGCTCATTTTCCTAATTGACCTCCTGGGGCACCTGGCAAGCTCAATAGATACAGCTTTGAAGAGGTTCTCAAAGAGGACTCTTTTCTAACAATATTTAATTAACTTGCTTGGTGATTCCCAACTCATCTAGGAGTTTAGTTGTGTGACTAAAAATAAGAATGGTCTGGATCAAATCTGTCTCAACCATAACGCAGTTTGCTTCTCAAGATTCTTCTGGAAAGAGTCAAGGAAGCCACAGACACAATGAAGCATGTTAAGCAGCAGCAGAAATAATAAAAGCTATGTTTCACCAAATGTTGAATATGTACAAAGCACAGAACTCTGCACTTTACATTTTGTTTTGTCTTATTCAGGCAACTAAATAACCTATGAGGTAAAGACTATTATATTCCCATCTTAGGTGAGTACAAAAGTAATTATGGTTTTTGCATTGTTGGAATTTGCCGTTTGATATTAGGATACTTTCTTAAATGTGGTTATGTTATACATCATTTCAATGGGCATTTCTTGCTTTTGTTGTTGTTTTTTTTTTGCTAATGATTTATTACTTGCTGTTTATTTTATGTTTATTTTAGACTATGGAAATGATGTTAGACAAAAGACAAAAATAAAATTCTAGCAATTTTCTAATTTGAGTCCAAAATGGATTGTAAAGCAACAGAGACAACTCGCAACAGCAATACATTTGGCCCAGGAACTGCAAACAAATGGTGCAGTGGTAGTTCAAGAAGTTTTACAAAGGAGACGAGAGCCTTGAAGATAAGGAGCATAGTGGCTGGCCATCAGAAGCTGACAACAACAAATTGAGAGCAATCATTGAAACTGATCCTCTTACAACTATACGAGAAGTTGCCAAAGAACTCAACGTTGACCATTCTATGGTTGTTTGGCATTTGAAGCAAATCGGAAAGGTGAAAAAGCTCAATAAGTGGGTGCCTCATGAGCTGAGTGAAAATTTAAAAAAAATTGTCATTTTGAAGTGTTGTTTTCTCTTATTCTAGGCAACAACAATGAACCATTTCTCAATTGGATTGTGACGTGCGATAAAAATTATGACAACTGATGATGACTAGCTCAGTGGTTGGACCAAGAAGAAGTTCCAAAGCATTTCCCAACACCAAAATTGCACCAAAAAAAGGTCATGATCACTGTTTGGTGGTCTGCTGCCAGTGTGATCCACCACAGCTTTCTGAATCATGGCAAAACCATTACATCTGAGAAGTATGCTCAGCAAATCGATGAGATGCACCGAAAAGTGGAATGCCTGCAGCCAGCACTGGTCAACACAAAGGGCACGATTCTTCTCCATAACAATACCCAACCAGATTTCGCACAACTAATGCTTCAAAGCTACGAAGTCTTGTCTCATCCACCTTATTCACCTGACCTCTTGCCTACCAACTACCACTTCTTCAGGCATCTCGACAACTTTTTGTGGGGAAAATGATTCCACAGCCAGCAGGATGCAGAAAATGCTCTCCAAGAGTTTGTCAAATCCCAAAGCACAGATTTTTATGCTATAAAAATAAACAAACTGATTTCTCATTGGCAAAATTGTGTTGATTGTAATGGTTCCTATTTTGATTAATAAAGATGTGTTTGAGCCTAGTTATAATGATTTAAAATTCATGGTCCAAAACCACAAGTACCTTTGTACCAACCTAACATTTTAAAAAATTGAGGCAAAGAGTGATTAAATAATGTTATCAATATTAGAAAAAGCACCAGTAAGGTGCTGGGCTCCAAAGTCTCCTTTCCTAACCATGCTATTACCTCTATGGTTGATGGAGAGAGAACTTTCCTTATTCTTGTGTCCTTAGGAATTTTTTAATGTTATAAGATGTAACTCAGTCAACATATATCATTTGACTTACAATTTAGGGCATAATAAACACTTATTTATACATATCCAAACATTCCTTACAGTTTTTGTTTCCTTAATTATCACCCATTCAATTGTTATTGATCTTATAACCATTTACATACTTTTCTGCTAGTCCTAATGATCAATTTCGAACTCCCCATGCATTTTTGTTAGGTCTATCATGTTCTCTAGGCAATTATGTCACTTTTCTTGCTCATTAAGTCAGACAATTTGTTTTTCTGACATCAAGTAATGTTGTATACCCAACAAGATATTAACTATCTTCAAAATCACAGAGTGACATATGTCTATTCCCACATTCTGCTACAGCTACATGCAAATTTTAAAATTCCCCATCTAGTAGATGTGCTACATCACAAATCATCACTCTGTGAAAGACAGCATATTTTCTGCTATATTCCATTATATTTTTTCTCAATAATTTTAAAATAATAATTGTACTATATATACGATTGCAAATATAAGTCATCAGTAACTGCAGAAAGAAGAGGCATCTTTGTTTAATGCATGAAGCCTGGACCTTAGAGTCAGACAGAGAATGGTGTTACTCCTAACTCCAGCCCAGAAGAGCTGAATGATTTGGGGAAAGGTATTTACTTTTCTGAGTCTCTGCTTCTTTGCCCTAAAAGGAGAATTTGTCTCAGTTTGTAGCTATTTTGAAAAAAATTCTAGATGATTATCAAAAATGCATGGCTCACTGCTTGGCAGCTAATAATACTAAGGTCAAACTATTTTTGACAGCTAGGCTTGTGTTAAGAGCTTTATGTCTTTTATCTTGTTGCAGGATGGGGTTTCTTCCCCATTTCATTTCCTGAAGATAGGCGTATATATATATAATTTTGAAGTATTTGGTTGAGAGATGACACATAGCATCTTATACATCACTATTATTTAAAAAAATGATAATTAACTGACTGCATGAACTTGTTCCAGTAATTCAATTCCACTTAACAAATCCTCTGTATTTTTCAACACCTTTCTCAAAAAACCATTTTTTTCTTTCCTTTTGTGTTGTTATTTCCTAACATTGCAATCTAAAAGTAAACTTCTTTACTCTTTTTTTCTTTTCCAAAAGAAACTGATACCGTTTGGAAATTTGTCCCCTCCAAATCTCATGTTGACACTTGATTCCCAATTTTGGATGTGGGCCTAGTGAGAGGTGTTTTAGTCATGGAGGCAGGTCCCTCATAAATGGCTTGGTGTCCTCCTCATGTCCTCACATCTTCGTGGTAATAAGTGAGTTCACAAGAGAACTGGTTGTGTAAAAGAACATGGCATCTTTCTCTGCCTCTTGTTCCCTTTCTTGCCATATGACATGCCTACTTCCCCTTCACCTGACACCATGGTTAAAAGCCTCCTCAGATCTTTACCACAAACAATCGCCACACCATGCTTCTTGTATAGCCTGCAGAACTGTGAGCCAAATAACCTCTTTCTCTTATCAACTATTCAGCCTCAAGTATTCCTTTACTCCAATGCAAAACAGACTAACACAGAGATCTAGCATCCTTGAGGAAGGTGACCATTTATTTTCAACTTTTAAATTTTGTGTCACTTACTTATAGCAGAGGCTCACTGAAAATCTAATTGAACAAATACGTCTTATTACATTTATTTACATTTTATGCCACACAATTTGTATTATTTGGTTATATCAATCAATAAGGCAAACCAATGTATTGTATATTTATTTTATGTGAAAAAATATCATAAAACACTTTGTGTAGTATGAGTTCATTCATATATAGTATATATTTATGTGGGTATATATGTATATATATATGCAAAAATAAAATATGGACAAACTAAAATATCAAATGTAACAGCATGAATATAAGATTCTGGGTGATTGTGGGTGACTTTTTCTCATAAATATCTATCATACTTTTTTTTAACTACTCACAATTCTATAGCAAAGATAACTATTCAATTCCAGGTTTTTTAAAAAAAATGGTAATAGTCACCATTTTAATGAAGCACACAAAAAAATTAGACTCACAGAATTTCAATCCCATAAAGTGATAGTTCAGATTATATGTCAGGTTTACAATACTTTGAATGTTTACCAATAAAACTGTAATTAGTCTCTCATGATTTTATGCTTTTTGGAAAATAAAGGAGAAAGAACTACAAAGAAATAACATATAAGATATGCATTAGGATAAAAGAGGAAAAGCACACCTGTTATTTGAGAATCACCTCTAGAATGGACACCTTGAGACTGATGCCACTGAATATTAGCTTAAATTATTTAATGCTTCTAAAATTTATTTTTGTAGGTATATAAGGCAGATAACCAATAATTTAAAATGTTGACAATTAAATAAACCAAAATTAAGCCATTTTAAAAGGAATTGAACAATTAACATATATTTTCTGTTTTCACTATATAAGATAATTTTAAAGAATATATAAGTACATAAAAATACTCAGGGTTTTTATCACACCCTTTCTAGATAATTTAAATTATTAATTTAATGTAGAGAGAAAATATAGTATGTTGGATAAGAACACAAAATCTAATACATATCTATCTAACAATAAATAATATTAAATAAAACATTTGTTTACTTTGTGGCATAGAGCAAGATTTTTTTGCTGAATTTATTTATTTTTTTAATTTCTTGCTTGTTTGCTTTACAAAGCAAGTTATTTAATTTCTCTCTAACTCAGCTTCCTCACTGTGAACTGTATATAATGATACTTCATTGGTGACATTAAATGATTAAACATGTTTGAATACGAAAGCAGTTAAAATAGTAAATAGTGGGACCTATGTATCAGCTATCTTTATTATAAATCTATCTCTGTTTACTTAAATCTGGTGTTTAACCTCTTATTTTTTCTCCATTTTCTCCATTTTGTAATTTTTTATGCTTGCTTCTGCATCTTTATACTAATAACGCCAGAAATGTTCTGCTGTTGTCCCTTTGGCGTTTTACTATTAAAGACTGGTATCAGTGTATGATTCATGCATGTACTACTGAATTGAGGCTTATGATCCACTTTGTTAATCTTATTTAAATCATATCAATTCCTCTGCCCATAAATATTGTTATTTGTAGTTGACGGCTGATCATTTGATCAATATCATCTTTACCTTTATTTTCCTGTTATTTGCTGCAAATGAACTATAGCCTTAAAGAAAATAATACCATACAAATTTAAAATTTTCTTGATTATTCCGTTCACTCTTCTTCAACATGATAAGAAACACTAAAACATTTTTCTCTCGTAAATATGTCTCAGTACTTCTCTCCCTACCATGTGCTATTTATTCAGCTACTCTTTTTTTTTTTTTTTTTTTTTTTTTTTGAGACGGAGTCTCGCTGTCGCCCAGGCTGGAGTGCAGTGGCGCAATCTCGGCTCACTGCAGGCTCCGCCCCCTGGGGTTCACGCCATTCTCCTGCCTCAGCCTCCCGAGTAGCTGGGACTACAGGCGCCCGCCACCTCGCCCGGCTAATTTTTTGTATTTTTAGTAGAGACGGGGTTTCACCGTGTTAGCCAGGATGGTCTCGATCTCCTGACCTCGTGATCCGCCCGCCTCGGCCTCCCAAAGTGCTGGGATTACAGGCGTGAGCCACCGCGCCCGGCCTATTCAGCTACTCTTTAACAGAGTATTCTGTGGCATTAAATATGTCTTGGGTGGCAGGATGAAGGCACCATAAATGAATCCATAATACACACAAACATATCCAATCTTAAAGTATACTTTTCTCTGAACACGCAATTCACTGTTCCGTGTTATTTTTTGGAATGCTCTTATTCTTCATACATCCCTTGATGACTCTCTTCCCAACAAACACTTGTTCGCTATGTAGAATTGAGCAAGATTTTTTTTAATTAAAATTTTAATTAAAAATAAAAATTATTTTATTTTTAATTTTTGTTTGTTTGCTTTACTTAGCAAGTTATTTAATTTCTAACTCAGCTTCCTTATTTGTGAACTGGAGGTGATGATATCCAATGGGTGAGATTAAATAATTAAGCATGTTTGAATATGAAAGCAGTTAAAACTGCAAATAGTGGAACCTATATTACCTGTGTTATGAAAGTGCAGATATTTCAACTACTCCAAGGCAGACTTTTTCTTTCTCTAGGAATTTTAGTTGTCTTTTTTTCCTTGTGTTTAGTTCTTTAGTCCATAACCTTATTTTAACACGTTTTCACAATTACATTTGAAAGTAGATATGTTTTAAGAACAATTCAGTTATACCCAAGTGCACATGTTGAATTGTACACGTTTTTATCCTCTCATGGCTCTGTGAATGTCAAAGAATTCTGAAATAATTTCACTAGCTGTTTGGGAAGTTTGTTGGAAAAAAATTGCATGGACAGAGGAGTTTGACTAGACTGGCATTTCTTTCAAAATGGTTTTTGCTTCTTCTAGAGCGTTAGAGCTTACTTGACTTATCTGCAAGCCTGATACTTGTTTGAATGGTGCACAATAGCTCAACATCTACAAGCCTCCTTAAGTCTGCCTCAAAACAGTGCTTGTTCATATCTTCTCCCTCAAGACCCCTCATTTTCAGCTTTTCCCAGTTCACTTCCACCTAAGACATATCTCATAGCCCTGATTTGCTTAGACATTCCTTTATTGTACCAAATAGCCAATATTTGAAGTAAAATACAAACAAATAAAAACTAAGTATTGTCCTTGTTCTTCTCAGCATCACCTATCAAAATGTTAATTTTCCTCAAGGCATAATGGATGACTACGAATGATTGGAAGACAGTTAAATAGACAAAAAGTAAGAATGAAAAGTTCGGCTGGGCATGGTGGCTCATGCCTGTTAAGCTCAGCACTTTGGGAGACCAAGGCAGGCGAATCACGAAGAGATCTAGATGATCCTGGCTAACATGGTGAAACCCCGTCTCTACTAAAAATACAAAAATTAGCTGGATGTGGTGGTGCATGCCTGTAGTTCTAGCTGCTTGGGAGGCTGAGGCAGGAGAATCACTTGAACCTGGGAGCCGGAGGTTGCAGTGAGCCGAGATCGTGCCACTGCCCTCCAGCCTGGCAACAGAGTGAGACTCTATCTCGAATAAATAAATAAACAAACAAACAAACAAACAAACAAATAAATAAAAGTTAAGTGATCAATATTTCAAATTATTACCTGCTAGTCATTTATATATCCATCATCACGCCTAAACTACTATCTGCAGGTCAGAAACTCTATCATGTAGATTCATGTAGCACAACTAGCACAATGCCTGATTGGCTCAGAGAAGACACAGAAATGTCCACATTCCCTGAAGAAACTTAATTTACATTTCTTAATTTTATACTTAACTATATAGTCATGATTTTATTTGAACTTTATAACATTTTTAAATATTTAACATGTAAAATAGAGTCTAAAGGCGTATGTAATAGCTTACCTACATCTTTGTGGCCTTATGTTTCAATGACAAGGGACATTTTCATCAATTACATAACTGAAGCTCAATGGAAAAGCTGTTGCATCCTGTCCTCTCCTGCTTTTCCAGTCAGCCAAAAGATTTAATTAGTGGAACATTTTGGCAGCTTTTCTTCTCCATGTTTTTTTTTTTTTCTTTGTGATGTCTAATTGTCTTGTCCTCTTATGTTCAGCTGACAGTGATGGTCATTATGTCCACTGATGCAGAGCTCCCACTTGAGACTCCTTCTGCACCTAATTTGCTCATTTGTCTTTCTCGCTCTTTCTGTCTCTCTCTCTCAATGTAGAAAAACAATGACTATGGCCAATCAAAAACATCAGAAGCTAGACTACCCAAATAATAGTTAGAAAATTTCCAGGAGAAAAATATTGTGCTTAAGTGTTTACATTTCATTAAAAAAGGGGACTTAATAACTAGGGGAAATTAACATGTAAGAATATAATAATTATTTTACATAAATGAGAGAAACAATGAAATTATAAAATGCACTATCACTTTAATTTTTTACTTTACTTTTAATTTATTACATAAAAAGAAAATAAATATTTTATATTATTTTTTGTTTTTCTTATAATCAATTTGATTAAGGTAAATATGCAGATAATAATTTATTACATACATTTTAGGTGAAATGTTCGACAAATGTATACACTCATTTAACAATCACCTCAGTCAAGATAAAAAACAGTTTCCTTATGCCATCTTACCCAACCCTCTTCCCCTGGGAACCATTAATCTTATGTCAATCACTATAGATTAGTTATGCCTGTTCTAGGTATTCATATAAATGGAACCATGCAGTATGTACTCCTTTGTGACTGTCTCCTTTCAGTCAGCAAAATGTATGTGAGATTCATTCATGTTGTTGTGCGTGTAAGCAGTTTATTTTGTCTTATCTCTGAACAATATTCCTTCAGATGAACTTGGAAAATTTATGTATTCACCTGTATTTGTTCATGTATTTACCTGCTGATAAAATTTGAGTTATAGTTTTAGGACATTAAAAATTTAAATTGTTATATATATTCAGGTACAGGAATTTTGTGGACAAATGTTTGTCTTTTAGGTAGATATCTGGCAGTGAAATGGCTGAGATATATGGTAACACCATGGTTCATTCTGTAGTAAACTTCCCAACTGGTTTCTCAAGTAGTTGTACCATTTTTACACTCCAATCAGCAATGTAGGACAGATCAAATTGCTCCATGTTCTTTCCAACACTTTTAAATTTTAGTCATTTTAATAAGTGTGAAATGAGGATTGCAGTGGGGTTTAGTTTTATTTTCCTAACATCTAATGATGCTGAACATATTTTCATCTTATTGGCCATTGATTTTTCTTTTTTTTTTTTTCTTTTCTGAGATGGAGTCTCACTCTGTCATCCAGGCTGGAGTGCAGTGGCGTGATCTCGGCTCACTGCAAGCTCCGCCTCCCTGGTTCATGTCATTCTTCTGCCTCAGCCTCCCAGGTAGCTGGGACTACAGGCGCCCACCACCACACCCGGCTAATTATTTGTATTTTTAGTAGAGACGGGGTTTCACCATGTTAGCCAGGATGGTCTCGATCTCGTGACCTCGTGATCCACGCACCTCCACCTCCCAAAGTCCTGGGATTACAGGCGTGAGCCACTGTGCCCGGCCGATTTGTCTTCTTTAGTGTAGTTTCTGTGCAAGTTATCTACCCAGTGTTTATTGGATTGTTTGTGTTTCATTAATAATCTGTAGGAGTTCATTATGTATTTTAGACACATGTGCTTTGTCTGCAAATTGAATTTTGAATATTTACTCATTCGTATTTTGCATTTATATTTCTTCATTATTATTTCTTGAAGAAGATACTTTTTTATTTTTATGATGTTTAATTCATTACTTTTTAAAATAGGTACTTTTTGCACCAAGAATCACTTGCCTATCCAACTTTTGCAAAGGTTTTCTCTTCTGTTTCCTTCTGGAAATATTTTAGATTTCACTTTGACGTTTATGTCTATTATCAATTTAGAGTTAATTTTTTAGTATGGTGTGAGATTAGGATAGATTTTTTATTATTATTTTTATGGATATGCAATTCTTTCATCACCATTTTCTAAAAAGTATATCATTTCCTTTGAATTGCCTTTAGGTTTTTTTTTTGGAAATCAATTGGCAGTAAATGTGTGACTCTAGCTCAAACTGCACTATTCTCTTTCATTCATCCTCAACTTCTTTCACCATCACATTACTGTCTGGATGTCTGTAGTTCCATAGTCTTGAAATTAGGTTGTGCAAGTTCTTCAACTTTCTTCATTTTAAGTTCACTTTAGCTGTTCTAGGTCCATTTAATTTTCATATGAATCTTGGTATTAACTTATCAATTTCTCTGAAAATAATATTTTGTCACTGAATTGGCTTTATAGATCAATTTGTGGAGAATTGACATCTTAACACAAATTGAATTTTCCAACGCATGAGCATGATAGAAAAATTTTCAATACCTCTTCCTTAATGTGATATTATCTGACAATTTTACCAGATGTTCCTTATGCAACTGAGAAGATTATCTTCTGTTCTAATTTTCTTAGTGATTTTATCATGAACGTTGAACTGATGTTGAATTTTATCATAGATGTGTTGAATTTTGTTGTAGCCATTAAGATAATAATTTTTTTCATTTTGTTAAAATGCTGAAACACATTAATATTCAAATGCGTAACTAACCATTTATTCTTGAAAAAAACCCACTAGATCATAATAACAATTTTATTTAATAAACTTTTGTTGATGATTTTTGCTTTCATGTTCTTTAGGTATATAGATCTCTATTCAATTTTTATATATGTATCAAGCTTTAGTATCAGAATTATTTTGACCTCACAATGAGTTACAGATTATTCGCTCCTCAGTTTTATGAAAAAATTTGGATATCCATTTCATAAAATTTCCCCCAGATTTTTCTTTTAATATTCACAAATGAAAATATCTGTGCCATATTTTTCTTGTGTGGAGGTTTTATTTTGATTCTTTAAATAAATTTCGGTTTTCAACATAGAAATACTCATATTTAAAATGTGTCCTAAATTATATTTCCCAAATTTTGTTTTTTTAACTGTGTCCTTTTCAACTATGTTGCACATATTTTCATAAATTGTTCATAATATTTTTAAAATTTCTATAACATCTGTACAAATAACTGTTATTCAATTCCTGATGTTGGTAATATGTGATTTGCTCCTTTTATCTTGGTTATAATCTGCAGATATTTATCAATTTTGTCAATTTATTCATTAAGAAACTTCGCTTTATAAAATTGCCCTTAATTTGTGTTTTCTATTTTATTGATTTCTGTACCTCTCACTATTATATATCACAAAAGCCAATCTAGTTGATAGTGTTTTTCTCTTTATTTGTCATTTTTTAAAATTTTCTATATTTTGAGGTTCATATATTAGCTATAAAAAATTTAGGATAATTGTGTCTTCCTGATGAATTGGTCTATTAACTTTATAAGACATTACTCTCCATCACTCCAAGTCTACCTTTTATTATTTTACTGCAGTTACACAAACTTCCATGTGACTTTTATTTGTACTTCATATATCTTTTCACTTTTTCCTTCATTCTACTTTTGCTTTTATATTTTGAAAGGCACCTGACAGTCCAGGCACAGTGGCTCACGTGATCCCAGCACTTTGGGAGACTGAGGTGGGGTGGATCACTTGGGGTCAGGAGTTGGTCAGCATGGTAGAAACCTATCTGAATTAAAAATACAAAAATTAATCGTGTGTGGTGGTGTGTGCCTGTAATCCCACCTACTTAGGAGGCTGAGGCACAAGAACTGCTTGAATCTGGGAGGCAGAGGCTGCAGTGAGCTGAGATTGCACCACTGCACTCCAGAGTGACAGAGCAAGATTCTGTCTCAAAAAATAAAAATAATAAAATAAAATAAAAGAATAAAATAAAATGCACCAGACAAAGACTTCCTCCTTGATCAAACATTAGTCATGCTCTTCTGGGTCTTCTTTTCAATTAGATCCTGACTTGGGCTGGCTTCTCTGCCTTTGGACTGCCACCATACCCCTTGCCTGGTGAGCCTAGTTTTAGAAAAGAATCTTGCTAAGTCAGTGTGGCCAGAATCTTCCCACTCTTGATATCTGATTAAATTTGTTGTCTCTACCCTAATGTCTAATTCTTTGGCTTGCCTTTAGCAAGAGTCCTGTTAAGCCAGTTTAGCAAGAATCCCCTTACCCTTGCTATTTCTTCTTAGTAATTTTCCATCAACTGACCCTTTCACTCTGTTCTTTGGCCATCCAAAGGGTGACCAACTTTTGATTTTTCAACTTTAAGTTAATGTGAAAGCAATATGCATACGGTAGAAATCATGCTTTGAATAGCCAATCTATTCTGTTTTTCACTTTCAGCCCATTATTCAGTAAAGTCTATAAAACATTCAACACTTTACTATAAAATTGGCTTTGTGTTAAATGCTTTTACCCTACTGTAGGCTAATGTCAGTGTTCTGAGCACATTTAAGGTAGATTAGGCTAAGCTGTGATATTTGATAGGTTAGGTATATTAAATGCATTTTTGACTTACAATAATTTCAACTTATATTGGGTTTTAAAGGATGTAACCCTATCGTAAGTTAAGGAGCATTTCTAAATTCCTAACTGTCTTTGCTGTATTCAGAGTTGACCTCAGTTTTATACTCAAGTCTCTCTTCCTTACTACTTTAGCTCAAATAAAATCTGTCATGTCATTTTTAAAAAGTGTCCGGTGTAATACTATTCTTTTACACACCTTTTGAAGAAAGTTTTTAGTAGGTTTAGTAGATTTGCTTTGATGTCAAATCTGATACTCTTGGTATTTTAATTGAAGAATTTAGTCTGTTTGTAATGTAATTATTGGTATAATTACATCTTTCTATGGTTTTTTCCATTTGTCTGTTCTCCTTTTGTTTCACAGTGCAATTTGCCTTCTGTTTTTATATTTTATTTTCTTTCACATTCAGAGAGTACATATGCATGTACATTTGTTACACGGATATATTGCATTTTGGTGGGGTTGGGACTTCTAGTGTACTCATCACCCAAATAGTGAACATTGTATCCAACAGATAATTTTTCACTCTTTATCCTCTCCCCTCTCCCTGCTTTTGAAGATTCCAAATGTCTATTATTTCCCTCTGTATGTCCATGTGTACCCACTGTTTAGCTCCCACTTATAAGTGAGAACATGTGGCATTTGATTTTCCGTTTATGAGTTATTTCACATAGAATAGTGACCTCCAGCTCCATTCATGTTGCTTCAAAAGACATGTTTTTATTTTTATTTTTTTGTGGGTGCTTAGATTCCATTGTGTATGCATACCAGATTTTCTTTATTCAGTCAACTGTTGATAGACATGTAGGTTGATTCCATGCCTTTGCCATTGTGAACAGTGCCATGATAAGCATACAAAATGAAGGTGTCTTTCACCTTCTGGTTATTCTGACTGGTACATGATGATATTTTATTCTGGTTTTAATTTGCATTTCTCTGAAGATTAGTGATGTTGAGCACTTTTTAAAAATATGTTTGTTGGCAGCTTGTATGTCTTCTTTAGAGAAATGAATGTTTATGTCCTTTGCCCACTCTTTACTGGGTTACTTGTGTTTTTCTTGTTAAGTTGTTTGAGTTCTTCATAGATTCTGGATATTAGACCTTCGTCAAGAGCATAATTTGCCAATATTTTTTCCTGTTGTGTAAGTTATCTGTTTATTCTGTTGATTATTTCTTTTGCTGTGAAGCTTTTCAGTTTAATTAAGTTCCATTTGTCTATTTTTCTTTTTGTTGCATTTACTTTTGAGGTCTTAGCCATAAATTCTTTCCCTAGGCCAGTGTCCAGAAGAGTTTTAACCAGGTTTTATTCTAGGATTTTAATAGTTTCAGGTGTTATATTTAAGACTTTAATTCATCTTGAGATAATTTTTGTATAGGGTGGCATATAGGGGTCTAGCTTTATTCTCTTGCATATGAATAGTCAGTCTTCAGTATTTCATTGCATTTTCTATATTGGATTCTCCATTGGCTTTTTTATATCTGTCATCTATCCATTTTTTCTGGTTACTCTGGGTATTACATTATGCATTCTTTACATACTAAAATTAACTTAGAATTAATATGTGCCATTTTATTCCACTTCCCACTTCACTTAAGAAATCACACTCCTTATTTTCCAAATTATATTATGTGCTTTATATTTGTAGCCCTATAAGACTACAATTTCATTTATCTTCACACTCTTTTTCTTATATAGTCATATATTTCATTTGCACTTATGTTTTAAGCCTCAATTTATAATGCTATTATTTTTCCTTTATAATTTAATTATCATATCAAGAAAGTACACAGAGAAACACAAACTTTTTGTCGGTCCTATAAACACTTACATGCCATTCCTGATTTTTTTCTTTCCTTCGTTAGATCCATTTCATTTTGTATTATATCTTCAGAATTTATCTTAGTGAACTTCTCCTGGTTACAAATTCACATATCTGATGTCTTTATTTGAAACTTATTTTTACAGAATATTCTTACTGGGTATAAAATTTTGCACTGACTTTTTCTAATCTCTTTACAGATTTTTGTTGTTGTTGTTGTACTCTTTTTATTCTTGCTTTAGTGATTTTCTCTTTATTATTAGTTTTAAGCAGTTTGACAAATATATACCTATTTCTGGTATTCTTATTTGTGGTATTCTTTTCATTTATTTCTCTTTGGGGTAAGTTGAGCTTCTTGAATGGCTAGATATTCTTATATAGGTGAGGAATTCTTACTATTTGTAAATGGGACATCAGATTTCATTATGCCACAATTATTTGGTAAGGTCAAAAGGTTCTGTTCTTGCTTTCTAAAACTAATTATCTAAAGCATAACTATGATTATCACAATAAACATTAACACTTTAAAAAGCAATGATTTGATAATAGTCTACATTTCAAAGTAATTTTAATATAAAATTGTTTAAGCTAAAGAAATATGAATGATCTTCAGAAATGGGTTATGATTCGTCCCTCCTATATGCTCTAATAGCATCGTGTATTAAACAGGTCACACCACTTATGTGAAAATACATTTTTTGCAGTTGTCTCTCCATCCAATTCTACCTGAAAATAGTGGTGTTCAGGAATTGTCATTGTTCTTATTATATTTTTAGAATATAGAATCGAAGGAAACATTAGGCATTCAATAACAGGTTGATTAAATAAATATGTAATTGAACGGGATATCCTAACCCTCAAACTCATAACTCTATAACCTAAGGGTGTGACACTGTCAATGTGGTAAAATGTACACACACACACACTTATATATATTTCTTGGTGTATATATATATATATATATATATATATGCATATACATATATGTATAAATGTGTGTGTATGTGTATGTGTGTATGTATATATACACATATACATACAAGAAAACAAGACATGGTCCCTATTTCATGAAAGTTTTTTATATTTTACCTTTCTATCAAGGCTATTATACTTTTCTGTTGCTTGCCAACTTTGCAGAATATTTTGTCTTTATTTTCTAATTTAGCTTTGTGCAGGAGAAATGACTTGGTGCCTGACTATATTTTTCTTCCTATGAAACTAAAAAATAGGTAACCTTTTATAATTGTTCTTGAGGACTATTCTTTGGCACTCTGGGAAGGAATTGGTAGCACTGTAAACAGGTAGGTTGTGGAGAGGGATCTCTGTAAGTCTTCAAGTTATTAGTAATCTACACCATATTTAAGCAATTCACAAATATCTTATTCTCACATGAAGGAGCTTGGGGTTGCATCTATAAACAGTGTAGCTTAAACACATTCCCAACCATATTGCTGCCCTAAAGTCTTCTTTAACCTCCAACCAATAAATAAATAATTACTAGAGCAGCTTCTGGCAGAAAATGACCCACTTCTTATATGCTCAAATTTCTAAGACACGACAAAACCGCTTTTTCTCTACCCATACCCCAATCATTTTCTGACTCCTTTGGAAGGGATATGGGTCAATTTCAGAATGAAATATGAAAGTCTAAGAGGAGCTCAAAATTTTGGCTAAACTGACTTTGTTATGAAAGTACACTAAATTAATATACAACTGAACCATATTAAATAAGTTACTGTTTTTTACTAAAAAGATATGCAATTAGTGATTAATATTAATTATCTTATTAATTACTTAGTAACTTATTAATATTGATTAATATTAATATTGACTAATATTAACTAATAAGTTACTTTTTTTACTAAATGGATATACAATTAGTGATTAACTCTGTTATGGTTTATTTTGAGTTTTTAATGTATTTTAAAAAATGATTAGTAGAGAAAACCTTTTTTCTAAAAGAATACAGATGCTAGGTCTTTATGGAAAATAGTACAGTGTTGCAGCATTAAATTAAAAAGTGAATTAGCTCAAAGAGAAATTCTCAAATGACAATGTCTGCTTTGTATTTATATATAGATAATGATATTCAGGGAAAAAAACTTCATACATATAAGGAACTAGAAAAATGTTAAAAAATTTCTTACATAAATTATAGAATTACATCTTCCAAAACCAAAACTGAAATTAAAATTTTAAATAAATGACTAGATCCTAAACATAAACTGTATTTTATTTTCACAAATTTAGGACAGATCACGTCTTAGAAATAAATATGCAGCATTGTGTGGCAGATGGCTTAGGAAAATGGATTAGGCAAATACCACTCATTTTAGCCATAATTAAATGGCAAAAGCTTTAAAAATCAGGTTAAATAAAATTCTGCAGTATAAGTTACATGTAGTTACAAGAAAGATATGGCTAAATAATTTTTTCTTATACATTTTTGAATATAGCTTACTAATATTTTTCTATTTGCCTAAAAAGCCTGAGGTGCATTCTTACAGTTATTTTTTAAATACCCAAACCAAAATGCAATTTTTGGAAAATAAACTTTAAAAAATATAATTTAGAAAAAGACATATTAAAGCTATTACTCTTTAAAATAAAATGCTTTGGAATAGGTCAATTTAATGTGTAGATTTATTTTGCAAAGCTTTTATTTTCCACCCTAAAAGTCACAAGAACTCAGAATAAAGTAGGTGGATATTCAGGAAAAAGTAATAATCAGCCCACATCTCACAAAAGAAAGTCATTGTTATTTTTTAATTCTCTTTACTATGTCAGCATGGTATATCCCTGACATATTATAAAACTACTTTGTAGTTTTTCATTTATTTATCACTACAAAATGTATTTTATATGATTTATAAATTATTTCAAAACAGTATTTTAATGATAAAACTTATGTTAATGGGACATATTTAGTATGTATAAATACACAGACACATACACACACATATATTTACTTCCATTTTGCAATACTCATTCAGTTTTTGTGAAAGGAAATAATATTGTATTGTTTAGCAAAAAACTGTAAAATGATAATAGACAAATTAAAACCCTACACTTTGCACAGTGATTGATGGGTAGGGACCTCCTTTTATGCAGAGAATGTATATCATATAAATTTGAGAGATTTTAAGAAAGGCTCCTGGACACATTATCCAGAACTAACAAGAGTTGAGAATGAGCAGTATGGTATATTGCTCAATTTTGGATACTGGGGCCTTTCATCTCTTGTCTCCCATTATGTGTTCTTTCAGGCTTATAATGTGTTTTTGTTTGTTTGTTTTTTTGGAATTTATTGACTGGATTTAACACAGAGCTTCCCAGATTCCTGAAAATAAATCTTTAAATATGAAGTTATTGATCAGTTATACCTACCTTGTATGTTTTATATCTTATGTTACAGGTCTTGTTGATGCTTTTAATGCTATCTGAATTTTAACATGTAGTCAATAAAAGTAATAATGATGAAAAACAGTTTAAGTCCACATAGCTCTTTTGACTCTCCATGGCATATTTACATGACATTTTTATTTTATTCAATGGAAAATGACAAATAGGCTTCATCTTTGTATTTAGTGTGGTGGCCTAGCATGTTGACTGTCACATTGTGAGTTTACAGTAAATGTGTGAGAAAGCATTACTCAGAGGAATACTATCGGATAGGGAGTACATATGTGGATTATGTTGATTAGACAAAAGAGGAAACAGAGTACAGATATATGTAGTTGATTCTCTTAAGACTACACTATTTGTGAGTGGCAGAGTTCAGACAAAAAGATACTAAAATTCTATCTTCTAACCTGGGAATGCTTTCAATATAATAGAATCTAGCCTTCTGGTTGATAGAACTTTACGCAACAATAGAATTATAGATAAAATGTATGTTGTTATCCAGCATTTCTACACATTTTTTTTAAGAAAGAGTAATGCTATTTTGGTCCTAGTTCTGCCAGTGTTAATACTGACAGGTTCATTTATAGCAGTAAAGTGAATGTACATTTTAAAATATACTCTGATTTTGTTTCAATCACATATGGTAAGATGACGGATGTAAAAACAAAAGCCTTGAAAAGGAATAGTTTACTAATTTGGGTTCCCAAGAAGAGAGGGCTCAGTTCCCACACAGGGACACATGAGAGAGCACCTAGTTCAGTCAGAAGGCAGAAAAAGCACAGGGAAAGCATGAGCCGAAGCCGTTATTGTGGTTCTCACAGGAAGGAATGAGGGAGACAGCATAGACATACTGAGTAAATTTAGGATTAGATAATTTGAATAATTTCAGTGGGTTCTGGCTATAAGGTTAGTCTGTAGGGTGATTCAGGGCAGGAGGAATAGTGACTTTGTGTGTAACAGTTTGAAAGAAGAGGATATTGGGGTATGGACTCCCTAGACTGGCTGGTTTGCAAATCAAAGCCAACTTGTTTGCTGTCTCCAGAAATTAGCTAAGCCTGGGAGGAGCCTGGGACCACAAGACCTCAAGATGTCAAAGCATCATGAAATATACGAAATGTTTAAAAAATGATTAATGCAATGTATTTATGCAAAATATATTGTCTGAATTTTCACTTATCTAGAAAATTAAGATTATTTTTCTCTTACATAAACGCTTTAGATCTACGGGCACTGAAAAGACACTTGAGCAACGTATTCATTTCCTAGGGCTGACAACACAGAACCATGAACTAGGTGTCTTAAAACAACAGAAATTTATTGTCTCACAGTTTTGGAGGCTAGAAGTTCAAAATTAAGCTGTTGGCAGGTCAAACTCCTTCTGAAACCCATAGTGAAGAATTCTTTCTTGCCTCTTCCTATAGCTTCTGGTGGTTTGCTGTTAATTCCTAATTCCTTGGCTGGAATACAGTTTGATCTCTGACTCCCTTGTGTCATAGTGTTCTCCCCTCATGTGTTTCTATGTGTGGCTTCTCTTCTTCTTATAAGGACATCAATCATGTTGGACAAAGGACCCAACCTATTCCAGTATGTTCTTATGATAACTAATTACATCCTTAACCATCTTATTTCCAAACGAGATTACATTCTAAGGTATGGGGGGTTATGACATCAACATATCTTTTTGGTGGGCACAATTCAACTCATAAGAGGCATCACTCATTTTTTTCCATTTTGTTGTTATAGAAACATAATTAAATTGCAACTAGAGATATTTTATACTATACAATAGGCCCTTTCTCAGAATAACACTGATAGCCATGTATGATTTATGAATGAACAAAAATTAAGGTTATATCCAATGATAACAATGTTATTGGGGTGGACACACAGACTTTATATAAATTACTGTCTTACCCATATTTACTTTATTTTTAAATTTTAATGTAAAGCCAACTCCTCTAAAACTTCAAAAATCTTACACTTTTCATTACCTACGCTCAGTATAAGAGAGGAAATTAGAATGGCTTTAAATAACTAACGTCTATACTTAGTTTGAAAACCATTATTTAGCAATGTGGAGACATTATTGCTTTTCCTAAGACAAGACTTCATGGGAATGGTATACTCAGTCAATCACCACAAATGTATATAAGCTTGTAATCTGATGATAATATCCTTCAAGGAACTAAGACAAGTACTAGAGCAAGCTCACCACTATGAAAGAGACAATACAGGGGCGATTTTGCCCTTTTACATGAGTTCAGTAATGAAATGGTATCTCTCTTCACTCTACAGTAATAAGTAAAATGAATGTGAGTTGACTGCAGAAATGAGATCAAGTGATTTGTTCAATATTCCATAATGTGATTCGTTAAAATTCCTAATTATCTTTTAAGGACTGCTTTTATAATAATTATTCTTTCCTGAAAGTATCCTGCTCCCTTCTGCCAAACTTTGTGTAATTCAACTAGGATATATTTTCTATTAGGTAAATACATAAATCATCATAGGTGAGAGACCTACACATTGATTAATCTCAAGCTTTATTAAAAATGCCATGACTCTTCTCAAGTTCTCAGGAGAACATTGGTTCCCAGCACCAAGATAATTATATATGAGTAAAGAAAGAGTATTGGTCTGAGTCAGAGAACTCAGGACGTAGTTCTGACTCTTTCTCAACCAAGTACCTAGATAACAGCAAATGAATCATGTAACTTTATGGACTTTGATTTCCTTAAGTATCAATTAGGAATATTAGGTCAATAGTCTGGAATTTCATGTAGTACCTATATTCTATGTTTGTGTGTTCTTTTATTACTATCAAATATAATTTCTGATGTAAGTTGGCATGAAATTATAACCCAAATATAATTTTTTACTTTTGTCAACTCTTAGAGCTATTTTAAGCTAAGCTACTTTCAATAACTGTTGTTTATGTCTTTGGTGAGGTGTGGGATAGGAAAAAAGAGTCAAGGAAGTCCCCTGGCAGAGTCCTGATGTTTGTAAAAATAAACCTCTTTTACTTGGATTTCAAAGGAAATCATCACTACAATAATATCACAGAAGTCTAGAAGTGTTTAAACAGTGCATGAATGAACTTTTTAAATTATCACATTAAAGTAACTCATATTAAAATAAGTTTACATCATAATTAAAGTGATCAAAAATTAAGCTCTGGAGTCGAACAGGCTGGATTGGATCCCCATAGCCACCACTTTTTGATCTTGGCCTATATTAGAAACACTTTTGAATCTCATTAAATATTTTATCTTTTTATAAGTCAGTTTTTTGAGGTAAAATTATCAGACAATAAAATTTATCCTTTTTAGATGCACATTTCTATGAATTTTGACAAATACCTTAGTTCTGTAAATTCCACTTCAATCAATATAAAGAATACTCTCTTCACCCCACAAATTTTCCCTGTGAAATATTCCATTCATTTATAATTCAAAAATTGCAAACTAACTGTATAGTGACAAAGAGCAATTCAGTCATAGCCTGGGGATGGGAGGTAGTGGTGGGGCAGGGTTGGTTTGCTTAAGGGAATAAAGAAACTTAGACATAATGGGTATGCTTATTATCTTGAATCTGGTGATGGATTCACAAGTGTATTTATATGTCAAAAATTATCAAATTGTATACTTTAAAATATGTGATTTATTAGATATAAATTATACCTTTAAAAGTGTTTTTTTTTAAGACAGTTAAATGAGCATGTGGTAATGGATACAGTATATGTGGTGGTTATTTTTATGTGTCAATTTGACTGAACCATGGAATACCCAAATATTTGGTTAAACATTATTTCTAGATGTGTCTGTGAAGGTATTTTGAGAAGGGGTTAACTTTTGAATTAGTGAGCTGAATAAAGTAGATGGCCCTCCTCAATGGGGGTAAGCAATGTTCAAGCCATCAAGGGCCTGAACATAACACAAAGGGAGAGGGAGGTTGAATGAGCTCTTTCTGCCCAGTTGTTCAGCTGAGACACAGATCTGACCTCTTCACTCCTGGTTCTCAGGCCTTCAGGCTCAGACTGGAATCTACACCAACAGCTTTGTGGCTGTCATGCCTTCAAACTACACTACTGGCTTCCCTGGTTCTCCAGTTTGCAGACTAGATTGCGGGACATCTCAGTCTCTATAATTGTGTAAACCAACATCTTCTAATAATCTCTTAGTATATAAATATATAAATTCTCCCATTGGTTCCATTTCTCTGGAGAACTCTGACTGATATACAACGTAAGGCTAGAAATTCAAAACCTGCCTATGTTTCATACGAAGGCCAAAAAGTTAAGAAACTTGTTTCTGAGAGAGGCACCATCACAAGTGGGAAATTCAGCATTGGCTGTCCTCTCTAAGCTGGTGATGATGGTAGGAGGTGTTGTTATAGACTGAGCCCCCTGATAGTTATGAGGATGACAGGATCCAGAAACCAGAGAGGCAAGATGGTGGCAGTTAACCATCAGAAGAAAGGTAGCTGAGTGAGAGGTAAAAGTGAGTTCTAACTCACAGAGACATATAAAAATGGTTTGTTTGTTTGTTTTTCAACAAAAATGGTGTGTCCAGAGGCAGTCAGCAAGGGTGGTGCTCAATCTATAAAATCAAAGAAATGCAAGAATGGATAATCAAGGAGATGAGAGCAACTTCCCCCAAATGTCACAATCTATTGCCCAGTTTCCAGACTGAGCTGATTTTCCCAAACAAAACTATCAACTGGAAGTTCTCCAAGACCCTATGATTTTATTGCACATGTGTACAGTAATGGACTTCAACCTACGGCCATTTGCTTAGCTAAGTATACATGAGGACAAAGAGATAGCACCATTCTATGTATTTCTGTACTGATTACATTGATACATAGGATACAAAGCATATCATGGTCTTCTGTTAGCATTGGGATAGGGGGCGAGTAAATGGAGTCATCTGAAAAGTCTGGCACACTGTACATCCAACTGGCTCCATAGACTTACCGACTGGTTATTTCTCCAGTCTGGGAATGTATAATAAGGGATAAAATACTTCGTATTTTATAGAAACCCCATTTTGGCTTATTTACCTGTGAAATACTTGGTATTTCACTGAAACCCCATTTTGGTTTATTTACCTTTATTTATTTAAAGCCACTGCAGTCAGGCAGCCTAAGTGAAAGCCTCTAAAACTAGTTCATTCTTCTGGCTAAGAAAGCTAGTTTAAAAAATAAAATAAAACCATGAGGAAAACTACCAAAATTAGTGCCATCTATAAAAACATAAAGAATGAGGATGCAGCAGTAGTGACTGTCATCGTATTCAATTTAATTTACTAGTCTGGCCCCTTCACAACCAAGATGGAACTGGAAAATGATATTGTACTGCTATAAACATAAAATAATATTTCTTCTAAAACAGACGATCATAGTTTTAGGTATATTGCATTATCTTTCATCTCTATAGGAAGGAAGCTCAGACACAGTTCACATCCACACGTTATAGACAGCAATATTTATTTACAACCTGTCCTGAGACTACATAAACTCTCCCACCTTCATTATAGTTTAAGCTAAAATTACTGGAACCACCTGGATTTTCCACAGAACAGCATATAGACCCTCTGTCTCAATAATATTGTGCCATTTGCACCAAACAAGCAAAAAGCATGGGATATTAACTCTACAAATATTCAAATTTACACTATATTAATGAAGATTTTGATGTAGTCTGGAGCCTGTGAGAAACTCTTCCTCTAAAATCAAGGATAAATTATTTCATCTTACCCGTCATATCACTAAGAATAATACACAATACCTAGTAGGCTTCTTCAAGATTTAGAAGTACATTCCACACTTGGAGATATAGCTCCAACTCATTAACTAAGTGACATGAAAGATTCCTACTTGCTGTAGAGATCAGATCAGAAAAGTGCTGTCCAGCAGCTCTATCCTCTGGTGTAATCAACTCTGACTCTTTTATCATAAAACCTGCTGGGCACAATGATACTAGAGCTATAGGAAATTGGAAACACTGTCAGGTGAATTTTATGGGTAGCACCAAGAGGAAAAGCAAAATGTAGATTCCTAAGATGCCAGAGGAAACTCATGTCATTTGTAGTATAGAAGTATGCATAATTTTTTCAAAATCTTGACATGCCACTGGGCACTAGTAACAATGGAGTCTTGATCATGGCACACAACTTAACCATGAGGCCCAAATATTCCCTCATGCACTGGGTTCTGTCAGATCCAACAAATCATAAGTGAAGATAAGACTAGGACAAATAAATTATAAAAATTGAAAATAATGCATCCAAAATTATGGATGAACAGAGCCAGAGGTCATAGCAAACTACACAAGAAGATGACTAAGACATCCATGTCATCCACCACTTTGGCTATGATTATTTTTTTGTGAGGCTGCTCCTTAATGCTCACCTGATGGAGGAAAATTCTCAGTTCTGTTCAGAGATGGGTAACATGGAATGTTGAAACAAGCTGAAAGAGGTATTAAAGCCCCACTCGGGACTATCAATGAGAGAGATAGTTGAGAGAAAATCCTCCCAGTTGGAAGATCTTCAGGAGGAATTTTTGGTCATTCACTTTGTATGTAAGGGAAATTGTTAAAAGCTATTACTCATGTAAAGCAGTGAATAACTTAGCTAGTTAGGAAACTGTAGGAAAATTAGACTACAAAATTGGAAGGAGGTCTGAGGCGGAGGATTTTGGGTGGACCTATTACAGAGGGAATAAAATGTGTACTGCATGTTAATTTCCACAAGAGAGCATCCAGCATGGAAGAAGCACTAAAAAACCAATTAGAGAAAATAACTCTACCAATTTATGTTATCCAGCTTCCACCACTGGCCACCCATTGCTGGCATAATGAGTTGATGTGGGAATGGTGGCAGAGATGAAGGTCATGTATCATTCCAACAATGTAGGATCACATTCAGCACAACTGATTTAAGTACTATTTTTACTGAGTGTTAGAGAGACAA
Source organism: Homo sapiens (assembly GCF_000001405.40). Classification (NCBI taxonomy): domain Eukaryota; kingdom Metazoa; phylum Chordata; class Mammalia; order Primates; family Hominidae; genus Homo; species Homo sapiens. The sequence continues at coordinate 45,718,487 of NC_000004.12, forward strand.
ATATGATCCATGTATTGCCTACACCACCTTTCCCCAACTGCAGCAGTGCTGCATGGCATGGAGACAATCTGTGTGCTTAAGGGAGGGAAAGTGAAGTGATTGTGGAACGTTGCATTGGAATGCAGTGCTGCCCTGTCACCATGGAAAGCAATACAGGGCAGAATTCAGCCAGTGCCCATGGAGAGAGCATTTAGACCAGCCGTAGCAGAGCAGAATCATCCATTTCAGAGGCCATAATATGAGTTCCAGCTAGGCCTACCATCATGGACTAAAGCGCTTTGAGGTCCTAAATAAATTTGAAAGGTAGTCTACGCCACAAGGATGGAAAAGCCTGGGCAAGTCCTGGTGGTGTGCTGGCCTTAGAACCAGCGGGCTTGGGGTGCATGTGACCCAGTGAGACACCAACTGGGGCAGCCAAAGGGGTGCTTGTGTCACTCCTCCTCCAACTGCAGGTAGCACAACTTGCAGCTCTGGGAGAGACTCCTTCCTCTTGAGGAAAAGAGAGTGAAACAACAAGAGAATTTTGTTTGTAAATTGGATGCCAGCTCAGCCAGAGAAAAACAAAGCACCAGACTCCTGGAGCCCATATTTCGGGGCCTAGCTCCCAGATTACATCTCTAGATCCACCCTGGGCCACAAGGGAAAGACTCAGTCCTGGAATAATTCATTACCTGCTGACTAAAGAGACCTTGGGCATTGAAAAAACATAAGTGGTAGTCAGGCGGTAGTCACCATGTGCCTTGGAAAAGACCCAGTACCATGCTGGCTTCAGGTGTGACCCAGCAAGTTGTCAGGTATGATGGCCATGGGAAGAGACTCCTGCTGCTTCAGAAAGGAAGGGGTAAGAGTAACAGGGCTTTGTCTTACAACTTGGGCACAAGCTCAGTCACAGTAAAATAAAGCACCAGGTAGATTCCTAAAGTTCTTGATTCCGGGTCTAGCTCCCAGACAGCAATTCTAGACCCTACTTGGACCAGAATGTAATGCTGCAGGGAAAGAAACAAACTGGTAGGATTCATCAACTGCTGACTAAAGAGGACTTGAGCCTACAGTAAACATCAGCAGTAGCCAAAAAGTAGTCGCCACAGGCTTTCGGTGAGACCTAGTACTGTGCTGGCTTCAGGTGTAACTGAGCATACTCCCAGTGGTGGAGGCAACAAGACTACTTACATTACCCCTCCCACAACTCCAGGTAGGTCAGTACATACAGACTCCCTATGCTTGGGGAAAATTAAAGGGAAAGAAAAAGAGTCACTGCTTCATAATCCAGGGAATTCTCCTGGATCTTACGCAAGACCACCAAGGTGGTACTTCTATGAGTCTGCAAGAGTCACAGCATTACTAGGCTTGGGGTGTCCCCTAATGCAGATATGGCTGTGATGACCAAAGACTTAGACTAAAACACTCAATTCCATTTGAATACTTGGAAAGCCTTATCAAGAAGGATGGCTACAAATAAGCCCAGACTACAAATATTAAAATAAATATTGAATTCCTCAATGCCCAGATATAGATGAACATCCACAAGCATTAAGACGATGCAGGAAAACATGACCTCAGCAAATGAACTAAGTAAAACACCAATGACCATTTTAGGGTGCAAGAAATAAATTACCTCCTTTCAGATAGAGAATTGAAAATAGATATATTGAGGAAGCCCAGTGAAATTCAAGATAACTCATGGAAGGAATTTAGAATACTATCATATAAATTTGGCAAAGAGATTAAAACAGTTTTTAGAAAACAATCAGAAATTCTGGACCTACAAAATTCAATTAACGACCTGAAGAATGCATCACAGTCTCTCAACAGCAGAACTGATCAAGCAGAAGAAAGAATTAGTGAGCTTGAAGACAGGCTATTTGAAAATACACAACCAGAGAAGGCAAAAGAAAACATAATATGAAAGAGTAAAGCATGCCTACGAGATCTAGAAAATAGCTTCAAAGGGGCAAATCTAAGAGTTATTGGCCTTAAAGAGAAGATAGACAGAGGGATCAAGGTAGAGAGTTTATTCAGAGAAATAGTAATAGATAATATTCCAAACCTAGAGAAAGATTCCAATATTTAAGTACAAGAAGGTTATAGAACAGCAAGCAGACTTAACCGGATAAGGCTACTTCAGGAAATTTGATACTCAAACTCCAAAAGGTCAAAGATAAATAAAGGAAAACAGCTCTAAAAACAGCAAGAGAAAATTAAAAAATCACATATGAAGGAGCTCTAATATGAAAATTCTCAGTGGAAATCTTAGGAGAGAGTGTCATGCCATATGTAAAGTCTTGAAGGAAAAAAAAACAAAACAAACAAAAAATCCCTTCTATACTAGAATAGTATATCCAGTGAAAAAATCCTTCAATATCCTTCATACATGGAGAAATAAAGACTGTCCCAGACAAACAAAAGCTGGCTGAAGGATTCCATCAACACCACACCAAACCTGTCCTATAAGGAATACTAAAGAGACTTCTTTAATTAAAAAAGAAAAAAAAAGGCTGTTACTGAGCAACAGGAAATCATCTGAAGGCACCAAGCTCACTGGTAATAGTAAGTGCATGAAAAAATACAGAATGTTATAACACAGTAATTGTTTTCTACTCATATCTTAAGCAGAAAGACCAAAAGAAGGAACAATCAAAAATAATAATAATAACAACTTTTCGAGACACACATAATATAATCAGATACAAATAGAAACAATAGAAAGTTAAAATGCATGGGGAATGAAGTTAAAGTGCAGTTTATAAGTTTTCTCTTTGCTTGTTTGCTAGTTTGTTTTTACAATCCGAGTTTGTTATTAGCTTAAAATAATGATTTATACAATGGCTTATCATAATGCCATATGGTAACTGCAAATAAAAAACCTACATCTGCTACACAAAAATAGAAATCAAAACACAGCACCAGAGAAAATCACTTTCACAAAAGGAAGACAGGAAGGAAGAAAGGAAGAGAACACAAAACAAGCAGAAAACAAATAACAATTGTAGTAGTAAATCCTTACTTATCAACAATGACATTGAATATAAATTGATCAAATTCTCTAATAAAAAGGTATGGAATGGCTGAATCAGTTTTTTCAAAAGATCCAATGATCAGTTACCTATAAGAAACAACACTTCACTGTAAACACGCACATAGGCTAAAAATAAAGGGAAGAAAACAAACATTCCATGTCAATGGAAATCAAAAAAAAAAAAAAAAAAGAAAAGAAAAAGTAGCCATACTTATATTAGATAAAATAGATTCTAAGACAAAAACCATTAAAAGAGATGAGAAAGTCATTATATAATGTTAAAGGAGTCATTTTAGCAAGAGGATGTAACAATTATAAATATATGTGCATTCAACACTTGAGCACCCAAATATATAAACCAAATATTACTAGAGCTAAAGAGACAGATAGACCCCAATACAATAATAGTTGGAGACTTGAACACCCCACTTTCAGCATTGGACAGAACTTCCAGACAAAAAATTAGCAAAGAAACATGAGACTTAATTGGCACTATAGATCAAATTGACCTAATAAATATTTACAGAACATTTCATCCAATGGCTACAGAATACACATTCTTGTCCTCAGCACATGGATCATTCTTGAGGATAGACCCTATATTATGTTAGGCTACAAAATGAGTCTTAAAAATTCAAAAAATAATGAAATTAGATCAAGTGTGTTCTCCAGCCACAATGGAATGAAACTAGAAATCAATAGCAAGAGGAATTTTGAAAACTATACAAACACATAGAAATTAAACAATATGCTCCTGAATGCCCAGTGGGTCAATGAAGACACTAAAATGGAAATTAAAAATTGTATTTAAACAATTTAAAATGTAAACACAACATTACAAAACCTATGGGATACAGTAAAAGCACTATTAATAGGAAAATTTATAGAAATAAGCGTATAACAGGTGCTGGAGAGGATGTGGAGAAATAGGAACACTTTTACACTGTTGGTGGGACTGAAAACTAGTTCAACCATTGTGGAAGTCAGTGTGGCAATTCCTCAGGGATCTAGAACTAGAAATACCATTTGACACAGCCATCCCATTACTGGGTATATACCCAAAGGACTATAAATCATGCTGCTATAAAGACACATGCACACGTATGTTTATTGCAGCACTATTCACAATAGCAAAGACCTGGAACCAACCCAAATGTCCAACAATGATAGACTGGATTAAGAAAATGTGGCTCATATACACCATGGAATACTATGCAGCCATAAAAAATGATGAGTTCATGTCCTTTGTAGGGACATGGATGAAATTGGAAATCATCATTCTCAGTAAACTATCGCAAGGACAAAAAACCAAACACTGCATGTTCTCACTCATAGGTGGGAATTGAACAATGAGAACACATGGACACAGGAAGGGGAACATCACACTCTGGGGACTGTTGTGGGGTAGGGGGAGGGGGGAGGGATAGCATTAGGAGATATACCTAATGCTAAATGACGAGTTAATGGGTGCAGCACACCAGCATGGCACATGTATACATATGTAACCAACCTGCACATTGTGCACATGTACCCTAAAACTTAAACTATAATAATAATAATAATAAAAAGCTCATTAAGAGAAAAAAAAAGAAGCGTATAGATTAAAAAAGTGGTAGAACTTCAAATAAGCAACCTAATGATGAATCATAAAGAATTGGGAGAGCAAGAGCAAATCAAGAGCAAACCAAACACACAATTAGTACAACAAAGTAAATGATAAACATCAGAGCAGAAATAAATAAAATTGAAAGAAAAGATCAACAAAATTAAAAATTGTTCTTTGAAAAGGTAAACAAAATTGATAAACTTTTAGCCAGACTAAGAAAAAAGAGAAGGCAAATAAATAAATTAGAGATATAAAAAGGACACATTACAACTATAATTATATCACAAAAATTTAAAGGAACATTAGAGGATACGGTGAGCAATTATATACCAGTAACTTGGAAAACCTAGAAGAAATGGATGAATTCCTAGACACATGCAAGTAAGATTGAACCATGACTGAACCATGAGTGAACCATGACAGAACCCAAACCCTGAGGAGACCAACATCAAGGAATGAGATCAACGCCATAATAAAAAGTCTCTCAGCAAGGAAATGGCCAGGACTCGATGGTTTTACTGCTGAACTTAACAAACATTTAAAAAACTAATACCAATCCTACCCAAACTATTCAAAAAAATAGAGAGTGGAATACTTCCAAACTCATTCTATAAGATCAGTATTATGCCGATACCAAAACCAAAGATATCAAACAATAACAACAACAACAACAAAAACTTCAAGCCAATATCTTTGATGCACTGATGCAAAAATCCACAATAAAATATTAACAAACAGTTCAACAACGCATTAAAAAGACCATTCATCATAATCAAGTGGGATTTATCCAAGAGATACTAAGAAGGTCAAACATACACCAATCAATGAATGTGATATATCTCATCAACAGAATGAAGGACAAAAAACATGATGATTTCAACTGATGCTGAAAATGTATTTGATAAAACTCAACATCTCCTTATGATAAAAATCCTCAAAAAATAAGTATGGAAGAAACATACTTCAACACATAAAAGTCATATACGATAGAACCACAGCTAGTATCATACTATATGGAGAAAACTGTAAGCCTTTCCTCGAATATCTGGAAAAAGACAAGGATGCCCACTTTCACCACTGTTATTCAACCTAGTATTGAAAGTCCTACCTAGAGCAAGTCAGACAAGAGAAAGAAATAGAAGACATCCAAACTGAAAAGGAAGAAGTCAAATCATCCTTGTTTTCAGATGATATGATCTTGTATTTGGAAAAAACTAAAGAACCCACCAAAAAACTGTTAGAACTGAGAAGTTAAATAAAGTTCCAGGATACAAAATTAACATACAAAAGTCAGTAGCATTGTTATATGCCAACAGCAAACAATCTGAAAATGAAATCAAGAAGGCAACCCATTTATAATAACTGCAAATAAAATTAAATACCTAGAAATAAACTTAACCAAAAAAGTGAAAGATCTATACAATAAAAACTATAAAATATTGATACAAGAAATGAAGAGGATGTCAAAAATGGAAAGATATTCCGAGTTCATAGATTTTGGAAGAATTAATATTGTTAAAATCTCCATACTACCTACAGCAATATACAGATTCAATGCAATACCTTTCCAATTAACAATGATATCCTTCATAGAAATAAAAAATAATAATCCAAAAATTTATATGGAACCACAAAAAAAAAAAAAAAACAGAATAGCCAAAGCTTTCCTAAACAAAAAGAACAAAAGTGAAGGAATCACATTACCTGACTTGTAAATGTACTACAAAACTATAGTAACTAAAACAGTCCAGTACTAGCATAAAAACAGACATATAGACCAGTGGAATAGAATAGAGAACCCAGAAATAAATCAACACATTTACAGTGAACTAATTTTTGACAAAGGTGCCAAGAATGCATATTAGAAAAAAGGTAATCTCTTCAATAAATAGTGCTAGGAAAATTGGATATCCATATCCAGAAGAATGACATTAGACCACTGTCTCTCACCATATACAAAAATAAAATTAAAATGGATTAAAGGCTTAAATCTAACACCTCACCTCATACTATGAAACTATTAAAAGAAAACCTTGGCAGGACATTGGTCTGGGCAAATATTTCTTGAATAAAACCTCAAAAGTATAGGCAACCAAACAAAAATGGAAAAATGGGATCATATCAAGTTAAAAAGCTTCTGTACAATAAACGAAACAATCAACAAAGTGAAGAGATGACCCATAGAATAGGAGAAAATATTTGCAAACTACTTATCTGACAAGAGATTAATAACTAGAATATATAAGGAGCTGAAACAACTCTATAAGAAAAAAATCTAATAATCCTATTTCTAAATGGGCAAAATATCTGAATAGTCTTTTCTCAGAAGAAGACATACATATGACAAACAGGTATATGAAAATGTGCCTAACACAACTGATCATCAGAGAAATGTAAATCTAAATGACAATGAGGTATCATCTCACCCCAGTTAAAATAGCTTAAAACTGAAGACAGACAATAACAAATACTGGAGAAGGTGTGGAGAAAAGGCAACCCTCACACTGTTGGTGGGAGTGTACATTAGTACAGCCACTATGGAGAAGAGTATGGAGGTGCCTCAAAATTTACCAATAGAACTACCATATGATCCAGCAATCTTACTGTTAGGTATGTACCCCAAAGAAAGGGAATCAGTAAATTGCGGAGGTATTAGCACATCTATGTTTATTGCAGCACTATTCACAATAGACAAGATTTGTAATTAATCTAAATGTCCATTAACAGATTAATGGATTTAAAAATGAGATACATATACACAATGGAGTACTATTCAGTTCAGCCATAAAAAGAATGAGATCCTGTTATTTGCAACAACATGGATGGAACTAGAGGATACTACGGCAATTGGAAAAAGGCAGGCACAGAAAGACAAACTTTGTGTTTTCTTGCTCATTTGTGAGAGCTAAAAATTTAAACAATTAAACTCATGGAAATAGATGTAGAATGATGGTTACCAGAGGCGGGGAAGGCTATTTGGGAGTTGGAGAAGTGGGATGGTTAATGAGCACAAAAATATGGTTAGAATGAATAAGATCTAGCATTAGATAGCACAACAGTGTGACTAGAGTAAACAATAGCTTATTGTACATTTAAAAATAGCTGAAAGAGTACAATTGGAATGTATGTAACAGGAAGAAATGATAAATGCATAAGGTATCCAATACCCCATTTACTCTGATGTGCTTATTACACATTGTGGGCCTGTATCAAAATATCTCATGTACCCCATACATATTTAGACCTACTATGTACCCATAAAAATTAATAACTTATTTTTCATCCAAAGGAGTTAAGAAGCGCTAATTTTTCATCTGTATTTTAATTTAAGACAAATAATGAGAATCTGTAATCTTGTTATTGTTAACTGCATGTTTTTGAAAATTCTCAGTATCTGAAAAAAGAATCACTGTTAGAAAACAAAACAACAAAAAAAACTTCCTTACTACATTGCTTAAATTACGGCTTTGCTTATGGTACAAAACAGAATAATTACATCTACTTCTGTATTGATTTTCCTTTAGACATATTATTACTGTTAAGAATACCCGGCAGCCTTGGGATGCCTCTACCCACAACAGTTACACTTCGAGACATTTGTCCATGATATATGAATGTATATGTTCACTAAAACTTATGTAAAAGAATGTTCATAACAATCTTTTTTTATAAAAACCTAAAACTGAACATAATCCATGTGTCCATCCGAGACTAAACAAATTGTAGTACATTCATACAATTGATTTCATCAATAGAAATGGAACAAACTACTTACTGTTGCAACAAAATGAGTGAAACAAAAATACTATGTTGAGCATGCACAAATACATACATACGTACAAAACATATAGTGTTATTCCGTTCACATAAAGTGAAAGACCAAGAATAAAATCTATGATTATATAAGTTAAAAAGTGGTTATGTAAATGGGAGGGGTATTGATTGGAAAGGTACCTGAAGAAATTTTTGGTTTGATGGAAATGTTCTATGTCTTGTTTGGGCAATGGTAAACACTACTACACTGGTATATAAAATTACTGAACCTCATGGATTGAAAAATTAGAAAATAAATTTTATTGAATGTAAATTTTACGTCCTTTAAAATAAGCCTTGAAGAGAGTGATTAGAAGGGAGCAAAGCAGAGATTTGTTGGGACTGGTAATTTGTTTCTTGATTAGCAAAGGTTACACTGTGTTTAATTTTGTAAAAATCTTATTTGTTCACTTAGGCTTTCTGTCATTTTTGTATATATGCTATTCCTCAATTTATTTTAAAAAACTTTATTAAAATTAAATTAGGCAGAAGTTAACTATATTTTTTTAAAACCTTTAAACACTCTCAAATAAAATACAGACTGTTATTATTGCATCATTAAAAAGATATTTAGGATAGTTACAAAGAAACCTACCTAGTCAAGGATCTTATATTCCAGATTTTAGCTGCAAGTCCAATATTTTGTAAAATAGTAAAAGACAAATCAACAACCAGATGAGTTTCTCATTAAATGAAAATAATTTGGAAAATAACTTCTATGCATAATTCAGCATAGGGTGAGGTCCAAGTGAAATAATACTTATACATAATATTTGAAAACCGGAGAGCACAATATAAATGTAGGATATTTCTGTCTACCTCATCAATCATACATTGATAGACTAATTTTTAATAATAAATGTCACTAATTTTTCTCACAATACCAATCAAGATTGCCATTAAAAATTTCACCAGCCATGGTGATCTTATTTCTCAGCGACCTGAGGAAAAGAAGAATTTGGAACTCTGGATATCGTATGAGACAAACATTTGAGTTAGACTGACAGTGGACATAGAGTTTTCTAAGAGTAATAGGACTTGACAGCCAAGTCATATCTGCCAGTTGAAATGAGACCTACCCAGTGTCTGTGAGTATAGAAGCCTTTTGTCAACTCATAGCCACTCTTCTTCACTCTCATACTTTCTTCCTGTATATACAACTGTCATCATCATCATCATCATCACCAACATCATTAGTGATATTACTTTATCACTATCATTCATTAAACACCTAAACTTATAAATTCTTTACATAGAAAATATAATTTTTTCTCCACATTTCCAGGGTCCTTACATTCCAATTTTCTTAAAGTTGCTCTTGTTCACTGCATTTGTGTTGATCAGACTGCCTCATCCTGGACAACGCTGACATTTTGGAGTGGATTATTCTTTGCTGTTCAGAAAGGAATTAAGTGTATTAATGTTTAGCAGAATCTCTGACCCATTAGATTCTAGTCATACCTCTGGTTGTGACAACAAACGCCTACAGACATTGCCAGATGTTTCCAGGGAAAAGGGGATGCAAAATCACCCCCAATTGGAAACTACTGATGCACATTAAAGTAGCCAGAATCTAATGTTAATTAGGCTTCATGAAAAATATCTTTGACTTGTAGTCAAAAGATCTGGGATTGGATCTCAGTGTTGCCATTATAGTAGCTATATGATCGAAACAAACTAATTAGATTTTTACTTCCTTTGACCATCAAGTGATAGTAATAATATATCAGATCTTCCCATGAATTACTATCATTCCCTAGTCTTAGTATAAAATACATAGTTGGACATGTTCCTGTTATACTTAAAGTAAGCCTTCACCTATTATATTATAATAAATCACAATGTCAATTTTCTTTGTAAAACATTTCTCAATAATGGTTTTCATTTTTTCTTATTTGTATCTATTAACATCAGGCACATTAGAATGTTAAAAGCATGAGAATGGGTACCCTAACCCTCTAGGTAACCTGTTTGTAACTACTTAACACATGGAAAGGTAGCTACATAAAAAATGCTCAATATATATTTAGTGTGCAGTGATTCACTGCAATAAATTATGGGAAAGTAACAGAGTACAGTTGACCCTTGAACAACATGTATTTGAACCATCCACTTACATGTGGAGTTTTAAAAACAAATATATTGAACAATTTTTTGGAGATTTGTGAAATTTTAAAAACTCTCATATGAACCACTCTGCCTAGAGATACTAAATTACAAAAAAAATTGTATGTCATGAATTCATAAAATATATGTAGATACTAGTCTATTTTATCATTTACTACCATCAAGATATACAAATCTATTATAAAAAGTTAAAATTTACAAAAACTTATGCACAGTCTTGTAGGCCCTACATGTCCCCATTGGCAGTTGGACGAAATGTAAACAAACATGAAGATGCAGTATTTAATCATAATGACATAAAATTAACTCTAGTACATATTGTACTATTGCAATAATTGTTTAGCCACCTCATGTTGATATTGCCCAGAGCTCGTGCTGTAGGTGTCCACTTAAAACACCATGTGATGCTGATTATCTCCACATGTTCAGTTCATCTTTTCAGTATACTGCATATCCCTCTAACGATTCCCCTGTATTTTTCATCATGTTTAATGCAATATGGTAAACCTTGAATAACATCATGATACCCATACATAGTGCCACTAGTGACGCTAGAAGTGATCCCAAGAAGCAAAGTCGGGGCCGGGCGCGGTGGCTCACGCCTGTAATCCCAGCACTGTGGGATGCCGAGGCCGGTGGATCACGAGGTCAGGAGATCGAGACCATCCTGGCTAACACGGTGAAACCCCGTCTCTACTAAAAATACAAAAAATTAGCCAGGTGAGGTGGCAGGCGCCTGTAGTCCCAACTACGCGGGAGGCTGAGGCAGGAGAATGGCGTGAACCTGGGAGACGGAGCCTGCAGTGAGCCGAGATCATGCCACTGCACTCCAACCTGGGCGACAGCGAGACCCCGTCTCAAAAAAAAAAAAAAAAAAAAAAAGAAGCAAAGTCGTGATATTACAAGAAAAAGTCGAAGTCAAATTGCTTGATATGTATAGTAGATTGAGGTCTGCAGCTATGATTGCCCACCATTTCAGAAAGATGATTCATCTTGTAAACAGAGGATGTAAACTTTTGGTATACATAAGCACAGTACAGTACTATAAATGCATTTTTTTCTTCATGATTAAATATGTTCTTTTTCTGTAGCTTACTTTATTGTGAGAATATCATATATAATACATATAACATACAGAATATGGGTTAATCAACTATTTATGTTGTTAGTAAAACTTCCAAATCAACAGTAGAATATACTAGTTAAGATTTTAGCAAGTCAAAAGTTATACATGAATTTTCAATTTCATGGGGAGGTCAGTGCCTCTATCCCCTGTGTTGTTCAAAGGGCATCTGTAGCTCCTATTACATTGTTCCTGTTACGTTTCTGGTGCTCACTGAATGGCATTTTCTTCTTTCCTTGTGTTACCAAAAATAAAGTTTCCCCAAATTATTTCCCTGGTAAAGAAACACTATGTCACAACCTGGAATAGCACATGTGATAGGCAGAATAATGGCTCTTTGAAGAAGTCCATGTCCGACTGGAAGCTCTGAATATGCTCCCTTACATGGCAAAAAGTACTTACTTTGTAGACGTCATTAGATTAAGGATCTTGGGATAGGGAGGATATATTGTGTTATCAGGGTTAAGTCCAATCTAATCACAAGAGTCTTAAATAATTAGAAAAGGAAAGTGGAAAAAGAAGGCAAAAGAGTGGAAACCCAGACAGATGGCAGCATGAGAAAGAGCCTAAATTTGTTAGCTTTGAAGTTGTAAAATGAGTACTATGAGCTAAGGGATGTAAATTAGCCTTGAGAAGCTGGAAAAGGCAAGGAGATGATTCTTCCTAGAGCCTCCAGAAAGGAACTGAGCCCTATTAACAGCTTCATTTTATCCCGGTGGACCCATGCTGGACTTCTACCCTGTAGAACTGTAACTAAATAAACTTCTGATGTTTTAAACTGCCAAGTTTGTGGGAATTTGTTGCAGCAACAATACAAAACAAATACAGAAAGATACCCAGCATATATGTCTCTGGCTTCTCTTTTCTCCTCATCTCTTTAACTGAAAACAACATCAGCTTTTCACGTTTCTTGTTCGTTATTCCTTCACTTCTGTGTGATACTGCCATCTTAATTTCAGGGAAACAGAAGTTTCCTGGCATCAGAAAAAATAATTGTGGGTTATAGTGCATATAAACTGGTTTATAATCCAATTGTTTCATGTAATTGTTTCATTCATTTAGTCAATAAATATAATTGAGCAATTACTAAGTACTATCATTTCATTACTCAGAGAGAAAACAGTCATCTCCTGGTATCCACAAGGGATAACATAACATAACATAATATTGGTTCCAGGACCTGCTTCAGGTACCAAAATTCAAGGATGCTCAAGTCATCTATATGAAATTTCATTATATTTGCATATAACTTGGACATATCTTCCTGTATACTTTAAAACATCTTTACAGTTCTTCTAATACCTAATGTAATATAAATGCTATGCAGATGGTTGTTAACATATTTTTCAAATATTTTTAATCCCTGTTTGGTTGAATCTACAGATGTGGTACCCATGGATGCAAAGGGTGAAGAGTATAAAATATATAAGACAGAGTATCTTTCCTTTACAAATTTATACTCAATGGGGAGGAAAGTAGGGGGAAAATGAACACCTAAAGAGATAATTTTGAAACATTATCAGATACAATAAGAAAAGTGTTCCTAAAGCTCTGGGCACATATAACCCTTCTCCAGGACATTCTTTAGAGTAAATAGATACACACTGGCTTTCCCTCATAGTATATCCTTTTTAAGTGCAATGAAAAGTTGACTAAAGGCTATTCATAGAGAACTAAATTGATTCACACAATAAATGAAAAAAGAAACATCTCTCTTCAAGAGGCATTAAATCTACTCTCCTCAGTGGAAAACTGAGATTAAAAGAGGTGAAAAATGATGAGAATGACCTTTTTAGTTCTAATCACACAAATCAGTGCACTGGTGATGAATTCATTAATTTTGATTAAACACAGAACTATGAAGTCATTTGAATTAATTCAGTAATCACCGTCAAGAAGAGATGCTTTAGAGTTTAACATAGAGTAGTCTAATTTGCACTTTGACCCAGTCTTAGGGAATTGTGTACCAAGACTTTCAAGTGAGTTTATTTCATGCACAGAAGGGTTAAGCCATGGAGTTGAACAAAAGACCGATAAACAGTAATGAGGTGCTAACCTTCCACAATAAGCACAGCATCCAGGTTAGCCTAATTCTTAACAAGACTAGCAGTTTCTGATTGAGGTTAAAAGGGTTCTATTGGTAGCAATGCTATGAAGTCTTTGGAATTGGGAAGAAAATGTTGAGATACCCCAGACTCAGCATGTGGGAAAAAAAAAGGAGCTTAGGAATTTTAACATGCCAGAGATGCCTTAGGTGGTATTAAAGCCAACTAAACTGTGAAATTTTTCCAGAACTCTTGTTAGGAGCCCTATCCATGATTATAAACTGTTTCTTTTAGGGAAATAAAAACTGCTTTTGAGTAAAAATTTGTAAGAACATACTGCTAGCGGTAACAGAAGAAACGACTTGCTGTTTTTCATAGATTTTTATTGAGATAAATGAAAACATTTGGCTTTCCCACTCACCATGTTGAAAGTCAGGTGGTCTAATATGCCAGGTGTGCTGGAGTCGGTATCACAGAATCCTTACAACAACTCCTTATAGAAAATCAGAAAGCAAAAGTCTAAGCCATATGTGCAAAATGTATATTTTCATCTCACTTTTACCTTCCTATGGGTTTCACCCATGAATTACAATAATAAAAAAAGGAAGAATATTTATTTCATATTGAATAGTTGAAGGATTTCTATTATCTTTTTTAAAGGCACATTGAGGTTATGACTGTAACTATTTGTATAAGAAAACTACAGAACTTTTAATAAAAAAATGTCACTTTAAACTTTATTCATTAATAAGAACACTTAATTGAATTAATCATTTTGATATGTGCTACTTGGGTCATAAGGAGGTTAACATGAAATTAAACAGGTTATCTGCACATAATTCAAAATGACTGACCCTTTTGAAAACTGTTGTTTTTAGAGTAGGATAAAAATCAAGTGGACCAATCATGTCAGGAAAGTCTTTTTTTCCCTTCCTCATTCTAGAAATCAGAATCTTGACTACATTGCCACACAGAGATCATGCAGAGCAGGGCATTATTTGCTGGAACTAAAGAAAGGCTCTTTAATTCAAGACTTCAAATAAAATAGAGTATATTTTTTGAGACAATCCAAACTCTAAAATTAAATTAAACAGCCTCATACAGAGCATGATGGTTTAGCAGTGTACACCATTGCTATATTGTACAGGAACATTGTCTATATCAGTTACGAAGGCTATCTACGAGGATTCTGCTATAAACTTCCAGTTCCTCAAGCAAATACAACCCATGAACTAGGCAGCCAGGCAACTAAATAATATATTTGTGATATAATCTGGCTCTGTCTGTGTTTTCCACACTCTTCTCATTCCATTCTGTTCCGGATTGAAATAGTAGGAGTCTGTTTTAGTACTCTTACTACCTAGAATTCATGCATCACAAATCCTCAAAGTCTTCACTATAGCTTGCAACAATTAATTTCTATGAAACACCTCGCTCCTTGTATTAGTTCCTTTTCACACTGCTGATAAAGATATACTGGAGACTGGGCAATTTACAAAAGAGGTTTAATTGGACTTACAGTTCCACGTGGCTGGGGAAGCCTCACAATCATGGCGGAAAGCAAGGAGGAGAAAGTCACATCTTACATGCATGATAGCAGGCAAAAAGAGAAAGCTTGTGCAGGGAAACTCCCTTTTATAGAACTATCAGATCTCCTGAGACTTACTCACTATCACAAGAACAGTACGGGAAGGACCAGCCCCCATGAATCAATTACCTCCCACTGGGTCCCTTCCACAACACGTGGGAATTCAAGATGAGATTTGTGGGGAGGGGCACAGTCAAACCATATCACTCCTCATTAACATTTATGTAAAATGTTTGTTTCTTGCTTTCCTTATTAATCCACGAATACATATTTATGTTTCCTCGATCCTTTAGCACACTCTCAAGTTTAGTACTTTTTACATTCTACATTTTACCAGTGAGATTTCTTTCCCCTTGGTCAGCAATGGGTCGAGCTTTATTTTGTACCCCTTTGAGAAACATTCATTTCATGATTTGAATTCATTCTGAAAATCAGCCCTCCATTGTGAACCATTGTAATACTTCCCTTATGATAGCTAATTTGCCCCTAGCAGTAATTGGTAGCGCTTCAAAATCAAGCTACATCAAATTTAGTATATTTCTTTTATAAATGGGGTAAGCACTTTATTTAGTGTTAAAAAAAACATGATTTTTACATAAACACATATATTAGCTTTTTACCTTTTTTGATCTGAATTATTAAAAGGACAATAAATACTGTGAGGCATTACTACTGAGCTGTAAACAGCCATATGAACTTTCATTATTTAAAAAAATCATATTTTTAATTATTCACTGTAATGAATTTTCATCAGTTTTATTGAATTATCATAGACTATTTTAATTTTATGACATCAATGTACACATTAACATTGATAATGATCCTGTTAAAGAAAAACTATTCTAAAACTTATTAAAAATGGTAAGGAAGTCTTTATTCAAGACTATTGCAATAGTTGTCAATATTACTGTAATAAGAAAGGAAGATTGGGGTTACCCCCAAATACAACAAAGACAAGTGGGAATTTATAGCCTGGAGCATCTTTGCAGGGATCAGGGTCGAGTGAATTGAAATTTACTACTAGGAGACATCAAAGGTAGGAGGAATTCTTGCTAAACTGACCTAATAGAATGCCTGCTGAAGGCGGGCCAGGATGGTAAGATATTTAGCAGGTAGTAGGGGATGAGGAATTGCCAGATACCAAGTGATCAGGTATCAAAGGCAGAAGGATTCTCTCTAAATTGTCTTAGCAGGATTCTTGCTAAAACCAGACTCTAGAAAGTTGAAAAGAAAAGCCCAAATTCAAGGCCTACTTGAAAAAAACGGCTTAAAGAAGTCTGACTAAAGTTTGGTCAAGGAGAGTCCATCCTAAGCTATTTTTAATTGTTTTTTTTAAATTGTATTAAGCATACTTCATTTTATTAATATCCTGTGCTCACACTGCTTAAGAATGTTGAACTTCTCACTGCTAACTCACTGTATCAGCATGCTTCCTGCTCACATTCTTTGTACTTGCTTTTTCTTTTCCTGGAATTCTCTTTCCCTGTCTATTTACGTGTTTTCTTTCCTGAATTATATTGGATCTTTACTTAAATGTCACCTCCCTTAGACTAAGCCAATCTGAAATAGCAAAATCTTCACCTATCTCCTGTATTTCTCCACTTCTTTTTCCTTTCTTCCTTCCTTCCGTCCTTCTGTCCTTCCTTCCTTCCTCTCTCTTTCCCTCCCTCCCTTCCTCTCTCTCTTTTCTTTTTCTTCCCTTCCTTCCTTCCTTCCTTCCTTCCTTCCTTCCTTCCTTCCTTCCTTCCTTCCTTCCTCCTTTCCAGGCAGAGTCTCACTCTGTCACACAGGCTGGAGTACAGTGGTGCCATCTCAGATCACTCCAACCTCTGCGTCCTGGGTTCAAGCGATTCTCCTGCTTCAGCCTCCTGAGTAGCTGGGACTACAGGCATGCAGCACCATGCCCAGCTATTTTTTTTTTTTTTTTGGTATTTTTAGTAGAGTTGGGGTTTCACCGTGTTGGCCAGGCTGGTCTTGAACTCATGACCTCAAGTGTTCTGCCCACCTCGGCCTCCAAAAGTGCTGGGATTACAGACGCGAGCCACCATGCCTGGCATGCTTCATTTTTCTACTTAATATGTATCAACTAAAATTAAATATACATATATATATATACATATACCACATATATAAAACATACATGTGATGTATGTGTATTTCCCTCATTTTCTCTCCCACTTGTGTGTAAGCTTCTTGAGACTGAATATTTTGACTGTTTTATTCATTCGTGGAATCCTATTTCTTAAGATTGGCTTAGGTGTCATTTCCTTCAGTGTAGTTCCCTTACAGTGGAAATTCTTATTCCCATTATGCTTCTCTTGCACAGAACTTGTTTTGGAGTTGCATTCGTAGACCCTACTCAATACTTATTAATGCTTCAAAAGTGGTGAATCGTCAACTCTGAAAGTGCCTATACTTTATAGAAACAATATAAACTCTAGAGTATACATATCAAATAATTAAGGCAGGTACTTACTCTAAATCTTTGCAAAGAAAACTCAGTGTGATTATTTATAAGGCATTTAAAAGCCACAGAATTTGTGATCTCTGATTCCAAGTCACAGCTCATCACAATTTAAGTGAGTAATATACAAATCACCTGGAAGACAGATTCACATATACCTATATTGATGCCCAAAGAACACAATAAAAGAACCAGTATTCATGAAGAATGTGGAAAATAAGGAGTTAAGCTGAAGTGACAGTCCTTTAGTCAAAAATTCTGTATATGCTAGAAGTTTTGTGATTTCTGTTTTAGCTCCAAGCAATAATACAGAGAATAGAAATGATTTTTATAGAATTGGGATACTTAACTTGTGGGTTCTCTGGAGGCCTTGGATAAATTGGTCATTATTTAATCTTTAACTAGTAAAGATGGCCCAGGCAGCATGAAGAGGAAGAGGCAGCTGGACTAATCTGCTCATGCTGCTCTTATCTCATTTATTTATATAGAAATTATTTCTTTTTACGCAGAACAGTATAGAAAAAGTCTGAATAAATAGAAGATAATTAAATATTCTCAAAGGGATCTAAAGTCACTTAGATTTTTCATTAAAAAGTGCATTTTTTATTGTAACTGAAAGGACAAATAAAATTTCATACACCTTTAGAACTTGAAATATTTTCAGATAGAATGAATCTGTATTATAATTGTTATAACATTTAAATAACTTTGTTAATTTTAAAATATTTAATTTCCCATCTGTACCTGTGAAATTCTTAATTATCTTTCTCTTACTATTTTTTCCACATTTACTGAAACAAAAAATAACTTATTTGGCATTGTGCAAAATCTCATCTCTTAGAAATCTACCACTATTTGAGCAAGTACTGTGGATTTTTCAAATTCCAATATTTCCTTTGGTTTTCCTTTCATTTTTCATTTTTTAATTAATTAATTAATTTTGAGACAGAATCTCTGTCTGTTGCCCATGATGGAGTGCGGTGGTATGATCTCAGCTCACTACAACCTCCGCTTCCCAGATTCAAGCGATTCTCAGGCTCCCAAGTAGCTGGGATTAGAGGTATTCACCAACACACCCAGCTAATTTTTGTATTTTTAGTAGAGACGGGGTTTCATCATGTTGGCCAGGCTGGTCTCACACGCCTCACTTCAAGTGATGTGCCCACCTCAGCCCCACAAAGTGCAGGATTACAAGCATGAGCCACCACACCTGGCTTGTTTTATTTTTATTTTTTTAATGTAAAAAATAATATCCATCTGTTGCTACTAGGAAAACAGAAATATGTACAAATCATATGTATGAAAACAACTTACTCATCTTTGCCTTATACATTATTCATATATAATAGTGGCATATTTACAGAATAAATTTATAAAAGTATAGTTAAAAATATTAAATGTTGGATTTTAATATATTTTACTATATTACTTCCAACAGTGTGACATATAGATACATTAATGTATGAAAATATTTATTTTTTCCTAATGTCATTAAATGAAAGAGTTATATATATATATTTTTGGTCAGTCTCAATTAATTTCAATTCAAATGAGCTGACCTCTGAATGATTTATTAGACACCTGGATTTAGGAAAACAAAACTTTAGTTTACCAGTGTCTTCTAATTGTATGTTTGGGTCAGTTTTAAAACCATTTGAATGTATTTAAATATGTTTATCTTTCTTAAGTTTAATTTTCTTATTTTAATTGATACATAA
This sequence comes from Homo sapiens, assembly GCF_000001405.40. Classification (NCBI taxonomy): domain Eukaryota; kingdom Metazoa; phylum Chordata; class Mammalia; order Primates; family Hominidae; genus Homo; species Homo sapiens. The sequence continues at coordinate 45,737,987 of NC_000004.12, forward strand.
TAGTTGTACATATTTATGGAGTATGATATTTCAATATACATGTACAATGTGTAGTGAGCAGGGTAATCACCTCAGACATTTATCATTTCTTTGTATTGGGAACTTTGAAAGTTTTCTCTTTTAGCTACTTTGAAATATACAATAAATTGTTGGTAACTACAGTGACTCGATTATACTATAGACAATATAACTTATTTCTCCTAACTGCAATTTTGTACCCATTAATCAATCTCTCACTATTCCCTGACCTATCCCTTAACCTTCCTAACCTCTGATAACCACTATTCTACTCTCTACTTCTATGATACAAATTTGTTCAGTTCTCACATATGAATAAGAACATGTGGTTATATTTCTGTGCCTGACTATTATTATTAAGTAAAATAATATAATGTCCTCCAGGTTAATCTATGTTGTTGCAAATGGCAGGATTTCATCTTTATGTCTGAATAATAGTCCATTGAGTACATGTGCAGGTTTCTTATATAGGTAAACTGCGTGTCATGGGTGTTTGGTGTACAGATTATTTTCTCATCCAGGTAATAAGCATAGTAGCCAATAGTTATTCTTTCTGATCCTATTCCTTCTCCCACCCTCCAGCCTCAAGTAGGCCCCAGTGATTGTTGTTCCCATCTACGTGTCCATGTGTTCTCCTTATTTGGCTCCCACTTATAAGTGAGAGCATGCAGTATTTGGTTTTCTGTTCCTCAGTTAGTTTGCTAAGGATAATGGCCTTGAGCTCCATCCATGTTGCTGAGAAAGACATAATCTCATTCTATTTTATGGCTGTACAGTATTTCATGGTATATATATACATTTTCTTTCTCCAGTCTATTGTTGATGAGCATTGAGGTTGATTCCATACTTTTGCTATTGTGAATAATACTGCAATGAACATAAATGTGCATGTGGCTTTATAGTAGAACAATTTATATTCCTTTGGGTATATACCCAGTAATGGGATTGCTGGATTGAATGATAATTATGTTGTAACTTCTTTGAGGAATTGCCACACTACTTTTCACAAGTCTCAACTAATTTATACTCCTACCAGCAGTGTATAAACATTCCTTTTTTTGGCAACTTCGTCAGCATCTGTTATTTTTTGACTTTTTAATAATCACCATTTGATGGTGTGAGATGGTATCTCATTGTGGATTTGATTTGCATTTCTTGAATGATGAGTGATGTTGAATATCTTTTCATATGCTTGTTGTCTGCAGATATGTCTTCTTTTGAAAAGTGTTTGGTCATATCTTTTGTCCACTTCTTCATGGTGTTGTTTGTTTAAGTTCCTTATAGATTCTGGATGTTAGTCCATTGTCAGATGCATAACTTGCAAATATTTCCTATGATTCTGTAGGTTGTCTCTTTACTCTGTTGATAGTTTCTTTTGCTGTGCAGAAACTCTATAGTTTAATAAGATCTCATTTGTCAATTTTGGTTTTTGTTGCAATTGCTTTTGGCGTCTTCATCAGGAAATCTTTGTCAGGTTCTATGTTCATAATGATTTTTTCTAGGTAATCTTTCAGGAATTTTATAATTTTAGATTTTACATTTTTCTCTTTAATCCATCTTGATATGATTTTTGTATATGGTGTAAGGAGAGGATCCAGTTTAAATTTTCTGCCTATGGTGAGCTAGTTATCCCAGCATCATTTACTGAACGGAGACTTCTTTCCCCTTTTCTTGTTTTTGTCAGCTTTGCTGAAGATCAGATGGATGGAGGTGAACAACATTATTCCTGGACTTTCTATTTTGTTTCATTCTGCTTTGTATCCGTTTTTGAACTAGCACCATGCTGTATTGGTTACTATAGCTTTGCAGTAGAGTTTGAAGTCAGGTAATGTGATGTCTCCAGCATTGTTCTTTTTCTTTAGAATTGCTTTGGCTATTTGGGCTCATTTTTGGTTCCATATAAATTTTAAAATACTTTTTTCTAATTCTGTGAAGAATGTATTGGTAGGTTGATAGGAATAGCATTGAATCTATATGTTGCTTTGAACAGTATGACCATTTTAGTGATATTGATTCTTCCTATTTTCCTATTCATGAATATGAAATATTTTGCCATCTATTTGTGTAATCTATGATTTCTTTGAAAATCATTTTGTAATTCTCACTGTAGAAATATTTCACCTCCCTGCTTAGCTGTATTTTTAGGTATCTTATTCATTTTGTGGCTATTGTGAAATACATTTCATTAATTATTTGGCTTTTGGCTTGGATGTTCCTTGTGTATAAGTAAGCTACTGATTTTTATATGTTGATTTTGTATCCTGAAACTTTGCTGAAGTTGTTTATGAGCTGAAGTAGCTTTTGGCCAGAGACTATGGGGTTTTCTAGATATAAAATCATGTTGTCAACAGGGATAGTTTGACTTTTGCTTTTCTCATTTGGATGCCTTTTATTTCTTTCTCTTGATTGATTCTTCTGGCTAGGACTTCCAATACTATGTTGAATAGGAGTAGTGAGAGAGGGCACCCTCATCTTATGCTGGTTTGTAAGGGGAATGCTTCCAGCTTTTGCCCATTCAGTATGATGTTAGCTGTGGGTTTGTCATAGATGTCTATTGCTTTGGTATATGTTCCTTCAATGCCTAGTTTGTTGAGGATTTTTAACATGAAGTGATGTTGAATTTTATCAAAAGTCTTTTCTGCTTCTATTGAGATAATCATGTCTTTTTTTTATTTTAGTTCTGTTCATTTGATAACTTACATTTATTCAGTTGTGTATGTTGAACCAACCTTGCATTCCAGCAGTAAAGCATACTTGATCCTGGTGGATTAGCTTTATGATGTGCTGCTGGATTCAGTTTGCTAGTTTTTTCTTGAGGATTTTTGCATCAATATTCATCAAGGATTTTGGCCTGAAGTTTTTTTCCTTATGTCTCTGCCGAGTTTTGTTATGAGGATGATGTTAGCCTCATAGAATGAGCTGGGAAGGAGTCCCTTAATTTTTGGAATAGTTTTAGTAGAGAAGATATCAGCTCTTCCTTATATATTTGGTAGAATTCAGCTGTGAATCTATCTGGTCCTGGGCTTTTATTGTTTGGTAGGCTTTTTATTGTGGATTCAGTTTCAGAAATTGTTATTGGTCTGTTCAGGAACTCAATTTTTTTCATGGTTCACCTTATTTGATGTCCTATGGGATTTCTGGATCTGAAAATGTAATTCCATCCCAGACTTGGGAAGCTTTCTGTCATTATTTTTTTGAATATATTTTCTATCTCTTTCTGTCTTTTTCTATTCTGACATGCCAAGTATGTGTAAGTTGTTCTGTTTAATGGCATCCCATAAGTCTCTTAAACTATCTTTACATCATCTCATTGTTATTATTATTATTGTTTTTTGTTCCTCAGAATGGCTAATTAACAGTTATCTGGCTTCAAGTTCACTGATTCTTTCTTGTGCTTGATCTAATCTGTTGTTGAACCCTTCTCTTGAATTCTTCAGTTTGGTTATAGCATTTTTTAGATCCAAGATTTCTTTTCGGTATTTTTTAATACTTTATATCTCTTTGTGGAAATTCTAAGCTTGTTGTTGCATTTTTATCTTGAATGCTATGCACATATTCATGACCTTTATTTTGACTTCCTTGTTGGGTAAATCAGAAAAATCCATGGTATTTAGTTCAGTTTCTGAAGATTTATGTTCTTTTTTTTTTGGTTTAAAATTTTAGATTTAGTTAGAAGTGTTTGGGTATTGGATGCAAGTTCTAGTTCTTTTATCTTCACAATGAGATTGAGTGCAGGTATCTATCTCCCACACAAATGCCTATATTCACATTTAGGTTGCACCTTCTGATTTTGAAAAGATAGCTGCTAGGAGTGGGCCCATTTTATGTATATCTGTTTATATTCTGTGTTTTGAAGTCACTTGATTTTTCAGAGCTAGGTCACTAAAGAGGCAGACTGTGAGGTGAAAACTATGAAATGTGGTGCTTGTTGTGTGGCCAAACTCCTTCCAGAAAGACTGGATGGACCTGGCTATATATGGGGAATTGAGGAGGACATCTTGTGAAGTGCCAAGCTTTGGCTCTGGCTACAAAGAGCTATTGTTTGTTTAGCCTGTTAGTTCACTGATGCAAGTTCATTGGAGACTATGCCATCAAGTGGCCACTAAGAGTATGTTTCATAAACTCTTCCTGTAGAGAAAGTCACACCTGCAAGGGCCTGCCCCTTCACTGCAATGCTCCAAGGAGGTGTACCCTCTGGAAGTCTTTGGATGCCTGTTTAAAACGAGCTCTTTGTTCTGGAATCAAGAATACTTAACAAACACTTTGTCCCTTCTTTCCCCATAGTAACTAGGTTTAAGATAAAGTCCTTTGGGATGTAGCTTTAGCAACTATGGGTCTTAATGTATCTTAAACCCCTTCCATGAAGAAAGAGGGAGTTTCATTTTTTAGGGCCCTTCTCTGCACTGCCACTAGAAGATAAAGTCTCTGGAGGTGTTTTAACACCCACTTAAAGAGACCAATCCTTTTCTGCTGTGTAGAAAGATGTATGCATGCCAATCCTTTCTACTTCCAGAGCTAAGAGACTTACAATGCAGTATCTTAGGTGAATATTATAAAAGTTAAGGCTTTTGGTGTAAGTGCAAACTTTTTGAGGCTAGTAGCAAATCGGTAATTTTCTCTTTAACTCCTCAATGCAAGTTAACTGGAAGTCAGACTACCAGTTAGCTGCTGGAGAAGTATTTTGTAAATCCCTTGTGGGAAAACAGAGAACTGTGATTTTTAAGTCTCTTCTATGCACTGCTTCAAGGGCGATAAATTACCTGGGAATGCTTACTCACCTGTATAAGATTGGTGATTCATTTACTACAGTCTGAAGAGACACTAACGTGTCTAATCCATTCCATTATTGCAGTTGGTGAATTAAGGACCCACTTGTGGGCAAACTTCGGATTAAGGTCTATATGTGAGATCCAGACCGTCCTCTCCACAGTGTGAAACTGAATGTTTTATGGCTGTTTTATGGCACAGTGCTCTGGGTGGGGTCCATGCTCAATTGTTCCTCAGCTTCTCCCAAGATAAATAAAATATTTCAAAAATATTTTTCTAGTATTATGTTTTCACCTTTAAAATTGTAATCTATGGATGGGTGTGGTGGGTCATACCTGTAATACCAACACTTTGGGAGGCTGAGGTATGTTTTTAAGCCTTGTATCACATGTCCAGAGCCATGTTCAGTTTGGCACTAATGTAGATCTACCCTCAAATCATGACCTTTCCAAGGACTCTGCGCAATGTCACCTGTAATATGAAGCCTCTACTTCTGGTGATGAGGCCACAACTCTTTCCATCTCCATTTCAGTTACAGAAATTGTTTGGCCTACTGTATTCTGGTGTTTTCTCTGGATTCTTATGTAGTTACACCCAATGTATGCAAAAAATCAGGACTCACCCAAAGACTTAAAGAGACTCCTATGAAGATTGCTAGAGTTCTCTCTCTTCCTAGTTTATTTTTTTCCAGCAGTCAATCCCACACATTCTCCATGTCTCTGACACATTAAGTTACAGTATCTTTCTCCTCAAAACAGTCAGATGCTGTTTTGGTTACCTCATGTCATGCAGTGGCCTGATAACCAACTTCATACAGTAAACTAAAGCAATGGTAGAAATGTTGTTTACATCTCTTTCCTCATAGATCACAATCCTGCAATGTCAATTGTCTAATATCTGAAATTTTTATGTAATTTTTATGATTTTTGGTTGCTTATGACCTTAAGACAATTGTCATGGGAGTTAAAAAAGAATGTGGGGCTGGACAAATACTTATAATCCTAAACACATTTTGTTTTACAAAACAGAAGATGAGAGAACACTGAACAACTCATTTATATAACTACCATCACCTTGATACCAAAACCGTATGAAGACATTATACAAAATTTATTCTGTATAAATCATTTATTGTCTTATGATCCTGACCATTGTGTTAAACCTAGAAAAAGAAATAAAATCCACCTAGATTAGAAAGTGACTAAGGCTGTCTTTGCCTACAGACTATAGAACAGTCTATGTATGAAATCCCTGGGGCTTAAAAAAAAGGTACAAGAATTTAGAGTTGAGTTTAGTAAGTAAACAGGATACAAAATTAATATGCAAAAGTTAGTTATATGTCTACATACTAGCAATGAATATTTGAAAATTTATATTAAAAATAAATGCCCTTTACAAAAGGTTTCAAAAACGCAAAACAATTAAAGATAATATTAAGGAAATATTTGCAAAACCAAGACACTGAAAACTTCCAAGTTTTGCTAAAATAAAGAGGACCAAAATAACCAGAGAAATACATTACCTGTAAGGATCTGTACATTCCGCATTATGAAGATGTTCCTAAATAGATATTATTCTACACCTCCGCTTTTTGACTAGGATTTTATATTAATTTAATTCATTCATTATGCTTTTTATTTATTTTATGTAATTTTTAATTTTTATTTTAAGTTCTGGAATACATGCACATGATATGCAGGTTCGTTACACAGGTAAACCTGTGCCATGGTGATTTGCTGTACTTATTAACCCATTACCTAGGTACCAAGCCCAGCATGCATTAGCTATTTTTTTCCTAATGCTCTCCCTCTCTCCACCACCTTCTCTCGACAGGCCCCAGTGTGTGTTTTTCCCCTCCCTGTGTCTATGTGTTCACATTGTTCAGCACCCACTTATAAGTGAGAACATGCAATGTTTGGTTTTCTGTTCCTGCATTAGTTTACCGAGGATGATGGCTTCCAGCTCCATCCATGTCCCTCCAAAGGGCATAATCTCGTTCTTTTTATGGCTGAATAGTTTTCCATGGTGTATATGTACAACAAACCCATGTAGCAGTAGTAACAGAGCCTAACTTTCTGAGAAAAAACAAATATAGGAAAAGTCACCTAATATTCATTATCCACAGGACACCTATATTGAAAATGTTCTTTACTACAAGCACAATACATGAGAATAAAAAGACCATTTACCCAAATGCTCATACAAATGAAAAGCTCTAGCAGATGGTGTTAGCAGAGGTAAAAACAAAATTTATTCAAGGATTTCTTATGTGTCCTTCAAAGCTAATGGCTAAAAGCTGAATGAGCAGAATGCTTGGCAAGGGGCAGAGTTATTTTAATACAAAAGCCTACATAAGGATTTTAATATTTCTGTGGTTCTTTCCATCATCCTTTAGCTATGAAAGATGCTATGCTTGTAAAAAAATGTACATAGCAGCAGAAGAAAATTGAGCAAAAACCTGATATTCCAAAGTCTATGGAAATAATAGAGAACACATGCTTATTTAAAAACACATTTGCAAACATGTACACAATAGATAATTTTTAGAAAAAATATTTGTTTGTTTTTTTATTTTACAGGATTTAAACCTTAGGGAAGTTAAATGTCTTCACCAGGTTTAGAAATTTTGTGACTTGATGGCAGATTCATGACTTGATCTCAATTCTTTGTCATTTTAAAGGTTTGAAGTAGACAGTATATATAGAGAGCATTCAAATTTCAAGAATTACTCCGATAAAATATTCTTTTTTTAACATTTCAATTGCATTTTTAAAATACAAGTGTTAACTTTTTAAGGAACTGAGTGTAAATCTTTCAAAATAAGGAAATCCCTTTTGGCCAAGACAACCAAATAAAAAAAAAAATCTTGTGGAATATAGTCTAATGATAAAGATGGTTTGGTAATAGGATTCTTATTATTATATTTACCCAGTATTACTTTTTTTATATAGCGATATTACAGAATGTACATATTTATGAGAGAAGAGAATGGAAATAGGTGGAATATAATCCACAGGCAGAGAAGTTGGCTTTACAGAGAAACATAGATTGTCCATCTGGAGTAGCACGAGGGAAGAGAGAACATATGGGTATATATTCAGTGGTTTTGTAGATGTCGTTCTCACAGTGCATGAAATTGTTCTTATTCTTTTCTCAGTCAAATAAAAGTAAAGAGAATATAGAAGACATGCATACACATGATGCAGAAAATAGTTAATACCACAGGCCTAAGACTGCTGTCCTGAGAAAAGCTTGTTTTCAAAGTTGGCCTTTTCTGGTGTCTGGAAACTTGAATAATGGGCACATTCGCACTATTCTCAGAACTAAGAGTGGCTCACTCTGCCTAACTGATTTGTACAAAAATGTGGTTTTATGCTGTATATCTACTTTCCTGTCTGGGAGCCTAGAAATTTGGTATATGCTACGCAAAGGGTGCCTATGTGAATAGCCCCCACGGAAAACGTAGGGCTGAGTTTCTAATGAGTTTCCCTGGTAGACAATATTTAATATATGTTGTCACAGGTGGTTGCTGGAACAGTTAAGCACATCCTATGTGACTCAAATCACAGAGGACTCTTGAAAGTTTCGACCTCGCTTCCTCTGGATTTTGCTGTATGTGCCTTTTCCTTTTACTGACTTCGTTTTATATTTTTCGTAATAACATGTCATAGCCACGCATAGCCATGAATACAAATATATGCAGAGTCCTATGAGTCCTCTTAACAAGACATCAAACCTAGGGGTGATCTTGGAGACTACTGTCCAACACACATACACTCTCTTTCTCTCTCCCTCTCTCTCTCTATATATACACACATATATATGTGTATATATTATATATTGTATAATTATATAAATTAATATATACATATTTATTTATGGTTAGAATATCAAATAGCACAGATCAATAATTTAAACAGTTTATGATAAGAGGTCTCACTCTATCAGTGTTGACAAAGTATTTTAGTATCAGTTATACATGCAGAATACATAATCACATTTCATTGTGAGAAAATGGTAAAAAAATTATTTTGATTTTTTAAATTTATAATTAATTAAGTAGATATGGGATATAGTGTAAAATATTTAGAATTTCTGAGATCCTGAGGTTAAACTTGAGGAATCTGTTTTGGTTCAATTCTTTTTTTATTTTTCAATTTATTTCAATTTATTTTTATTTTTATATTTTTTAAATTAGAGCTAATTCCTAACTACAATATTAGAAATATTGGGTGGAAAATATGAAATATATCATTATATCATTTTATATCACGATATAAAAGGTAGAATCAAAATCCAGAAAAAGAAAAGACAGATTTAAGAACATGTAACTTCAATAAAAACATAAGCCTTATAGGAAAGCAGGGGAACTACTGATATTTTAAGCAGCAGTCCACAGAGAATTAACAAAATAAAAGTTACATTTAAAGAATTTCTCAGAATTCATGACATAAAGTCAAAGTGATATGAAATATAAAATAGAAGATACATGATAGAGAGGCTAGAAAAGGTCGATTATTCATGAAATCAGAGTCCTAGAATAAGAGAATAGAAAGATTGTGAAAAGGCAATATTTGAAGGAACATTTTTTCCCAAATGATGGAAGACTTTAATTTACAGTTTCAGAAACTTAATAGATGCTAAGCAATAAAAATGAAACAAAATGTATTGTAAGCCACATAATAACATAATTACTGAATGCCAAAATCAAAGATATCTTAAAGTATCTAGAACATATAAATTAGTTATTTACAAATAATAACAAACAAACCAATACAAAAAATTCAAATGCAACAGTGAAAGCTAGAAGAATAATTGCATCAAAAGTTTAAGAAAGAAGAGAATTCTCACACTAAACTTTATCCCCATCTTTATGCTGTTTCTGGAATAAAAGTAAAATATGGTATTTTATATGGAATAAAAACTAATGGAATTTACTGGTAATAAGCTCCACTAAAATAACTGTTAAAGAACATACTTCAAGAAGATAAAAATGATTCCTGAAGAAATATGAAGTGCAAAAATTAAAAGGAAACAATTATAAATACAATTATAAGCAAATGTTTACTGTATAAAACTAATGATGGTGTCTCTGTGTTTGGACGAAAAAAGATAGAACTAACCAAAATGTTGGGAAATGTCAACCATAAGACAGAATAAGAATGAGAGATATTAAAGTGCTTTAAGATTCTAAAGGGAGATATAGTCATACTTTTTCCTCTAAGTATGCATATTACACTTTTAAGGGTAATCAATAAACAATATAAATATAATAAACTGGTATGTAACTATCACCCAGTAAGATGATAAATTTTAGCCATGGTTCTAATATTTGTTTAGTTTAGCAAATTTAGATGTGCATCAGCATTATTTGTATCATTTGAAGTGAGGTTTGTTTGTTGTTGTTTTTTGGTACACAGCATGTAGTTAGATCTTTTTTTTTCCTAATCCACTTTGTTAATCTCTGCCACGAATTTAATATGAACTGATTTGACTGAAGTACTTTTACTTCTCAATCTTTCATCACTGATTGTCTGGACACTACTTTTATGTTATGTTCTGGATTTTTTTTACATATACATACATACTTTAAGTTCTGGGCTACATGTGCAGAAGGTGCAGTTTTATCACACAGGTATACACGTGCCCTGGTGGTTTGCTGCACCCATCAGCCCATCACCTACATTAGGTATTTCTCCTAATGCTATTCCTCCCCTAGCTCCCCACCCCCTAACAGGCCCCAGTGTGTGATAATCCCCCCCCACCCTTGTGTCCAAGTGTTCTCATTGTTTAACTCCCACTTATGTGTGAAAACATGCAGTGTTTGGTTTTCTGATTTTTGTGATAGTTGGCTGAGAATGGTGGTTTCCAGCTTCATCCATGTCCTGCCAAAGGACATTAACTCATCCATTTTATGGCTGCATAGCATTCCATGGTGTATATGTACTATATTTTCTCAATCCAGTCTATCATCAATAGACATTTGAGTTTGTTCCAAGTCTTTGCTATTGTGCATAGTGCCTCAATAAACATATGTGTGCATGTGTCTTTATTGTAGAATGATTTATAATCCTTTGGCTGTATACCCAGTAATGGGATTGCTGGGTCAAATGGTATTTCCAGTTCTAGATCCTTGAAGAATCACCACACTGTCTTCCACAATGGTTGAACTAATTTACACTCCCACCAACAGTGTAAAAGCATTCCTATTTTTCCACATCCTTTACAGCATCTGTTGTTTTCTGACTTTTTAATGATTGCCATTCTAACTGGTGTGAGATGGTATCTCATTGCGGTTTTGATTTGCATTTCTCTGATGACCACTGATGATGAGCGTTTTTTCATATGTCTGTTGGCTGCATAAGTGTCTTCTTTTGAGAAGTGTCTCTTCATATCCTTTGCCCACTTTTTGATGGGGTTGTTTGTTTTTTCTTGTAAATTTGTTTAAGTTCTTTGTAGATTCTGGGTATTAGCCCTTTGTCAGATAGATAGATTGCAAAAATTTTCTCCCATTCTGTAGGTTGCCTGTTCACTCTGATGATAGTTTCTTTGGCTGTGCAGAAGCTCTTTACTTTACTTAGATCCCATTTGTCAATTTTGGTTTTTGTTGCCATTGCTTTTGGTGTTTTAGACATGAAGTCTTTGCCCATGCCTACATCCTGGATGGTATTGTCCAGGTTTTCTTCTAGGATTTTTATGTTCCTATGTCTTATGTTTAAGTCTTTGATGCATCTTGAGTTGATTTTTGTAAAAGGCATAAGGAAGGGATCCAGTTTCAGTTTTCTGCATATGGCTAGCCTGTTTTCCCAACACCATTTATTAAAAAGGGAATCTTTTCCCCATTGCTTGTGTGTGTCAGGTTTGTCAAATATCATGTGGTTATAGCAGTGTGGTATGATCTTGATTTTTTAAAATGACTCACCTATTATGTAGTCTTGGGTAATATTGCTCTTAGGGCCCATTCTTCATATTTCTGATTTTAATTATTCAGTGAATATGAAATAATATATAAATAGTTTGTAAATCACTGAATTCTTGAAGTAAAGTTCTGGGGAAAAGTGATAAATGAATCTTGATTGGAGATAGAACATGAGTCTCTACTCCTGCTTATACTAGAATTCTAGCCAATGTCTCAGAAAACAAAATTGCTGGGTTTGAAAATGTCCCAAATTTTCCTGATCCATTTTAATTTTAAATCTTTTTCAAAAATACTTTTTATATTATAACAATATGTTATTTTAGAACATCCAGTTTTAAAGCTGATACATGAGCTTTAAAATTTGTTAATTTCTGTTAGAAGTGATTTTACCTGTTTTTTAGGTATTTTGGGCTTGTTCATAAATAGAGAGCTGATTTATATTTTTTATGGCCACCTTTTAAAGCTGTAGCCAAGAAGCACCAAAACACTGTTAAAGACTTTCAAATAAACATGATTCCTTGGACATAGTTCCCTTCATGTTCAACATACTTTATGTCCTTTTTAATGCTTTAATATGCTACATTTAACCAGTTTCTATTTCCATGACCTTGTTCTATGGCTTGCCATTCACAAATATAAGTATTGCTTAATGTTGTCCATAATTACTTTTCCAAACTAATAAAAAATATACATTTTCTCCTTGGATTTCAAAGCAGTTTATTTTACTATGTTATGTTGTAAAAATTCATGAAAACAAAAATATAATAGTAAAGAAGAATAATTAATAAACTTCATCTTAACAATGAGCTAGGTATTCACAAATGGGTAAGCTTCAAAATTATTCAACATTAACAAATTAATTAAAATGATTTTTTTAATCAGTCATTGGCTGGACATTTCAAACCCCAATGAGAAATTTTATCTAGCACAAAATAAATTTAAGTACTAATATGTTATCAGGATTTGCTTTTAGCTTACTACTTGCAAGATTTAAAGAGTTCTGAGTTCTGAGAGAATTGAACATAAAACTTTATTAGAAGGTACACACAGAAAGATCTCTGTGGCTAGGATATAGTGTTCTCCTCCCTTATGGTAGCTGTCTTAATCCATTTTGTGCTGCTATAACAGAATACCACAGATTGAGTACTTTATGAAGTACAGAAATTTATTCTCTCAAAATTCTGGAAACTGAGAAGACCGAGATCAAGACAACAGCATCTGGTGTGGGCTTTCTTACTGTGTCCTCACATGGCAGAAGGCAGACAAGCAAGAGAGAGACAAGTGCTGAATCCCCAAATGGTAGAAGAGCAGAATCAAATAAACCCACTCCCACAAGCCCTTTTTATAGTTGCATTATAAAACGGGCTTGTGGGAGTGCTCTATCCACATATCCTCATAAATCCTATCCACATTTTTGAGGGTAGAGCCTTCATGACCTAAACACTTCCCATTAGGCCCCACCTTTCAGCATTATTGCATTGGGAATTGAATTTTAACATGAGTGTTGGAGGGGACAAAAGCACTCAGTAGGACCTGTCTCCTTCTATAGCAAGACGATTGACACTGATGACACACAACTACAATTTTCCCCTTTAATTTTGATTTTTAAGAAAAGAGTTTCTTCTGTTCTCCAACAGAGTTATTACAATGCAGTAGAAATGAAAACATTTTTCTGGACAGAGTTCAAGATAAAAGACTTCAGATCACATCATACATTTCTTCTATTCCCTCTCTTAAAATTATATAATGGGGATGGTTAATAGCTTTACTCTGCCATGCTTTCTAAGTGCTGCATTTCGATTCTGTTTGTTCATCTGACAGATTTTAATTCTATTTGCTCACAGGTGAAGCAAGCAAATAACTAATGCTCAGAGAGCCTTCCTCAGCTTGGTCTCTGGAACTTTCAACACTCACTACCCACATATTCCCTCTCCAGCACAATAGTCAAGCATACAATTGGGTTATAAACTTACTGATAACCAGGAAAAAAAGAGGGAAATTGAATGTTAGAGATTTCTATTAAAAAAAATGAAAATCTCTGGGAAAACAAAATTTTAATAGGATTGGATATAAATGAATTTTCTGATTTTTATTGAGAAACATTTTCTCACATAACTTATAGGCATAGCCTTTGGAAATAAAACTAGTCAAGTCAAAATGTGGTTTATTATTTTCATTCCATGTAATCATCAAAGAAAATGAAGATCTCACCATTAAATATGATTTCTCTACAGTGATTCTATGAGGATCTATACTAATTTTTGTGTGAACCTGACATTGAATATGAACATATTTACTAATGTTCAGCATTGCACATTAATTGGAAAATAAGCCTTGGAATACAGAGTATGAAAGGACTCTTCACCTTTGCGTGACCTTCTCTAAATATAGCTTCTCTACTTTAAGCATTTGATAGGTCTTGGAATGCAGACAACTTGAGTTTACATTTTCTGACAAGTATTTTTAAGTGCATTTTTCCTCTGGTAAGTTATGATGAATTATATGCTCTGTAAAGAAGAGAAATGCATAGTAGATTTGACATTTTTATATAAAACCTGAAAATTTGTGGAGAGTTAGAGAAACGAATTAAAACTATATACCGAAGTGGGTAACATATGGGGTGATTTCTGAGTTCAGACTTTGGCAAGTAGACAGTAGCAGTTTTACCTTCTTTGAAACTCCAATTAAAATGTTTATAAGGACTGAGAAAAAAATATGAATAAAAATTGCTATGGCATTGGCGCCTAAGAAAAATAGATATGAGTAAGCATGCCTAAATTTAAGCAGGACTGCAATTTTAACACCCATTGAAGTAGTCAGTAGTCTTTCAGGCCAAAAATGGCATATGAAACAAGGATCATTTTACATTAATAAATGTTAAAATCCTGAGTGAAGATATAATGGTCCTGAACTTTTATCACGCTAGTAGTTTTGGACACACCGCTATCAATTTTTGTTAGGCCAAGTATATTTAAAAAATCAGTTAAGCCTTGTTTTAAGGGATTCAGATACAGATCTGAATGAAAGAAAGCAGACACGTCTTATGTATTATTTTCAAATAGTTAAATGGAGATATCTTAGGTCTGTATTATCTTTGTACGCCAAGGTGCAGAAGGAGATGAAGATAAAGTCTCTGAAACTTTGAAAGGCCTTATACGAAGCTTTAATAAGAGTGGATGGAAATTCAGCAGATAAATTGACACTTGAGGAACATTCACACGGAGCTATTTAGAATGGATAAGAGAGAACGAGGGCTGCAAGAAGGGTCAAAAGGGTTCTATTGCAGCGGTGCTTTAATGAATGGGGAAGGCTAATACTGAGTTATAGAAGATCTGAACAATATTGTAAAGGAATCAGTGGCAGATTGCCATGAACTACATGAGACTAGGAGGCAAAATTGTGTAAGTCAATGGGATATTTAAATGTGATTTCTGTTCCTTTTTTCATCTTTTCTACAATGGAACAAAATTAGGAATCCATTTTGTTATGATTGGCTCGAACCAACCTCAGTTCTGATTCACTTACAGATCTATTTTCCCCAGATCATGAAATATCTATGTCTGATGGCTTTTTCCTATTACAACTCATGCAGCAATAAGAAGTTAATCTAGCCAATGGATTTTTCAGGTTCCAGTTCATTAAGTTGCTAGAAAACCACATTACAAAAGAACATAAGCATTTCTGATAACTTGCCATAACTGTTTTCACCAATTATTCTGAATATATTGCCTCACAAAGATCAGGTTCTTTGGAAATCGTTCATGAGTTTAGTATCAGAGGGAACAGAATGTAATTTTTAAAACATATGATTATATAGTGACTCTGTATTTAATTGTTTGAGGGCTGCCGGACTTTCTCCCAAATAATTACATCATTTTTATTCCCACCAACAGTGTATGAGGCTTCTGATTGATGTAATCAAATTCTTACTTGTACTTGTCATTATCTGACTTTCTGATTGTAGCTATTCTAGTGGGTGCGATTTGGTATCTCACTGTGGTTCTGAGTTGCATTTTCCTGATAATTGATTATATCACCATCTTTTCATATGCTTATTATCTATTTTTATAGCTCTTTTGGAGACATGTCTATCCAGATTTTCTGCCCCTTTTAAAATTTGGTTATTTGTATTTTTGTTATTTAGATGAATAATGATAGGTAATTGGTTTGGTCTCTATGTGTTCTCTTACCATAATATAGGAAAATAGGCATCTCCAGAAAAATTTCCCTGTTTCCTTTAACTCAAAAATATATCACTGTACTAATCACTATACAATCATAATTAGTTATCTAATTTAATGATTAGGTGTGACATATTGTCAAAGATGAGAATGCAGAGTAACAAATATATTAAGTATTTTAAGCCATTATTCTACTTTTAACTTCATTGTCAAATTAAAATAGGAGGACAGGAAATGCAAAAGCATTTATTTTTATCCTTTGTCTTATAATTTGACCACCTATATCTGTTACCTATATGTGTCAAATATAATTTCCTGTATGGAGTATTTCGGATTGCCCCTAATTCACACACGTTAACTGACTTTACCTGACTAATCTATTATTAAGTTCCATCTATTTCTAATATTCCAGTCCCCATCTCTCTCAAAGTACATAAGAATTTAAAGGACAGAAAGATCAAATCTATCTTGTGAATGAAGACACACTGACTTCATTAGAGAAGTGGCAATTTAGCTCGTCATTAAAAATAACGTCCACAAATGCTCAGGGTGAATCACACTAAAGGAGGTGCAAAGATGGAGACACGTAATAAATATATTCATGGGGAAAAGTGATAAGACTCATCAGAATGGGTTGGGGGGAGAATCTTTAAATATAAATTGTAAGATTGTACAAAAGCTTAGGGATAAGTCTGCACAACTTGACCTCCAGGCAATTAGAAGACATAGAAATTGGTGTTATGATACCTGAAGATCAAACTGAGCTCTTGTGTGTTGGCATGAATATACAGAGGACGACAAGAAGTATTGTTCAAGCATTTACCTAAAAAAGAAGCATGCTCTAAAATATGAATATGTGCATATGATAGTGTAATTAAGAAAATTAACTCCATAATTTTTCCACGAGCACCTCTTCCCCTGAAACCACAAGTGCTTCACCTGTCACAAGAATTTTACCATTTCTTGTGAAGAAGTCTACAGAATTAAAAAAAAATAAGTAAAATAGTTTAGATGAGGAGAAATAGAGAAAGAATAACTGTTAGGGAAGGGGAAAATGTAAAACAAGCACACAGAACCAGGCAAAAAGAAATATGCCATGTGACTTGTCACTATGGGAGCTATTTTACCATCCACTTCATTTATTTCATCTGTTACAGAGAAATTATAACATGAGTTAGAGATTTTAATTAGATATTGACTGTGACCCTTAGTTATTCCACAATACCTGAAAATTAAAGGATTAATGTGCTTTTAAATGGAGTTTAGGAAATAAGAAAATTATTACCTCATAATTAAAATGTTTAAAAATGTTAACTTGAGAAGTCATCTAACTATGCATGTTTTGGTATTAATTTCCTTTTTCAAGATACATCCCTGCAAAGATAATCCAAAATACAATTGGAGAAAGATTAGGTATATTAGAGCTTGACAGAGAAGGATCCTTATGGGAAATACCATGTTTTTTAGTTTGTTTATTGGTTTGCTGCTTTGCTTTGGATTTTAGAGTTACTGAAATTGAACACCTAGATATTCAGGACAAGCAGCTAACTTCTTTTTAATTAAGTCTATGGATGACCTATAACATAGACACACAGGAACACAAATAATTAACTGATCTAGACAAAGTCATTGACTTTAAAAACATGTTACCTGGTACTTGTATCAGTCTGTTCAGTCTGCAATACCAAAACACCAAAGACTGGGCAGCTGATAAACAACAAAAATTTTCACAGTTCTGGAGACTGAGAAGTACAAAATCAAGGATCCAGCAGATTCAATGAGGGCCCACTTCTTGGTTTGTATCATGTCCTCACATGGTGGGAGTGGCTAGCTAGCTCTCTGCAGTCTCTTATAAGGACACTAATCACAACCATGAGGGTTCTGCACTCACCACCTAATCAACTTCCGAAGGCCCCACTTCCTAATATCACCTTGAGGGTTGGGATTCAACAAATGAATTTTTTGGGAAACCAGCATTCAGCCCAGAGAATACTTATTCATGAAAAAGCAAGTATTTACTTACTATGACAGCAAAACATGTTTAAAATATTAACAAAAGACATTTTAAAAAGAGTAAAGTTCACACTTAAAACCACCACAGTAATCTAACAATTATTTTTATTTATTTTGATGCCTTTTCCAACATCAATCTTATGTACATTCATTTTACTTCATTGTATTTATGTCTGTGTATGTTCATGTGGATATATTCTAATAAAAATTGTTTTGAAATAATCCATGATTATATAAAGATTTCTATTTTAATTTTCTGTTCTTATATTTAACATTTTTAGAGGCTTCATAAGATCACCTTAAATAGAAGCATTTACTGTAAAATGTCCTTGTTGATAACAGTGTTTAGTGTTTTTACTGTGAATAACTCTTTTAAGAACATCTTTAGACACAAAGAATATGGTTTTTTAATAGCTAAAATTTATTGACCTCTAAGCATATTTTAGATTCTGTGCTAAGTTCCTTTCAATTGTTTACAGGTTAGTTTCTCAGAATAGATACATTAAACAGATTCTTTTATAATACATCTTACAGATAATAAGGATGAGGTCCAGTCAGGCGCTGTGGCTCACGCCTGTAATCCCAGCACTTTGGGAGGCCGAGGCAGGTGGATCACTTGAGGTCAGGTGTTCAAGGCTAGCCTGGCCTACATGGCGAAATTCCATCTCTACAGAAAATACAAAAATGAGTCAGGTGTGGCGGCACGTACCTGTAATCCCAGCTACTTGGGAGGCTGAAGCAGGAGAATTGCTTGAACCCAGGAAGCAGAGGTTGTAGTGAACCCAGATCATTTCACTACACTCCGGCCTGGGCGACAGAGTGAGACTTCACCTAAAAAAAAAAAAAAAAAAAAAAAAGGTGTTCCAGAGGCATTAACTAACTTGCCCACAGTGACACAGCAATCCAGAAGGAGCTAGAGTTCAAACTGAGTGTGGCTTCTGGTTTTGAATATCTATACTGGGTCTTCATTTTGTATACAAAAAAGTAAAAATTACCATGATATATAAAACAAGTACAGATTATCTTCCAAAAAATGGCATATTCGTAAAGCTCCTAACAATATTTGAATATACTCTATCTTGTGAGGAGATAACACTAGGGTACCTGAATAAGAGGTCAAAGAAAGAATTCAGATAACTACAGGTAAGAAAATGATACACTTTGACTTACTATATACATACAAAGGAATAACAGTTCCTATATGCCTTTGAGATTATTGGTTATGTGAAGCTATCCCTTTATTGGAACCACAGGTGATTGACTAACAGATAATATGTCTCCTGAAAAGAACATTCTCAGTTGGCTCAAAATTTGATGCACTGCTGACTTTTAAATATTAAAATGCCATAGTGTTATTAGGAGTTATAGCTAGAATTGTCTTTATATCAGACTATACATTGGACTTCTATATTAGTCAGACATCTTTGTTAAAAGTGGCAGGACCGGCCAGGCGTGGTGGCTCACGCCTCTAACTCAGCAATTTGGGAGGCCGAGGCAGGTGGATAATGAGGTGAGGCGTTCGAGACCAGCCTGGCCAACATAGTGAAACCTCGTCTCTACTAAAAATACAAAAAATTAGCCGGGCGTGGTGGCGGGTGCCTGTAATCCCAGCTACTTGGGAGGCTATGGCAGGAGAACTGCTTGAACCTAGAAGGCGGAGGTTTCAGTGAGCCAAGATCATGCCACTGCACTCCAGCTTGGGCAACAGTGGGAGATCCCGTCTCAAAAAAAAAAAAAAAAAAAAAAAAAAAGTGGCAGGACCAACCCAAACTGAACTTCTTTTTAACGAGATACTTAATTGCTTCTTCTAGTGGAAGCAGCAGTTCAAACAATATATTCAGGACTAGTTTTAATTCTTTTCTCTCTTCCCATTTTTTTTTTTGTAATGTTTCATTCTGTCCAGGCAACAAATGTTTCTGCTTACGTTGTCTCGATTCGTTCCTAGAACTCTAACTATAGAACAGATTGACCTTGAGTCACAGACCCAGTATAAAATGATCTGCGATGTAGAAAAGGAAAAAATTATTTTTGCCTCTACCCATTCTAGGTTAACTGCCTGGAGCCCTGATAAAAGACAAATTAACTAAAGAAAAACAAACAAGTTTATCAACATGTGCATCTTACATACACACAGGATTACTCAGTGATAAAAATGTCAAATGAGTATTTAAAACTTAGGCTTATGAAGCATCTTAAGAACGATTTTTTTTTTTTAGAGAATTAACAAGATGAAGGAAAAGGATTTTTAGCTTCAAGGGGTGGCAAATTGTTAGAAGGCATTAATCTATGAAGATACTAATGGTAGATAAGGGCTAGTTAGTAAAGTTTGTTTGGGTAGATTTCCTTAGTACCATCTCACTTCTGGTGAAAAGGTTGTTATCCCATTCCTGGCATGCAAAGTTAGAGGGCAGACAGGGAAGATAACTTCAGGAGAGGAATTTAGGTTTCGTTTCCAGGTAAATAGAAGGATGGCAGAAATGTCATGTGTCTGCTTTTTGTCAAGAGCATCAAAATAATCTTTATGCCAGAGTGGCATATTCTGCGGTGGCGCTGAACTTCTGTGAACTAACTCTGGACTAAATACATTGACTGAGAGTGGTGGAGGTACTTTCACAAAGTAAATTGCTATACAGGAGACTAGATGTTGGACAGGCAAATTTCAGTGAATGTACACCTTTCTGTCATCCATTTATTCTATCACTCCCAGAAAATTCCTCACACTGTTAAACAACAGTACTAGTCATTTCATTCTCTTTTACAATGTTTTCAGTGATTCTTCATTCAGTATCTCATTTATCATGCTTTTAGATGGGAATCTAGCATCCTTCAGATCAGCACCTCGAGCATACATTTAAGAATCATTTTCATCCGTTCTTTGCTCTATATTCCATGATCAACACAACAAGAGTCACTTGGCTGCCACATGGCACCTTTACATGAATTGTTCCACCAGTTACACCCTACTCACCTTCTAACCCTCTAAAGTAGGGTAACCTTATCACACATCTGTGTTCTGGGGTGGAAGAACAGGTAAACATTTTATGAAATCACAAATTCTTACAGCTCTGTCCTTCTTTTATGTCATCAATGAATATATAACTCTTATTTGAGAAGTCAGATTTTTAAAGATTCAGAGTAAAATATCTTCTGTGTATTAGAATCACTTTAGATTAATGGTTTCATCACGTTAGCCTTCAAGAATTCATTGCTTGAATCAGCTTTTGGACCTAATCTGATTTCAGTCTTTATATTTTACACTATTATATTTTTATTACACTCATGAATTTAGATGTGCTTATGTCAATCACTGAAATCTGAATTCTAAAATCAGTTCTAACTCCAACCTCCACATTCTTTATGCTATAAAAAGTACCAAACATTGAGTCTTAGATCGATGTATCTATCTATCTATCTATCTATCTATCTATCTATCTATCATCTATCAATCATCTGCCTATATATCTATATTTATCTGTCTGCCTATATATCCGTCTATCTATCTATTTGGTGAAATGAAAATCAGGGTGATGAGGTTATTCACACAAATTCACAAAACAGGAGAGTATCAATGTTAGGAATATGGATTATATCTCTAAATTCTTAGGCAAATATTCCTTTCATACAGTATGCTGCTTTTTAATACCAAGATTTGATTAAAGTAATCGTTCTTTAGAAGGTAGCCAGGTTAAATACCACTTTTTATTCTCAATTTTTCTTCGTTTGTCCTTGAAATATTAGTGATTGAAAATCAGACAGAATGTGAAAGGTGTGGCATAATCTAAAACAAAATGAGTTTGAAAATTCATAAGCAGTCACCCCTTAAAACAATTACCTTCTTAATCTATTTTTCTCTTTTCTTTTTATCAGATACACTAACATGTACAGTTACTATACCACACACACACACACACACACACACACACACACACACTGATCATAAAAGGCAAGCTTGCTAGTATAATTTTAAATAAATTTTCTAATGTTCCCTAGTTCTCCTTTCAAGTATTTTTCTTGCTTTACCTATTTAATTAACCAACTGTGAGGCTGCATAGCATTTTATTCATTACAGTGATGATAATTATTCCTGGCAAGTATGACAAAAATAATAAAGATGATTTTAGAGGAAAAAGTAAAACATGAGAACTATTTTTTGTAAGGACAAAATAATATGTAAACTTGATTATTATATTGATTAGCTCTCATTATTTTAACAAACTGTGATCATCTTTGCAGGCAATATTGTTTAAATGCAGTCGAATGCACTTCAATACAATATCTATCTTTGCCAAATTGCACTTTTATTTAGCTTCACATATAGTTAGAGAATAAAATATTTTTGCATAGGAAAGCCAGAAAGTTAAAAACCATTAATATTTTTAAAATAAAATTACATATTTTATAAGATAATTAAATTTTACTTCTAAATATATTAAGAAGGGAAATCTATTTTAATATGCAGATACATTCACTTACATTATGCAATGATTTAGAAAACTGATTTTCTGAAGTTATTCCAATATCATTTTAGGTTCAACCTTTCTACTTGTTCAGCATCCAGAATAATTAATAATGTGTTTCTGGTTGTATTCCTAAATCATTCTTTCTTATTGTACTGAGTGCTTTTATATATAGAGAGATAGATATTACACACACACATATATATATACATATGCACACATACATATATACATATGTATGCACACAATCATATATATATATACACACACACAATCATATATATATATATATACACACACACACATAAACATACATCAATATATATGCATTGGTAATCTGTGTTTTTTCTTAGATACTAAGCGACAAAGGAGTTGGAAATTTTATGGATGGAAAAACATATATGGGCCTTTATCCAAAGAGGAAATTAGATGTATATTTCAGGAAGTATTTTTATTTATGTTTCCAATTAAATTTAGTTTGAAATGAGGTAATCTTTAAAGCCATTAGTTTTGTTTAGATGTGTTTGTGCAACAAAGATGTCAAGTGCTCTTTTATAAAAAAAAAAAAGTCAGTAAAAAAGGAAAGAAAAAGAAAACTTATCTAGCCTTATCTTTCTTTTCATTATTGTTTTCTCATTAAGAGTATTTGAAAATAGTAGATGTCTGGGTGCAGTGGCTCATGCCGGTAGTCCCAGGACTTTGGGAGGCCATGATGGGAGGATTGTTTTATCCCAGTAGTTCAAGAAAAGCCTGGAAAAAATAGTAAGACCCCATCTTTACAAAAAAATAAATAAATTAGCCAGGCATGCTGGCACACACCTGTGGAGTCAGCTACTTGAAAGGCTGAGACAGCAGGATCCCATGGGCCCAAAAGGTCAAGGCTGCAGTGAGCAATGATTGCCTGCCACTGTGTTCCAGCCTGGGGGACAAAGTGAGATCATATCTAAAAGAAAGAAAGAGAGAAGGTAGGAAGGAAGGAAGGAAAGAAGGAAGGAAGGAAAGAAGGAAGGAAGGAGGGAGGGAGGGAGGGAAAGAAGGAAGGAGAGAAAGAGAGAGAGAGAGAAAGGAAGGAAGGAGGGAAAGAAGGAAGGGAGGGGAAAGGCAAAAATATAAAAGTAGAATTGTGGTATCGTATTGAAGCAGGATTTTTCTCAATCACTTTTACCAGCTGGAGACACTTAGCTGGCAACACCCTTGCCTTGCCTTGGCCCCCAGCTTTGGGGCTGGCTCATCCCCCTGCCATTTCTGTCATGTGGGGCAGCTGCCCTCCACTGGCAGTGGGCACAAGGGCACGATGTTACAGCCTTCTCTGTACCCACATTTGGTGGATCCTGAGCTCTTGTCCTGCAACCAAGAAGAATGAAAATATGCTGACAATAAAAGAATGAAGAGGGCGGAGAATAATTTTATTGAACTACGAAACAGTTCTCATGGGCATGGTGCCCCACCCCCACAAAAGAGTGGTTTTTCCTTCAGTGTGGCTGAGTCTGGGGCTTTCATGGGCTCAGAATAGAGACATGCTGATTGGTTTATGAGTATGCAAAGAAAGGCTAAAGAAAAGGCACCGCTCAAAGGTGGGCATGGTAGTACAGAAAAACCAATTAGGAAAGGGTAGGTATACGTAAAATAGGTGAAGGGTGGGGATCAATCAGAGGAATTCTTGCCAAACAGGAAGACAGATTCTCAATCTGGTCTGTGGATTTGACTTGTAGCTTGGCTTTCAGGCTTTAAACTATCTTTGGCTTAGAGGTGGGGTTTCACTGGGTACCCGCCTCTATCTGACTAGGCATTTGTCTATCTCCTGATGCTATCAGTATTATAATAGAGTTTTGAGAGCATATCTTTAATATACTTACCAAACTGTGTAAGTCAAGTTGATTTATATTGATAGTAATGCCAAAACAGGAAATCACAGACCCACCTAAGCGATTGCTAAATTAAAATATAAACTGGAACAATCACAAATTTATGTTAATACAATGATAATTATAGCTTTGAGATGTGTTATGTTTACTTATGTATAATTGAAAATGATGGTAGTCGATATTGACCCTCAAGGTCTCTTCTTAAACTGACACACCTAACACAAAGTACACATGTAACTTCTTGATACATTTTCTGTATTAGTATGTTTTCATGCTGCTGATAAAGACATACTTGAGACTGGGCAATTTACTAAAGAAAGAAGTTTATTGGAGTTACAGTTCCACGTGGCTGGGGAGGCCTCACAATCATGGTTGAGGTGAATGGCATGTCTCACATGGCAGCAGACAAGAGAAGAGCTTGTGCAGGGAATCTCCCCTTTTTAAAACCATCAGACCTCGTGAGACTCATTCACTAATGAGAACAGTGCAGGAGAGACCTGCCCCATAATTCAATCACTGGGTTCCTCCCACAACATGTGGGAATTGGGGGAGTTACAATTCAAGATGAGATTTGGGTGGGGACAGAGCCAAACCATATCATTCTGCTCCTGGCCCCTCCCAATTCTCTTGTCCTCACATTTCAAAACCAATCATACATTCACAACAGTCCCCCAAAGTCTTAACTCATTTCGGCCGTAACTCAAAAGTGCACAGTCCAATGTCTCATCTGAGACAAGAAAGTCCCTTCCACCTATGACCCTGTAAAATCAAAAGCAAACTTGTTACTTCTTAGATACAATGGGGGTACAGGCATTGGGTAAATACAGCCATTTCAAATGGGAGAAATTGACCAAAACAAAGGGTCTACAGGTCCCATGCAAGTCCGAAATCCAGCAGGGCAGTCAAATCTTAAAGCTCCCCAATGATCTCCTTTGACACCATGTCTCGAATCTGGGTCACACTGATGCAAGAGGTGGATTCTGATGGTCTTGGGGAGCTTCGCCCCTGTGGCTTTGCAGAGTACTTCCTCCCTCCCAGCTGCTTTCATGGAATGGTGTTCAGTGTCTGTAGCTTTTCCAGGTGCACAATGCAAGCTGTTGGTGGACCTAACATTCTGGAGTCTGGAGGACAGTGTCCCCCTTCTCATAGCTCCACTAGGTGGTGCCCCAGTAGGGACTCTGTGTGGGGGCTCCAACCCCACATTTCCTCTTTTGCACTGCCCTAGCAGAGGTTCTCCGTGATGGCCCCGCTCCTGCAGTAAACTTTTCCCTGCGCATCCAGGCATGTCCATACATCTTCTGAAATCTAGGCGGAGGTTCCCAAACCTCAATTCTTGACTTCTGTGTACCTGCAGGCTCAATACCTTATGGAAGCTGCCAAGGCTTGGGGCTTCCACCCTCTGAAGCAACAGCCCAAGCTGTACCTTGGTCCCTTTTAGTCGCAGCTGGAGTGGCTAGGATGCCAAGCATGGGGACCCTGGGCCTGGCCCACAAAACCATTTTCTCCCAGGCCTCTGGGCTTGTGATGGGAGGGCCTGCTGTGAAGACCTCTGACATGCCCTGGAGTCATTTTTCCCATTGTCTTGGGGATTGACATTTGGCTCCTGGTTACTTATGCAAATTTCTGCAGCAGCTTCAATTTCTCCTCAGAAAATGAGATTTTATTTTACATCATATTGTCAGGGTGCAAATTTTCCAAACTTTTATGCTCTGCTTCCCTTATAAAACTGAATGCCTTTAACAGTATCCAAGTCACCTCTTGAATGCTTTGCTGTTTAGAAATTTCTTCCACCAGAAACCCTAAATCATCTCTCTCAAGTTCAAAGTTCCACAAATCTTAAGGCAGGGTCAAAATGCCACCAGTCGCTTTGCTAAAACATAACAAGAGTCGTCTTTGCTCCAATTCCCAAAAAGTTCCTCATCTCCATCTGAGACCACCTCAGCATAGACCTTATTGTTCATATCACTATCAATATTTTTGTCAAAGCCATTCAGCAAGTCTCTAGGAAGTTCCAAACTTTCCCACATTTTCCTGTCTCCTTCTGAGCCCTCCAAACTGTTCCAGCCTCTACCTGTTACCCAGTTCCAAAGTCACTTCCACATTTTCAGGTATCTTTTCAGCAGTGCCCCACTCTACTGGCACCAATTTATTGTATTAGTCTGTTTTCACGCTGCTGATAAAGACACACCCAAAACTGGGCAATTTAAAAAAGAAAGAATTTTATTGGACTGACAGTTCCACGTCGCTAGGAGGCCTCACGATCATGGCAGAAGGCAAAAGTCATGTCTCACATGGCAGCAGACAAGAGAAGAGCTTATGCAGGGAAACTTTCCATTTAAAAACCATCAGATCTCATGAGACTCATTCACTATCATGAGAACAGCACAGGAGAGACCCTACCCCATAATTCAATCACCTCCCATCAGGTTCCTCCCATGACACCTGGGAATTGTTGGAGTTACAATTCAAGGTGAGATTTGGGTGGGGATACAGCCAAACCATATGACTTCCACTATTTAGTGTTGATTTCATAACAGATTTAGAGGTGTGTCACCCATTGAACATGATTGTCATGAAAGAAGTAACCATATCCTTACTCATATTATAGCTTGCTGTGCTTCTAAGCACAAAATTAAAGCTCACAATGACTTTAGGATTCCAAATTTGCTGTGAGAAATGACAAAAACTCTCTGTATTCATTTCTTCTGAGAAAATGGTTACATACAATTTGGAAGAGTCCACATTAAAAAAAAAAAAAGAATTGCTCTGAAACTATCTGGGAAAAAAACATTGCTCTGGAACTACCTGGGACAAAAATGCATTCTTAAACATTTTATTTAGTTATATTTCTTGATAACTCAAAAATTATAAGGTGAGAGATAGTCATTGATCATAATCTTTTGCTTTTAAAAAAGAAAGGATCCTCTTGTACTTCAACTGAGTCAGTTGGGTGTAAATATTCACAAGAGCTGATATTCAGCAGGTATACCCAAGTATATCACCTAATGTTAAAATGTTAAAACATTTCCATATATGTTGTTTTTAACTAGCCACTAACTCAAGACTCTCAAGGATGGCTCTTGACCATATGGCTTTTTTAATCCTTCTCTTGGGATTGAAAGATATAAAGTTATGTCTATGGCTATATCACCTTGAATATGCCCAATCACACCTAAAAAATCTAAAGTTAAAAAAGTAATGCCTGGCCTGGGAGGGGCCTCCAATACCCTGTTTTGTGTTACCTCTCCGTCTGTTTGTCTTGGTTAGTGCTCATGCTTACAGATAATTAAATACCACCCTAGGTATCCCTGTGTTACAATAAAATACCTGAAAATATTGTACTAGATTGTTTTGGATCAAATTTCTTACTTGAAGTACCTATAAAAAGTGACAAAATGAAATAACATTACCTTTAAGGCCACAAAGAATTCCCAAGGAAGCAATGATTTATAGATCCAGAATGCAGAAGTAAAGATCAAAGTAGTAAATCTTAAATTATGTCTTGCTTTCCCCTTGTGGGTAATTGCTGATGTCAAAAGTAGTAGCTGAGAGGTTGAGAGGCTAAGGAGAAAATGACAGTTAAGTGGTTCAGAAGGTAAACAGAGCTTCCGGAACAGTTGTAGAACTAAGGAACAACAGTTTAAGTTGAGAGACCACAAGGAAGAAAATCCCTAGTGAACACCCAAAATTTCAGTTTGGCAGTCAGAATTTCTATATCCTAGAAATAAGAATAATTCAGAAAAAAATCGGTTCTCTTGAGAGGGTGAAAGAGCTTCAGGTCATTTTAAGCTCTGGTTGTAGTTATATGTTCTCCCTCAAATAAAATTCCTTGCCAAAAGCAAAAGAAAACTCTTCCTCGGGAAAAAATAATATATAAATAATATACAGAGCATTAAATTCTCACTACAATTTCTCATCTACAAATATGACAATCAAAAACAACTTGGTATTTTTAAGTAAATATATAAATAAATATATATAAATATATATATGTATTTTATGTAATTAGAACAAGCTATATCATAAGATAAGTAACAATTGACCCTTGAACAATATGTGTTTGAAACGTGTGTCCACTTCTAAGGGGATTTTTTTTTAATCAATAAATTTATATCAAGTGTGCCTGCCTCTCCTGCCTTGCCTTTCAACTCCCCTACCTCTTCCACCTATGAAAGAATCAACATGATCAACCCCTGAGTCAACAAGACCAACTTCTTTCTCCTCCTCCTCAGTCTGCTCAGTGTGAAGAAGATGAAGATAAAGACCTTTATGATGATCCATTTCCGTTTAATGTATAGAAACTATATTTTATCTTCCTTATAATTTTCTTAACATTTTAACAACATGAATAGCGTTACCTTGCTGTAATCTAAACGTGGTATATAGGCCAGGCGTGGTGACTCATGCCTGTAATTCCAGAACTTTCGGAGGCCGAGACAGGTGGATCTCCTGAAGTCAGGAGTTTGAGACCAGCCTGGCCAACATGGTGAAACCCTGTCTCTACTAAAAATACAAAAAATAGCCAAGCATGGTGGTGAGCTTCTGTAATCCGAGCTACTTGGGAGGCTGAGGCAGGAGAATCATTTCAACCTGGGAGGCAGAGATTGCAGTGAGCCAAGGTCCTGCTGCTTCACTTCACCCTGGGTGATAAGAGCGTAACTTTGTCTCAAAAAAAAAAAAAAAAAGTGATATATAATACATACAAATACATAACATGCAATATATATGTTAATTGGCTTTATGTTATTAGTAAAACTTCTGGCAGTAGGCAGTAGGCAGTTAGTAGTTAAGTTTTACGGAGTGAAAAGTTATACTCAGAGTTTTGACTGTGCAGGTCAAAGTTTCTTACCCTGTGTTGCTGAAGAGTCAATCGTATGTGTGTTTGTGTGTGTGTGTGTGTGTGTGTATATATATATACATATACACATAAGAAGCCCATTTTATTTAAAATAGACATAATAATCCCATTTTATTTAAAAAACACCTCAAAATGTATAAAGGAATATTTTAAAGAACAAGAATAAAAAAATAGACACACCTACAGGCATATTGTAAAATTAAGATATTCTTCAAGTAACAGATTTGTAAAAGATAGATTCTTCAAGTAATAGATTTTTTAAACTATTTTTAAAAGATTACAGGTAATTAGAAAACATGGTTCACTAAATTGTTCTAGTTGCTGTATATAAAACTTAGAACCAAACACTGTATAATACATCTGTTTTTTAAAAAGTACACACATAAATTTAGTAAAATGACTAAAAATCTCGGATGTATCAAGCTTCAACAAATGTCCAAGAATTTGAAGTCATACAGTGTGTTCTCTGACTTTAAGGTAACTATGCCAGAAACAGTACAAACTATATATTAATAGAAAATTGTCAAATATTTTGGAAATTATTTAGTAGATGTCTAATTAACATATAGGTTTAAAAGTCATAAAATGTAAAGTAGAAAACATGCTGAAACCAAACAATAAAAATATAACACATATATATACACACACTAATATATGTAGTAGTGTTTAGAACTATAGATTTAAATGTATATATTACAAAATGAGTTGAGGTTCTATACAAATTTTAGAATTTTTTTATATTTCTGTTAAGAATGTCATTAACATTTTGATAGGGATTGCGTTGAATCTGTATATTGCTTTGGTAGTATGAACATTTTAACAATATCGATTCTTTCAATCCATGAACATGGAATATCTTTTTTTTTTGTTTGTGTCCTCTTCAACTTCTTGAATCAATATTTTATAGATCTTATTGTAGAGACCTTTACTTCTTTGGTTAAGTTTATTCCTATGTATTTTATTTTATTTGTAGCTCTTTTAAATGAGTCACTTTCTTGATTACTTTTTTAGATTATTCGCTGTTGGCATATAGAGGTGCTACTGATTTTTTTTGTGTTTTTTTTTTTTTGTGTGTGTGTGTGTTTTTTTTTTGAGACAGAGTCTCGCTCTGTCGCCCATTCTGGAGTGCAGTGGCGCGATCTTGACTCACTGCAAACACCGCCTCCCGGGTTCAAGCAATTCTCCTGCCTTAGCCTCCTGAATAGCTGGGACTACAGGCACATGCCACCAAGCTTGGCTAATTTTTTTTTGTGTTTTTAGTAGAGACAGGGTTTCACCGCATTAGCCAGGATGGGCTCCATCTCCTGACCTTGTGATCCGCCCAACTTGGCCTCCCAAAAAGCTGGGATTACAGGCATGAGCCACTGTGCCTGGCCAATGTTACTGATATTTAATGTTTATTTTGTATCCTGTAACTTTATTGAATTTGTTTATCAATTCCAATAATTTCTTGGTGGAATCTTTAGGTTGCTCCAAATATAAGATCATATCCTTGCAAACAAGGATAATTTCACTTTTTCCTTTCCAATTTGGATGACTTTTATTTATTTTTCTTGTTTGATTCCTCCTGCTAAATGAATAATCTCAGCACCTATATCAAAAAGTTAAAAAAGTCAGGAAATTAAACTCAAAGGAAGTAGAAAAACATCATGACAGAAGGTTTGGGTTAGAAAATCATTAAATTTAAGTTTAAAAAGGAATGAAAAAACTAATAAACCCCAACAAGAATAATAGGGGAAAAAAGAATTCTAAAAATACCAAAATTAGTAATGAAAACATTGACATTACTGCAGATAATAAGGTAAAAATACATAAATTTTAAAATTTGGGTCAAATAATTTTCTAAAACCTGAAACTTAGCAAATGAAGACAGAGATTCTGAATAATGCTGTGTGGATAGTTGGCAATATGATCTAGTTTACTCAGGATCATTTTCTAGTTTACTCCTTTTGTTCTGGTGTTCTACATTTTTAATTTTGTTACAGATATTTAAATTATTTTAATCAAACTATTATCATTAATATTTCATTTCAAATAGTCAAGTTGAGTTTAGAAAATGTTCATACTCTGTGAATTGTGTGTAATGGACAGGGTTCTCACCTAACATATGGTTAAATAGTAAGGATGATCAGCAATAACTATTTCTATTTTTCTGACAATTTCTACCCGCAATGCAACTACATTCTTCCTTTGCAGAAAGCATGCTAATAAAACAAGAGCCCTTGATTTAGCAAGGACATTGAAAGTGAGGAGAAGCTAATATAGCCTGTTCTTAAGCAGAGGAAGTATTCAACACTGCTGCTTCTAGGTGTACAAGACATAGGCATCTTGATCCATGCTGCAGTCTGGTTTGCATGAAGTTACCAAGCCTACAATGAGGATACCAATAAGAAAGTCTGGGAATAGGTAAGGTAATGACAATGCTGGCCTTAGGGATATACTGATTTCTTTTCAGATGCTAAGACAAAAATAAATGAATCTTTTCTTTCTTTATATCAGTCAACATCTAGACAGAATTCAGGATTAGTAGTTTCTACTAGATAATTTATAAGACTTATAATGAGACTATAAAGTTGAAACAGGACTAGAAAATCTAATAAGGAATAGTGTATTACCACCTCAGGGCTAACAAATGTAGGGAGCTATTACTATACCAATGTCTGAAGGTCCAGTAGGAAGGAATGATTATTAGCAGACAGAGATGATGCCTGTAAGGAGAGAGTTTTCCACTAGGAATCATGGCCTACCATAAACAAAGCAGGCAACCCGTGCCTAAGCAGCAGGGAGGAAGTCAAGGGAATAAACATCCTCAATTCCATCTTCTCTGAACTGTTTGGCTGAACCTGAGAACATTTCTGACACACGGGACTAAGATGAAAGAAGACTTATGTTCCAATTCTTCCGTTCTGACTGGTTGTGAATATTTTGATGCTTGAGATGAAATATAAATATGTCTCTGATTAGTTCACTTAATACAGTGGACATCATACTTAGCACAGGCCAGCAAAATAGATCCCATGGCTCAAATTCAGCCTTCAGGTCAAATCTGGCCCACTTCTTGTTTTTCGTATATATTGGAACACAGCCCTGCTTATTCATGGCCATGTTTGATCTGCAATGACCAATGGCTATAAGATAAGAAGTTGTGGCAGAGATCACATAGTCTGCAAGTCTAAAATATCTACTCTCTGTCCCTGTTCATAGAAAAAAATGATGACTCATAATTTAGTGGAAGCTCCATTTATATTTTAGAAATAATTTGTCTTTAAGCATTCGCTTCTATTTATATTTTGAGTTTGGGTCTTTTTCTCTTTGTCTTCCATAGTATTTTACTTGGAAGTCAGGAGAAACTGCTTCAGTATGCTGTTCCAGATGTGTAGCAGACAGTTGTAGTCCTCTGCCCAGATTTGCTTTATTTGTGGCGATTTAACTTATCCAGATCTCAGTAAGAAATAGATTAGACAATATCTAAGGTGGCTTGAATTTCTAATCGTCTGAGTAGAAAAAAACACAACTTAGATATAGATTATTAAACCCTACATTGACATTCTTCAAACTAAGGTCAGAAAATCTACATCCCCTGCCACATTTTATTTACATTCATTAATGGAAGTAGAGAAAAACGTTATAGCACATACACACAAGCCCACATACCTAGAAAGCAAAATATTTGCAAACAACAAAATGACTTAAGGAGTTGTGTCGCCCCATACTGACAATTTTGGAAATAGTAAATATTTGGAAGATAAATATTTGGAAGATATTTGGAAGACAATAAAGGAATAAAATATATGTTTTCTTCCTTAACACTTTATTTTCTCTATACAGATATGACAATACACTATTCTCCTATGTAATTTGCATTCAATTATTAAGTAACTGGTGTCTGCTATGCGCAATTTAGACATTCATCTCAGTGTTTAGGTGTGCTAAGTAATGAAGCCAACTATGCTGTGGTTTTGAATAACACAATGAAAGAATAAACTCAATCTATTGTTTCCTGATGGAGACTATGAAGACCTCAGGTTCTATAGGAATGAAAATGTTAGGAATTCAGGGTGCCAAGACATACCTCTCCTTCAAAATGAAACAGTCAGCATTATTAGTGGCCAGTTAACTCCAGAAAGTCACCAAAAAAAACTTTCAACCCATGGGGAAGTGTGTTACCACCTGCCTCCTGCCAGATTCAGAATCACATTGGTCTACCGTGGAGCCACTAGCTTACTCTTTTACACACAGTAATAGACAAAAAAGTAGGGAGAGAGAGAGAGGGCCCCAACTCCAAAGCGAAACATACTTGGTGATTTTACAACAAAGTGACAAGCAATTCAGAGGCATACATTTAAAATAATCAGAATATTAAGAAGCAGACAAGTATTTGTTCTATTCTTCTTGAGGAAATGTAGATTAAAGAAAACATAAAAATTAAATTCCCACTCACTAGTAAAATGTGAGATAAAGTTATTCACATCTGAACAAACCACACTTCCCATGCTTGGGATGACTTTTAAGAGGAGGATAGAGAGAAAAGCCAGAGGATTCCCTCCTAGGATTTTATGTGTGATGAAAGAATAATAATTCTACTCTATATAAATAAAACTGAAAAATAGGGAAAGAAAAAAATAGATAAGACTGCTAAAATAGTGTACTAAGGTTTATTTAAATCTGTACTCTTTTTCTCTCAGAAAAACAAAACATTACATTAACTGCTACTCTTTTACATTCAAGTATCTGACTTATAGTAATAGGCTGTCATAAAATATCTAAACACCAGGTAATCAGAAAAAAAACTTCATATTACATATTTTAAAAGCACATATTTTATGCTTTTATATATTAATATAAAGAAAACCAGAGAAAAATCTAAGGAATAAAAATACCAATAAAACAATCAATCAAAATAAGGAAAAAAATAAACCTTGCCAAATAATAAAGTTTAGGTGATTGCCTAAATATAAGCAGACTGTAAGTCAATGTGCTGGGATATGTTTACTGCAGAAATTTAAAAAAAATTCTTAAGCCACTAATGCATGCAAGAAACTGTGAGTGAAGCTTATCAAAAATACATTCAGAACCTATAAAAAAGAGGAAGAAAAAACAGCAATGAGATTTTTATTGCGAGAATGGATTACAGAGGTTACTATTAAGTCTCATTTTTATTAAAGATAATCTCAGCAAAAAATGTGTAAAGAACATAGAATTAAAATATAAATAGCAATATTTTTATTTATAAAACAAATAAACATATTTACATTATTGTATCTACAAACATGAAAATATTACTAAATTAAAAATATACTTTTTAATCCAAGTTAAACTAAAATTCATACTAATCATATTTCTAAATCAAATCTAATAATATAGGAAGGATTAATTCCTGAAGCTATACATACTTAAATATATAATATTTTGATTATTTATTTATTTTTTATTATTATTATACTTTAAGTTCTAGGGTACATGTGCACAACGTGCAGGTTTGTTACATATGTATACACGTGCCATGTTGGTGTGCTACACCCATTAACTCGTCATTTACATTAGGTATATCTGCTAATGCTATCCCTCCCCCCTCCACCCACCCCACAACAAGCCCTGGTGTGTGATGTTCCCCTTCTCATGTCCAAGGACCCTCCTGTTCAATTCCCACCTATGAGTGAGAACACGTGATGTTTGGTTTTTTGTCGTTGCGATAGTTTGCTGAGAATGAAGGTTTCCAGCTTCATCCATGTCCCTACAAAGGACATGAACTCATCATTTTTTATGGCTGCATAGTGTTCCATGGGGTATATGTGCATTTTCTTAATCCAGTCTATCATTGTTGGACATTTGAGTTGGTTCCAGGTCTTTGCTATTGTGAATAGTGCCACAATAAACATACGTGTGCATGTGTCTTTATAGCAGCATGATTTATAATCCTTTGGGTATATACCCAGTAATGGGATGGCTGGGTCAAATGGTATTTCTAGTTCTAGATCCCTGAGGAATCCCACACTGTCTTCCACAATGGTTGAACCAGTTTACAGTCCCACCAACAGTGTAAAAGTGTTCCTATTTCTCCACATCCACTCCAGCACCTGTTGTTTCCTGACTTTTTAATGATCACCATTCTAACCGGTGTGAGATGGTATCTCAGTATGGTTTTGATTTGCATTTCTCTGAAGGCCAGTGATGATGAGCATTTTTTTCATGTGTCTGTTGGCTGCATAAATGTCTTCTTTTGAGAAGTGTCTGTTCATATCCTTCACCCACTTGTTGATGAGGTTGTTTTTTTCTTGTAAATTTGTTTGAGTTCTTTGTAGATTCTGGATATCAGCCCTTTGTCAGATGAGTAGATGGCAAAAAATTTCTCCCATTCTGTAGGTTGCCTGTTCACTCTGATGGTAGTTTCTTTTCCTGTGAAGAAACTCTTTAGTTTAATTAGATCCCATTTGTCAATTTTGGCTTTTGTTGCCCTCCATTGCTTTTGGTGTTTTAGACATGAAGTCCTTGCCCATGTCTATGTCCTGAATGGTATTGCCTAGGTTTTCTTCTAGGTTTTTTATGGTTTTAGGTCTAACATTTAAGAGTTTAATCCATCTTGAAATAATTTTTGTATAAGGTGTAAGGAAGGGATGCAGTTTCAGCTTTCTACATACGGCTAGCCAGATTTCCCAGCACCATTTGTCAAATAGGGAATCGTTTCCCCATTTCTTGTTCTTGTCAGGTTTGTTAAAGATCAGATAGTTGTAGATATGCAGCATTATTTCTGAGGGCTCTGTTCTGTTCCATTGGTCTATATCTCTGTTTTGGTACCAGTACTATGCTGTTTTGGTTACTGTGGCCTTGTAGTATAGTTTGAAGTCGGGTAGCGTAATGCCTCCAGCTTTGTTCTTTGGGCTTAGGATTGACTCGGCGATGCGGGCTCTTTTTTGATTCCATATGAACTTTAAAGTAGTTTTTTCCAATTCTGTGAAGAAAGTCATTGGTAGCTTGATGGGGATGGCATTGAATGGATAAATTACCTCAGCAGTATGGCCATTTTCACAATATTGATTCTTCCTATCCATGAGCATGGAATGTTCTTCCATTTGTTTGTATCCTCTTTTATTTCATTGAGCAGTGGTTTGTAGTTCTCCTTGAAGAGGTCCTTCACTTCCCTTGTAAGTTGGATTCCTAGGTATTTTATTCTCTTTGAAGCAATTGTGAATGGGAGTTCACTCATGATTTGGCTCTCTGTTTGTCTGTTATTGGTGTATAAGAATGCTTGTGATTTTTGCACATTGATTTTGTATCCTGAGACTTTGCTGAAGTTGCCTATCAGCTTAAGGAGATTTTGGGCTGAGACAATGGGGTTTTCTAGATATACAATCATGTCATCTGCAAACAGGGACTATTTGACTTCCTCTTTTCCTAATTGAATACCCTTTATTTCTTTCTCCTGCCTGATTGTCCTGGCCAGAACTTCCAACAGTATGTTGAATAGGAGTGGTGAGGGAGGGCATCCTTGTCTTGTGCCAGTTTTCAAAGGGAATGCTTCCAGTTTTTGTCCATTCAGTATGATATTGGCTGTGGGTTTGTCATAAATTGCTCTTATTTTTTTGAAGGTACGTCCCATCAATATCTAATTTATCGAGAGTTTTTAGCATGAAGGGCTGTTGAATTTTGTCAAAGGCCTTTTCTGCATCTATTGAGATAATCATGTGGTTTTTGTCATTGGTTCTCTTTATATGCTGGATTACATTTATTGATTTGCATAGGTTGAACCAGCCTTGCATCCCATGGATGAAGCCCACTTGCTCATGGTGGATAAGCTTTTTGATGTGCTGCTGTATTCGGTTTGCCAGTATTTTATTGAGGATTTTTGCATCGAAGCTTGAATAGGCTAATATTGTAATGAAAAAGCAGCTATATTTGCATGATTGCTATATATTTACCTTTACATCACAAAGAAAAGCTCATCATAGTAAGAGATATTACACATATATCCATTGAGTCAGTGTTTAAATTTCTTTTTCAAGTAGCAAGCCCTCTTATCTTGAACCATTATTTGCCAAGAGAGTGTTATAAACATAGTGACCTTTCACATGCTAAATCTGTTGCTGTACAAAAACGAGAAATACATAGTATAGAAAACTAACATTTACTTATCTCTTCTTCAAAATAAAAGCACTCCATAAGTATATGTGTGTATAATTCAGTGATATTTGTAGTAATGAAATATGTAAATCACACGTCTTATCAATAGGCGTTTGGTTGAACTAATTACTAAATATTCACAGAAGATATTTCCATATTGGTACTTTTAAAAATAAGGTATTTTCTGGATATACTAATGTGGAAAAACATCCAAAATATATTATTAAATGAGCACAGTAAACTATAAAACTGTGTCTAGAGTATTATTCTTCATAATTAAAAAAAAGTTTCAGAAGAGTAGGTAGAGTGAACGACACATAATAATGATGATGATGACGAAGACGTAAGGCAGATAGATAAATAGATGATACATAATAGACAGATAGATGATAGATAGATGATAGATAGATAGATAGATATACAGAGTTAGTATAGTGTAAAGCAATATTTGAAGCAAGAGATACTGATTTTTATTATGCGTAGAATGTCTGAGGGAACAGGATTCACTCAAATGTTATTAGTGGCTTCCAAAAGGAAAGTAAAATTAAAGAAGGATTGGATGGAGCTGAAGATATTAGCTTCCTATATTATTTATTTTTGAGCAGTTTTTAAAATATAATATATGCAAAATTAAGTTCTGAAATTTCTACTAATACTATCAAACCTATGATAATCACAGTTAATGCTGATTTAAGAAAATATGTATTATTTTCAGGATCAACTTTATTTTGCATTTACAAAGCACAGCAATTTTACAGAAGTAAATGTTCTCATGAGAACTAATAGAATGACAGTCATTTTTCTTCTCAAAATCATGTTCTCAAAACACATATATCAGAAAGTTGTGGGATTTTTGTTAAAATTTAAGATACTAGGACCCAGTCCATACATAATGAAGCAGAATATAGTCTCTATAATCTATACTTTTCATGAAGAAGCCTCAAGTGCTACTTGTGAGGAAAATGTCTGAAATAATGGCCATAGAAAATACATGAACATAGAGCTACATCATAATAAAACACATAAGTTTTAAGCAAGGTTATAATAATTGGATAATTGCCATGATGCATTAGTAATTTTTGCTGGGCTATGTTGCATAACAGGCAACCCTCCAAATCTTTGTTGTTGTCA
This sequence comes from Homo sapiens, assembly GCF_000001405.40. Lineage (NCBI taxonomy): Eukaryota > Metazoa > Chordata > Mammalia > Primates > Hominidae > Homo > Homo sapiens. Next base: position 45,776,314 of record NC_000004.12, read on the forward strand.
CCAGTGAACATTAATTTCTCACTCAAGCTACATGTTGCCTGTGAGTCATTTCCACCAGGTTGTGGCTTTGCCTCCACATTTCTTCTCCCTACAGGACCAGGCTGAAGCAGAAACCTATCTCCGGATGCGCTCTTTTAGAGGGAGGGGGAATATACAGGGACCCTAGCCAACCCATTCAAATGAATTGAAAGCACTGTTTGGGAATGGCATTTACCATGATAATATATATTTTCTTAACCAAAGAAAATCCTGTGGCCAAACCAAATTCTAAGTTGAGGAAACAAAACATTGTGAATAATGTCTGAAGGGCAAGGATGTAAAATTATCTTTTATAGAGCAGTGAGCTGGAACAATAACACAAAATCTATTGTACTACCCAGGAAATTGTTGAAGGGAGAAAGTATAAAATTTATATTATTAAAAAAACCTTTCTACATAAAATTGTCCATTAATAACAATATGCCATGAAATTTAGATTGCATAATTTCAAGTTATATGAATTTTTTAAGTTATTTATTTCTAAGTTGTCTGCCTTCCTTCCTTCTTCCTTCTTTTTGTTCTTCCTCTCTTTTCTTTTCTTCCTTTCTTCTTTTCTTTTTTTCATAATGCAAGGGTATATAACTTGCATTATTTTATTCAAATACATTAGGCTTTATGCTTCCTTGAGACTTAGCATCTTTGAATCCTTAGTAACTGCAAGCACTATACATGTGTGTAGATTCTTCACAAACCTAAGCTAAAATAAGTAAAATAGCCACACTCCTGAGTTCAAATCTTTGTCTCACCATGCTCCCTGATGAACCTTATGCTAATTAGGGTCCTTGTGCCTGTGTCTTTATAAAATAGAGAGGATTATACAATACCCATCCCAAAGGGTTCTTGCAAGGGTTAAATGAGTTAATATAAGTGATTTTTTATGATGATGCCCAGTATATAGTAGGCAATAAATTGTATAAGCTCTTATTACTGTGATATTCTTTTTATAGATGATGATATCTTTATTCAGAGAAGTCATGTAACCTTCCAGTGGAAGATTGGGTTTTGAATCAAGATCTAACTCCACAGTCATTGTCCTTTTATCTGTGATATAGTCTGTCACAGTAGTTTGATACATCAAATTTACTTATTTACTTATAAAGAGTCACTTATATTAACATATCACAGTCTGTAAAGATATGAGTAAAAGTGTGGGGAAACCGAGCATATTACTTGTTTTCCTGAATCAAGATGGTTTGAATGACTTTAGTGTATGATTGTGAGTTTTATAGTTGACTTAATGCACATTCAAATGTAATCGGAGCAATAAAGAATCAACATTGATTGATAATATATATAAATGATTCATGGGATATAAAAATATATAGAAAATATATTTCTAAAAATGCATAAATATGTAGAATTAAAATATGAATAGCAATGATTTTCTTTATTTATAAAACGTATTTATACTTTTGTATTGGAAAACATAAAAAAATTACTAAGTTGAAGAATTATACTTCTTAATCCAAGTTAAACTAAAATTCATATTAGTTATATTTCTAAAGAAAATCTAATAATATAGGAAAGATTAATTCCTAAAGCAATACAGGCTTAACTATATAATATTTTCAATCTTTTGAAGCTTACACATGAACTTTGGATAACTTAAAATTATTTCAGTATTTGATTCAATTACCTTTATCTCAGGTGTCCTGTCATTCCTGAAATTTAGGTAGACATCATTCCATGAATATTCATGCTTATGGTAAGAACTTTCCCTTACAGAGGAGTCATATATACATAGGAGAGGTTTTATTCAATGTACTTTAACAACTATTTATTGGACAGCTGTCATTCTCTGAACCTCTGCTATTATCTTCATTTATACTGACACCTTCGTCTCTCAAAATACATGTAACTTGGTAGCAAAAATATTACGTCAATTTTACCATTTGCTTTTGGGAATTTTGATTTTCATATGCCTGATCTTCTGCACATTTAAAGGAATTGTTATATATTAAATAATATGTTTTTCCTTTTCATATATTTCTTCACCATCTTTACATCATAATGGCCAGATATAGTGCAGGGTTTTTAGCAGACATGGAAATGAGAAGATAACTTCATTCAAATAAATTTAAAAATGATCTTAAGTAACTGCTTGTTGTAGTTGTTGAATTTGTTAGATGTCTCCATTATTGTGTTGGCCCACTGCATCAAGTTGCATCCCATCAGTCCACTTGACCCTGAACTGTTCCATGTCAATGTTTAGATTGTGTTCCCAAGGTCATGTAAAAGAATTTTCCAAAACTATAGAAACCCTCAATACATGCTTCCTACTTAATGAGTCAACAGATCCCTGTTTCCATGGTAACCTAGCTTCCAAAGCAATCTTTAAAAATATATCATTGGAAAATGTTTGTAGAAGTGCACTGGTATGTGTTTATTTAAAATTTTTGACACTGCCCATTGCATGTTGGGAGAAGGAATGAAGAAAAGGTTTGTTTGGATCTTAAATGAAGACATCTTTCCTGAATGGTTGTATTCCCTTACGGGTAGATAATTAGTAGTTTTATTACAGACAGAGGTTTATATCCAATAGTCATGTGAAAGAGTATCTCAGTTTGAATGGAAGTTAGTTCAGGAGTCTAACAGACAGAGTTTAAAAAGAAATAAAACGGTTTTTTTTGATAGAAAATTGACCATTCAGGAAATACATTTACTTATTTATTGCCCCTGCTCTTCTTGGCACCTTTAGTTTTGGGAGAAATATTTTAGAGTACTTCACATTCTTATACCTGTTATCCATTTTATAGGAAGTAGTTTTTAGCCAGAGCACACACAAAAGCAAGGATTTGATATTAATTTATTTCTTGTTATGTTTTGATAGTACCTCGTCATGTGTTACGACAACTGGAATTTTTGCCTGGTAGAATGTTCAAGTAGATGACTGCATTAAATTTTCACAAAAACAGCTGTTCATCCTCATTCTCCCCTTCAGCCAGGCTTATCAAAAAGAAGGGGCAAAAGTACATTATTTTGATTGACTCATTGTCCAGGCTGCAAAGTTGGTTTTGGGGCAATTCAAGTTTCTGCAGTAGGATCTCTCTAGACTGAATTTCAGTCTGATGTCCCAGCAAGTCTGTTTCACCAAAGAGCATATACTAATAGTTTCCTTTAATAAAATCTATACAGCAAAATTATTTGTAGGGATAACATAAATTAATAGCCAATCAATTCCTGTGTGTTATATTTTACTCATTCCATTACGCAGAGCAACCTAAAAAACAAACATTCTTGTATTCAGTTAGCAATGCTTCATAAGCCATGAAACTTGGCTATTTAAATAGAGCTGTGAGATTATTCTAATTACACCAGACTTTGGCTTAAATCAGCAGGTGTCCTTTCATATTGTTCCACCTCAGTTATTTTCAATATCTTCAAATGAATAAATTTTCACTCTGCTTCTAGACATAGATTGGCAACCACTAAGATTTTATTTCACTGAATTCTTAAATGTCACACCTTTCAAGTGTGCTAGGAATTTGACATCTCATTATCTCATTTTCCAAAGGCCTTGTAAAAGGTATTCTTCTTTTTTTTTTTTTGAGATGGAGTCTCACTCTGTTGCCCAGTCTGGAGTGCAGTACTGTGATCCTGGTTCACTGCAACCTCCGCCTCATGGATTCAAGCGATTCTCATGCCTCAGCCTCCTGAGCAGCTGGGATTACAGGCGCATGCCACCACACCTGGCTAATTTTTATATTTTTAGTAGAGACAGTGTTTCACCAAGTTGGTCAGGCCGGTCTGGAACTCCTGACCTCAGGTGATCTGACTGCCTCGGTCTCCCAAAGTGCTAGGACTACGGGCGTGAGCCACCACGCCCATCACTTCCTTCTATTTTCTTATCTTTCTAGTACCCACACATGACTTAGTTTGTGACTGTCGTAGATACATTATCCTTTGGAGGTGATTTTATTTGGTTTGATTTTTTTTCCTTCTGACACAGTGACCAGAGATATTGAAAGTGTGGCTGTTATGTCAGCCTGTGCCCTAGGGTGTAGCCCTATGATAATATAGAATAGTATCTACAGCTGACTCTGTAATATGATCACAAGAAATAAAACTTTGTGTTTTAAATAACTGATATTTTGTTACTACAATTTTGTTACTACAGAATAATCCAGTTCCACTGATAAAATACTCTAATTATTAGGAAATTGTTAAGTATTATATCCTCTTGAGTACAAGACCCAGTGAAATATATATATACATATATATATGTATATATGTTAGATTTCTAGTAAGTAATTCTTAAATGAATGAAATCATACATCAACATCACAATCAAAAGAACGAAGGGAGCAAGAGCAAACATTCAAAAGCTAGCAGAAGGCAAGAAATAACTAAGATCAGAGCAGAACCGAAGGAAATAGAGACACAAAAAACCCTTCAAAAAATCAATAAATCCAGGAGCTGATTTTTTGAAAAGATCAACAAAATTGATAGACTGCTAGCAAGACTAATAAAGAAGAAAAGAGAGAAGAATCAAATAGATGCAATAAAAAATGATAAAGGGCATATCACCACCGATCCCACAGAAATACAAACTACCATCAGAGAATACTATAAACATCTCTACACAAATAAACTAGAAAATCTAGAAGAAATGGAGAAATTCCTCAACACTTAACACCCTTCCAAGACTAAACCAGGAAGAAGTTGAATCTCTGAATAGTCCAATAACAGGAGCTGAAATTGAGGCAATAATCAATAGCTTACCAACCAAAAAAAGTCCAGGACCAGATGGATTCACAGCTGAATTCTACCAGAGGTACAAGGAGGAGCTAGTACCATTCCTTCTGACAATATTCTAATCAATAGAAAAAGAGGGAATCCTCCCTAACTCATTTTACGAGGCCAGCATCATCCTGATACCAAAGTCTGGCAGAGACACAACAAAAAAAGAGAATTTTAGATCAATATCCCTGATGAACATCCATGCAAAAATCCTCAATAAAATACTGGCAAACCGAATACAGCAGCACATCAAAAAGCTTATCCACCATGATCAAGTGGGCTTCATCCCTGGGATGCAAGGCTGGTTCAATATATGCAAATCAATAATTGTAATCCAGCATATAAACAGAGCCAAAGACAAAAACTACATGATTATCTCAATAGATGCAGAAAAGGCCTTTGACAAAATTCAATGACGCTTCATGCTAAAAGCTCTCAATAAATTAGGTATTGATGGGACATATCTCAAAATAATAAGAGCTATCTATGACAAAACCACAGCCAATATCATACTGAATGGGCAAAAACTGGAAGCATTCCCTTTGAAAACTGGCACAAGACAGGGATACCCTCTCTCACCACTCCTATTCAACATACTGTTGGAAGTTCTGGCCAGGGCAATCAGGCAGGAGAAGGAAATAAAGGATATTTAATTAGGAAAAGAGGAAGTCAAATAGTCCCTGTTTGCAGATGACATGATTGTATATCTAGAAAACCCCATTGTCTCAGCCCAAAATCTCCTTAAGCTGATAGGCAACTTCAGCAAAGTCTCAGGATACAATATCAAGGTACAAAAATCACAAGCATTCTTATACACCAATAACAGACAAACAGAGAGCCAAATCATGAGTGAACTCCCATTCACAATTGCTTCAAAGAGAATAAAATACCTAGGAATCCAACTTACAAGGGATGTGAAGGACCTCTTCAAAGAGAACTACAAACCACTGCTCAATGAAATGAAAGAGGATACAAACAAATGGAAGAACATTCCATGTTCATGGGTAGGAAGAATCAATATCGTGAAAATGGCTATACTGCCCAAGGTAATTTATCCATTCAATGCCATCCCCATCAAGCTACCAATGACTTTCTTCACAGAATTGGAAAAAACTACTTTAAAGTTCATATGGAACCAAAAAACAGCCCGCATTGTCAAGTCAATCCTAAGCCAAAAGAAGCTGGAGACATCACGCTACCCAACTTCAAACTATGTTACAAGGCTACAGTAACCAAAACAGCATGGTACTGGTACCAAAACAGAGATATAGACCAATGGAACAGAACAGAGGCCTCAGAAATAGTGCCGCATATCTATAACTATCTGATCTTTAACAAACCTGACAAGAACAAGCAATGGGGAAAGGATTCCCTATTTAATAAATGGTGCTTGGAAAACTGGCTAGCCATAAGTAGAAAGCGGAAACTGAATCCTTTCCTTACACCTTACACAAAAATTAATTGAAGATGGATTAAAGACTTAAATGTTAGACCTAAAACCATAAAAACCCTAGAAGAAAACCTAGGCATTACCATTCAGGACATGGGCATGGGCAAGTACTTCATGTCTAAAACTCCAAAAGCAATGGCAACAAAAGCCAAAATTGACAAATGGGATCTAATTAATCTAAAGAGCTTCTGCACAGCAAAAGTAACTACCATCAGAGTGAACAGGCAACCTACAGAATGAGAGAAAATTTTTGCAATCTAGTCATCTGACAAAGGGCTAATATCCAGAATCTACAATGAATTCCAACAAATTTACAAGAAAAAAACAAACAACCCCATCAACAAGTGGATGAAGGATATGAACAGACACTTCTCAAAGGAAGACAATTATGCAGCCAAAAGACACATGAAAAAAATGCTCATCATCACTGGCCTTCAGAGAAATGCAAATCAAAACCACAATGAGATACCATCTCACACCAGTTAGAATGGCATTCATTAAAAAGTCAGGAAACAACAGGTGGTGGAGAGGATGTGGAGAAATAGAAACACTTTTACACTGTTGGTGGGACTGTAAACTAGTTCAACTATTGTGGAAGTCTGTGTGGTGATTCCTCAGGGATCTAGAACTAGAAATACCATTTGACCCAGCCATCCCATTACTGGGTATATACCCAAAGGATTATAAATCATGCTGCTATAAAGACACATGCACCCATATGTTTATTGCAGCACTATTCACAATAGCAAAGACTTGGAACCAACCAAAATGTCCAACAATGATAGACTGGATTAAGAAAATGTGGCACATGTACACCATGGAATACTATGCAGCCATAAAAAGTGATGAGTTCATGTCCTTTGTAGGGACATAGATGAAGCGGGAAACCATTATTCTCAGCAAACTATCACAAGGACAAAAAAACAAACACTGCATATTCTCATTGATAGGTGGGAATTGAACAATGAGAACACATGGACACAGGAAGGGGAACATCACACACTGGGGCCTGTTGTGGGGTGGGTGGAGGGGGGAGGGATAGCATTTGGAGATATACCTAATGTTAAATGAAGGGTAAATGGGTGCAGCACACCAACATGGCACATGTATACATATATAACTAACCTGCACGTTTTGCACATGTACCCTAAAACTCAAAGTATAATAATAATAATAATAAAACAATGTCTATACACATGGTTTATCTGTGATGATAAATTTTAGTTGTCAACTTGACTGGAATAAAAGATGAGTATCCAGATAGCGGGTAAAGCATTTGCACCAGCAAACTGAATAAGGGAGACCACCTTCACCCAACATGGATGGACATCGTCAATTGACTGAGGCCACCACAGAACAAAAAGGCAGAGGAAATGTGATTTTTTTTTTTTCTCTCTCTCCCCTGGAGCTGGAAACTCTTCTCCTGCCCTGTGATATCAGAACTCCACGTTCTCTGGCCTTTGGGTTCTGGGACTTGAACTTTGTGCACCCTCTGCACCCCAAGGTTCTCAGGCCTTCAGCTTTAGACTGAGAGCGAGTCATGCAATTGGCTTCTTTAATTATTGGGTATTTGGACTTAAAATTATTCACACTACTGGTTTTCCTCATTCTCCAACTTGCAGACAACCCATCTGCAGGACTTCTCAGCCACCACAATCACTTCAGGAGATTCACCTAATAAACCATCTCATATATCTATATCTGTCTATAGCTATATCTCTATCTGTCCTCTATCTGTCTATCTATCTATCTATCTTTTCTATTTATCTATCTATCTATCTATCTATCTATCTATCTATCTATCTATCATCTTATTGGTGATAGTTATATGAAAAATATCTGTTGAATGAATGAAAGAGTAAATATCTATACACAAATTTCATTTGAAAGGAGTGTCTATTAATTCTGAAATTGTACTCAAATTTAGAAAAGGTTGTAGAGTTTTAGCATATTCAGTTCACTGTAATAGTTTATGATATTAGTTTAGATACATGTACTTTGTAAAAAAGATCTTTCAACATTTGAAAAGATGACCAAGAACATTATTGTAGTTTTTGATATTTTAGGATCTCCCGGTTAAATTAAATACATTGCATTCAACTAATTTCACTTTAATCTCATGTCCTGAAGAATATTAGTGTGCATTTTATTCAATAGGCACACAATTTATAGGTTTGACAATGCCATATCTTAATATGAAGCACATGATTACTATAATAATTCATTACTAATTAGAATTTCCAGATTCGCTTATGACTCGAGACTTCCATTTACCTTAAAACTCTCAAATTTGACTTGCTAAGACCATAAAGAAGTTGCAGAGAATTATCTGATTTTAATATTTTGAATTGGAAGTCACTTAAATCAGTTTCCATTTAAAGCCAATGACATAAACATGGTAATTTATAACTTAATGGTTTTAGTAACCCAACAATTTACCCAAGAATAAAGAATTGTCTTTTCTTATAAATAGTTCCATCTTTTTCCAAAATAGCCCATTTTGTTATTTTTATGGAATACACTCTTTCGAGGTGCCAAAAATTACATAATTCAATAAGAAATAAAGAATACTTTTGGCATGCAATGTGAGACATTGCATTATTAATATTGCGTTCTTTCCTTTTTGGTGCATTTGGAATGCAGGACTTAGTGAAATGTTTAATGTCTACTCAACTCCTGGCTTGGCACTTAATAAACACAGAACAATGTGCTATTCACTGAATTTTCCCTATATCTGATTTCTCGCATTCATATTTGAAAATTTTAATTTAAAAAGTTAGTGGCAGACTTAATATGCCACAAGTGATGATTATGCTAATAGTGACCACATGAAAATTAATTTGAATGAACATGAGGAGGTAAGTACTGAAGTAATTTTATTCACTCTATAATTTGAGTTGTATTAAACTATAATTTTATAACAGTCTTTAACTTTATTCAAAATAGTCAATTTGATTCAATAAAAATCACATTTTGATTATTTTAGTTCCTGTATATCAGTTTAGTCATGTATAATTACAACTCTTGTTTTGTTGTTAGGCTCTTTTAAAAATTTTAAAATTTGAATAAAGGATGAGTGTATAATCACATATGTGTTCTCTGATATCTCTAGTTGTCATTGAGCTGCATATATCTGTGTTTTAAATAATAAAGTGAAATGCTAATGGCATTTAAGCTAATAGAATTCAATTTTTTTTATAGGCTAATAGCATTCTTTTTTTTTTTTTTTTTTGACAGAGTCCCACAGTGTTGTTCGGGCTGGAGTGCAGTGGTACCATCATAGCTTACTGCAGCCCCGAACTCCTGGGCTGAAGTGATCCTACAATATCAGCCTCCTGAGTAGCTAGGACTACAGGAACACACCACCATTCCCAACTTTTTATTATTATTATTAATTTGTAGATGGTGGTCTTGCCATCTTTCCTAGACTGGTCTGAAACTTCTGGGCTCAAGCGATCCTCCACCCTTGGCCTCTCAAAGGCATCAAGCCTTCTGTTCTTTCAGAAACTCTTCTTATTGCTAAAAATAGAAGATATGAGCTGTATGTAAGTATTATGTAACATTGTTTAAGCCTGACACAGACAGAATATGTTTAAGGCTCTATTATTCCTCTTACAGGTATCATAAACCACTAGTAAAATATAAATTTGAGGGAAGCATTTAATTGCACATTTAGTGAAGTAATGCTGCTTTATTATGATGACAAAGAACTCTATAATCCTGTCATTTTACATACAAAAAAGTAGATGTAATACTTAAGTAATGAATACTAATGTACAAGCCAACTATGACCAGTATTATGTTATTAAATATCGGTAATATCTCTGTATCAGATAATGATATTCTGCTTTATGGACACCTTTAAAAAATTCACTTGATCCCTTCACACTTAGAGCTTCAGGAGACGACTAAACTAAATTTTCCAAAGATATTCAAAAGCAAACAGCTTTTTATCTAACTACCTTAGACATTATTACAGTATTCTTTGAATAAGGATTCCATAATCATGTATCTAATACAGCTCAAAACTATGTGTCAGTGTTAACCTGCATTGTATACATTTGAGGTTTTCTGACAATAGAATAAAGGAAATTATTTCTTAGGTTATTTTTCTGAGTTTTATGGAACATTATTCTCAGAAAACAAGAGATGGAGTAACATTAATATTAGCTTTTGAATCATAACTAATGGAATAATTTCTAAATGACATGTGCATTTAAGAGGATTTAATTACTTTTCTGACAGTGTATTAGTCTTTTCCCACAGCAAAATTATATTTTCCCTGGAGAATATTTCCTTTTTCTACCTCAAGTCAAAAAACATATGAGTAAATATATTATAGCTTAATAATTTGGTAAAATATTAGTGACCAGATCATCTCAGGTAGCACAGAATGCAGGTTTCACATATTGTGATACATGGTTCAGAATATTGTTGCAACCACACAAATGCACACATGTATTGTTGTCCACATATTTAACCTCTACACAATGTTTTTGTTTTGTCTTTTCTATTAACATATCTTGAAAATTTGTTTATATTGGTTTCTACTATATAATGGCCTAATTGTTTTTCAATAATACATTTTCTTCTATTGTATAAATATAAATAATTTATTAGTCCTCTACTAATGAATATATATGTTTACTTCAATTTATGTTCTATTATAATCATAGCAGAAAAACATGACATTATATATGTGGTATTTTATGTGTGCAATTTTGCCTGATACATTTTTACAATTTAGTGCCAAAATATCATCTAAGAAGTTTGAGTGATTTACTCCTACCCTGAAGGTGTCTAACGATGGATGCTTCCCTAGATTATGTATGATCTTATGTGATAACAAATATTTATACTGCCAATAACGTAGGAAAAAGTATACTGTAGTTTTAAACAATATTTTTATATGAGTGAAATTCAATATATGTCCATATGTGGAAAAATGTATTTTTGCTGACTACCTGATTATGTTCTTTCATATGATTTATGTCCTTTGATATATTTTTCTAGTTGATTTTGGGATCCAGATGTTGATTCTTATAAAAATTATAATACATAGATTATAATGCTTAATTTAATTATTTAAGTGGAGCAAGAACTTAAAGACACCTGGAAAACAATCTGCAGAATTTTGTTAAATTTGTTTCAAGGTTATTATAAAAATTGTCAAATATATAAAGCAGAGAAAAAGTAGTATAATTAAATATATGTGCCTTTCACCTACTTTTAATAATTATTCGTATTTTGCCAAACTTATTTTCTGTTTCACTGATCTCTGGAAAAACATACATTGCAACTGCCATTCACAGTCCCTACAGTTGTTTTTCATTTTTTTTTTTTTTGGTCTGATTTCTTAAAGGAAAACCTGTGCATCATGTCATTATATCTTAAATACGTTAGTATGCCTAATAAAGACATATTTTAAAATAAACTACCTTGCTTTAACAATAATACTGCAGTGTCATCTAATGTACATACTTAAATTTTCCCAGTTGTTTCAAAGATGACCTTATACTGTTTACGTGTTCAAAATCCAAAAAATACCCTCATCTTTTTTTGGTATAGCAGTTAATGCCCTTTTGTTTTCTTGCAATCCCTACCCCCTTTATTTTTATGCTTTTGAATTTGTGTAGCAAATGGATGCAAAATGCCCTAATTTTTACTATGATAACTAATGGAACTACTAAACATCATATTGATTCTTTCACAGGTCATCATGTGGGAGTTGTTTGTTCCTAATTTCTGCCTTCTCTGTTTGGAAGATTAAATAACTCCATTCCTTTTTCAATTCTAATGAATTTTTAGCCAAACATTGATCATCAAAAGCAAAATCAACACACCCAAAAATTTATAAATAAATTTAGTAGAAGATAAACAAAACCTTATGGAGAAAATTAATAAGAAGTGCAAAAGTAAGTAAGTGTCTATATTCATATTAGATAAAACAGAATTAAGTCAAGAACAGAAAAAGTCATTATATGATAAAATGATCAAACAAGCAAGAGGCTATAACAATTCTAAACATATATATATATATATATATATGTATATATATGTACATGTATGTATATACCCAACACTGGAGCCCCCAAATTAATAAATCAAACTCAGCATTAGACAGATCATCTAGACAGAATATTTACAGAAAAACATTGGATTTAAATGGGACTTAAGACTAGATGTACCTAGCAGACCTTAAAAGAACATTCTATTCAATACCTGTAGAATATACATTCTTTCCATCCCCACAAGAAACATTCTCAAGGATAGGCTACGTTATGCCACAAAGCAAGTCTCAACAAAATTTTAAGAATCAAAATCATATTCAGTATTATCTCAGACTACAATGTTAAAAAACTAAAAATTATTGCCAAGAGAAATGTTAGAAATTATAAAAATACATGGAAATTATAAAACAAGCTCCTGAATGATCACTGGATCAATGATGACATTAAGATTGAAATTAAAAACCTTTCTGAAAGAAATTAAAATGGAAATATAACATACCTAAACCAGTGGGAAACTGCAAAAGCAGTACTAAGAGGGAAATTTATTGTGATAAATGCATATACCATAAAAGTAAAAATATTACAAATTAACAATCTAATAACACGCCTGAAGGACTAGAAAAGCAAGAAGAAACGAAACATGAAATTAGCAGAAAAAAGAAATAATAAAGACTAGAACAAAACTAAATGAAATAGAGACTAAAGAAGCAATTCAAAAGTTAAATAAAAGGAAAATTTTGTTCTTTGAAAAGATAAGCAAAATTGATAACCTTCTAGTTAGACTAACCAAGAAAAGAAAAGAGAAATCACAAATAAATAAGATCACAAGTGAGGAGGAAACATTATAACTGATACCACAGAAATACAAAAGTTCATCAGGGACTATGTTGACAAACTACACACTCACAAACTGGAAAACCTAGAGGAAATGGATAAATTCCTGGCAACATAAAACCTAACGAATTTGAATCATCAAAAAAATGAAACCTGAATAGATCAATAACGAGCAGTGAGGTTAAGTCAAAAATAAAAACTCTACCAAAAAAGAAAAGCCCATGACCAGATGGATTCAAAGCCAAATTATTGCAGACATACAAGGAAAAATTGGGATCAGACACCTTTAAACTATTCCAGAAAGTCAAGGAGGAGGAAATCCTTCCTAACTCATTTTAAGGTGCCAGCATCACCCTGATGCCAAAACCTGACAAGGGCACACACATAAAAAAGAAAACTACAAGCCAATATCTCTGATGAACATAAATAAAAATCCTTAACAAAATACTAGCAAACTGAATTCAATAGCATATCAAAAAGATAATACACCAATAACAAGTGAGATTCTTGCCAGTGGGGGTTCAATATACAGAATCAATATACATCATAAATTACATCAATAGAATGAATGACAGAAACTATGTGATCATTCCAAAATAGAACAGAAAAAAACATTTAATAAAGTTCAACATCCTTTCACAATAAATACTCAGAGTATTGGGTTTGTTTAGAACAAACTAGGGATAGAAGGAAAATATCTCAATATAATAAAGGCCACAGACAAACCCACAGCTAGCATCAGACTGAATGGGGAAAAGATGTAAGCCTTTCCAGTAAGAACTGGAGCAAGGCAAGGCTGCCCACTTTCCCCACTCATTCAACATGGTACTGGTAATCCTAATCAGAGCAATCAGGCAAGAGAAAAAATAGAAGGTATCCAAATTGGAAAAGAGGAAGTCACATTGTCCTTCTTTGTAACAATATGATTATATATCAAGAAATACCCAAAGACTCCGCACACATCAAAAAGACACACTCTTAGATTTCATAAATCAAGTCAGTAAAGTTGCTGGATACAAAATCAATACACAAAAATCAGTAACATTTCTACACACACTAATAATGATCTAGCTGATAAAGATGTGAAAAAGGAAATCTCATTTACTATAGCTACAAAAATAAAAATACCTAACAGTAAATTTAAACAAGTGAAAAAAGAGCTATATAAGAACAACTACAAAACACTGATGAAAGAAATTGAAGATGACATAAATGAATGGGAAAACATCCCAGGCTCATAGATCAGATGAATATCATTAAAGTGACCACATTGCCCAAAGCATTCTACAAATTGAATGCAATTTCTATCAAAATACCAATGTAATTCTTCATAGAATTAGAAAAAAATAATTATAAAAGTTGTATGGAGGCAAAAGAGAGCACAAATAGCCAAAATAATTGTGAGCAAAAACACAAAGCTGGAGAAATCATATTACTTAACTGAAAAATATAAGGCTACAATAACCAAAAGAGCATGGTATTGGTATAAAAATAGACACATCAACCAATGGAACCGAATAGTTAACCCATAAATAAAGTCACACATTTAAATCCAACTTACTTTTGACAAAAACTGACAAGAACTTACATTGGTGGAAAGGACACCCTCTTAAATAAATAGTACTGGGAAAATATGAAAGTCAGGCACAGAAGAATGAGATTAGACCCCTGTCTCTCACCATACACAAAAATCAACTCAAAATAAAACAAAGACTTAAATATAAGACCCCAAACTATTAAAATATTAGAAGAAAACCCAGGGAAAAGTTTCCTGGGCATTTGTCTAGGCAAAGACTGCTAAAACACAAACAAGAAAAACAAAAATAGACAAATGGGACTTAATTAACAAAAAACCTTCTTTACACCAAATAAATAATTAGCAGATTGAAGAGACAACCTTCTGGATGAAAGAAAATATGTGCTAATTACTCATCTGACAAGGGACTAATATCCAGAGTATAAAAGAACCTTAACTCATCAGGAAAAAAAAATTCATGTAAAAGTGAGCAAAGAATATAAACAGGCATCTCAAAAGAAGATATAACAAGATCCAATAAGTGTATGAAAAATGTTCACATCACTAATCATCAGAGAAATGCAAATAAAAACACAATTGGATATCATCGTACCATAGTCAAAATGGCTATTACTATAATGACAAAAAATATCATATTTTGACAATGATATAGCAAAAAGGGACCTCTTACACACTGTTGGCAAAAATATAAACTAGTATAGCCACTACGGAAAATGGAGAGATTTCTCAAGAAACTAAAAATAAAATTGCTATTTAATACAGCAATTCAGGTTCCAGGTAACTACACACAGGAAAAGATACCAATAGATCAAAGGATACCTGAGGTCATGGGCTCATTGGAGTACTATATACATAATAGGAAAGATATGGAATTAACCTAAGTGTTTATCAACCGATGAGTGAATAAAGAAGCTATGATATTTATACAAAATGAAATACTATTCAGCCATAAAAAAGAACAAAATCATGTCACTTCCAGCAACATGGAAGGAACTAGAGGTCATTGTCATAAGAAAAATAAGCCAGGCATGAAAAGACAAATATTACATGTTCTCTATTATATGTGGGAGTTAAAAAAATTGAACACATGGAGATAGCGGAAAAATAGATAACAGAGGCTACGAAGGATGACTGGGGACAGGAAGGAGGATGAAGAGAAGTGGGTTAAAGGGTGCAAACATATAATGAGATAGAAAGAATAAATTCAATATTTCATAGGAAAGTAGGATGACTATACTTTTAAAAAATGTATTGTTCTCAGGTGATAGACATCCTAAATACCCTGACTTTATTACTAGCCATTATATACATGAGAAACATTTATCATGTATTCCACCAATTTGCATAAATAAATAAATAACTTTTGTAAATGATAATTTACCTGTAGATTTCTAGATTTCTACAGGCAAATTTCTAGATGTCTACAGGTAAATTATCACATTGAATATAATTTAAGAAAATTGACATCTAACGTGCTGTAGAGATGATGTGTAGTAATTCCAGAAAAATTAACAGATATGTTTTTATACTATCAGATTAAAGCTGTTGTTCCTTTTAAAAAAATAATAAAAAGCAAAAAGCTTGTGGCATTTGATAAACTGACTAATTTACAGTGATAAAACCCAAGCCATGAACATCCACATGTATGAGACAATAGAATATTCATTAATAAATAATTATGGAAATTTTTCTATTTACTATGAGAATGTAAAATTACAACCCTCAAAATTTCCAGACACTTCTATGCCAAACTGGAATTTATCATTAAATGAAAAATAACATACACAATGTACAAAAATCATGTTATAATTTGTGTACAAAAAGCCTGGAAATAATATCTGTTTGAATGGATATATATTTGCAAAGAAATCTCAAGAAGAAAGGCAGAAAGCTAACAAAAATACTACTTCCTAAGAGGCATAGAATTTTAGTGGGTGGAGAACAAGCATGGCAAGACTGTTCACCTCTTTAACATTTTTTGTTTTTGATGTTTTCAAATCTACCTAATAAAATTAAAGAGATAAATATAAAATATTAGGAAGTTATAAGAGGGATATCTTAATGTCATTGGGTAGAAAGTTTTTTTAATCAATGCATATAAAGATGAAACCAGAAAAAAATGTGTTTAGAGAAAGGGTTCTTAAGGAATAAATGCAGAATTTACCTTGGTGGTAGTTCAACTTTTTGTTAGTTGGCAATCAATGGGCTTAATAAAATTATTCATATATATATCAATAAAATTATTCATATATATATATCTTTAATTAATAGTCCTGGGAAACATCTACACAGCTTGTTACTTTTCCTGGCTCTTTCAAGTATTACCTCATAGTTTAGTTGAGTTCTATTAATTTGCACTTACATTAACGTGAGGACTTGCAAATAAAGAATCACAGCATAAAATGCAAGTTCTCACATGATTTGTTCTGCAGTTCAGTGATCTAGATCTGCTCTATGAGATATAGGTTGCTGTTTGTTTTTTTTTTTTTAACAAAGTATGTTTCATGCATCAAATTGCTTCCAAACAAAGAATAAATTTTTCCAAGACTCAAAGAATAGAGTTTATACACAACAGACCAGAACACTTCATAATCTGCCAACAGTGATAATTATAAGATCAGGAAATCTGTAATCATTATTAACTATTCAAACCTCTTAACCGCATTTTAAATAATGAAGAACAATCATAGGACATCAGCACAATGAGGCTCATTTTTCAGTGGAGCAGTGAAGTAGGTAGCATGCATATTACTGATTCTTATAAACTATAAATAGTGTGTACAACTGTATAGACAGTCATCTATCTTATGAGTGACTGGAGTAGCTAGGAGATTTTAATACTTTCCAGAATTTGATAAATGTCTGTTTAAAACATCCATTCTCTCTGTAATTATAAATACTTCTGTGATAACCCTCATCAATTTTAGGACACCACATGAAACATCCTTGGTCTGCTTTACTGATTATTCCCTCAGTTCCCATCCTTCGTTCCTTAAATTTAGCAGCCTGTCATGGACCCTGATATCTTCTTAAATAGCTATTTTGAGCACTGACTGGATCTTTTCAAGAGCAGTATAATAATATCTTATATTCTTAGAATTTTAGGAACAACACTGAAGGAAAACTCTTCAGTGGTGAGGTTATCAGAACTTTTCAAATTGACTCTTAGATGTCTGTGATTTTCCAAAACACAACTGAGGGACACCCTCATTTAAGCAGAATGGACAATAAATGTTAAATGGGCAAGTCTATGACACCACCTACGACCAAAGCATGTGCACATACTTTCCTTTATCAAGAGCATCTCTACACTTATGTTTTTGATAATATTCTGTAGATAAGACCATACCTAAAAATTAGCTGGGAGTGGGGGCAACACACCTGTAGTCCCAGTTACTTGAGAGGCTGAGGAGGGAGGATCACTTGAGTGCAGGAGTTCGAGGGTGCAATAAGGTATAAGCTATGATCATGCCACTGCATTCCAGCCTAGGCGACATGGAGACCTTGTCACAAAAAAGAAAAGAAGGGAGGCAGGGAGGAAGGAAGGAAGGAAGGAAGGAAGGAAGGAAGGAAGGAAGGAAGGAAGGAAGGAAAAAAGAAAGAGAGAGACCATATCTTTTATCCACCAATTCCTCCTCTTCTGCATTTTGCTAATAATGTGAAAAATATTGAGTCCTAGTGCAGTACTAAGCACTATATTTAAGTTCTTCACATCTATGATTTCATTTAGCCTTACAAGAATCCAATGAAGTAGTTATTACCCTCATTTAAAAAAAATGAAAATCAAGACTCAGTGTTATAAACTAACTTAGTGTCAGAGAGTTTTCATTTCACTGAACTTCCATCTACCTTGATCATACAAGGTATATTTTTAATTTTTAGCTTTAACAATGATAAATTATGAAGATAATTACAGGAAATAGTCTGCAAAGATAACTATTTATCTTACCTTATTAGTGATGTCCAGATCTCATTCTCCATGATATTATAAAATTAACTGAAAACAAATTCTCTTGAACAAAGTTAATGATGTTTAAAATGGCTATACAGTTTAATTTATCAAAAATTGACTGCTTGGTTAAGGAGTTAATCAAGAAGAGCTGAGGAGGGGAACACTGGCATGTTCTTTTACAAGAGAAAGAAAAAGTCTTATTTGACCTTTCTGTTAGAAAAAATTTCACTGAGACAGCTCTCTCCCTCCCAGTCTTCCTCCTTTATATTTTGTCCTCTTAATCTTTTGCTTTACCCCTTATATAAATATATTTTATTTCTCTTATTGCCTTCCTTTTGCTCTTCTTTCTTCCTCCCCTCATTTTCCTTATGGTATTCAGTAGAAAAGAGACAAAATCATGAAAAATACCCAGATCTAGAATCTGAAGAATTGTTCCTGGAACCAAGCCAGGTCCGGCTGCGTTTTCTCGAGGCCCAGAAACGAGAAGCAGACAAACTAGGAAAGAAGGGAATTTATTGCTGTAACCAGATACAGGGGGAAGGCTGGAGATAATTCCACCAGACCAACTCAAAGTGTTACAATTTTCTTAGTGCTTATATAGGTTGGAGTTATGTACGTACATGCGGTACAGCATTCACCTGTCTATTAGTAACTAATTTTGTTTAAACTAGAAGGTCAGAGGCAAAAAACTGCTTGCTAAGTCTGATTAAAAGGGCCCCTTTACAACTTGGTCAGGAGAGCTGTTTTAAACTCTCCAATGAATCTATTCAAACAGCTGCCTCTGTTACCTTGACTTGTCTCAGATTCCGTTGACCCAAGAAGGGTCCTGGTACTAGGAATGTAAGACTGTCTCTATTATTCTGACTTGCTCCAGGTTAGGGAGAAGCCTATGCAAGGCTCCTACTGACCATATGTTGCATTTTTAGCTTTGATGGCTGGGCACTGATTTCCCTAGGTTTAACTATTTGCTCAATGTGAAGGCAGTGCTGTGGAAATCCGTCTGTGCTTTGCAGGGCTGTCTGTGTGGCTGTCAGCAGGCCTGTCTGTGAGATTGTCCGGGAGAACTGGCCTGTTACAGAATCAGTCTCCTTCACCTGGAGAGGTGTTCTCAACTCTTCATTGGTAGTATCAGAGAATCAGAGAGGGCCTTCCTCTATGCTAGGATTGCTTATCAGAGGCATATTTGCCTAAAACAGGAAGAGATCTTGGAGTAGGGACTGACCAAGTCTGAAACAACAGAACAGAGGTTGGCTTTCCCCTTTCCTTTAATTTATTCATCCAACAGATATTTTGAGAACTATGAAGTGAACAGCACACACGTGCCCTCAGGGAGAATACAGCAAAACACTAGTTAAGCAAGTAATCAGTCCTCTTTTGTGCCCATTTGAGACATTAGATGTGTCGATAGCTTGCTGTGAATTACATCTTTTCATATATTCTTGAAAGTTTTGCATTTCTTGTGTTATCCTGGTATTCTAAGAAACTAGCAGGCACTATTAAAAGTACCATTTGATGTCTTACTATAAGCCTACACTGTCCAATATGACAGCCACTAGCCACACGTGGCTAGTGAGCACACAAAATATGATTAGTCCATATTCGGATGTGCTGTAAAAAATATACTGGGCTTCAAAGACTCAGTATGAAAAAAATGCCATAGGCCGGGCGCGGTGACTCACATCTGTAATCCTAGCACTTTGGGAGGCCAAGGTGGGTGGATTGCCTGAGCTCAGGAGTTTGAGACCAGCCTGTGCAAAATGGTGAAACCCCATCTCTACTAAAATACAAAAAATTAGCCAGGTGTGGGCAGAGTGTGCCTTAGCCCCAGCTACTCGGGAGGATGAGGCAGGAGAATTGCAAGAACCCAGGAGGTGGAGGCTGCAGTGAGCCGAGATTGTGCCATTGCACTCCAGCCTGGGTGACAGAGCGAGACTCTTCTAAAAAGAGAAAAAGAAAAAAATGCCATAAAAGAGCCTATTTATATATTTTTGTATTCAAGTTGTCGATACAAAATTTTGCATATAAGATTGTTATATAAAATATATTATTAAATTAATTTCACTTATTTTTTTAATGTGGCCACTAGAAAATTCAAAACTACTTATGTGGCTCACATAATTCTTTTTCACAGCATTGCTTTTAAGGAAAAAATATGTTAACAACTTTACTGAGGTATGATCATTATACAAAAAGCTGTACATATTTACATGCATATTTAAGGTATACAACTTGATGAGTTTAGAGATAAGTATACATCCTTGAAACAACACTACAGTCAATGCCATAAACACATTCATCATCTCCAAAACTGTCCTCCAGCTCCCTTTAATTGTTATTATGATAAGAGCCCTTAACATAAGAACTACCTTCTTCGCAAAATTTTAAGTTTACAATACAGTATTTTTGACTATAGACTTTATGCTATATAGTCAGTCTCTAGGACTTATTCATTTTTTATGACTGAAACTTTGTACCCTTTAATTTTCTTTACACATTTTTATATTTAATTCGAGGAAATTTAATTTTTTTATACTTTAAGTTCTGGGGTACATGTGCAGAATGTGCAGGTTTGTTACATAGTTATACACGTGCCATGGAGGTTTGCTGCACCCATCAACCCGACAACTATATTAGCTATTTCTCCTAATGCTATCCCTCGCTTAGCCCCACACCCCCAACAGGCCCCAGTGTGTGATGTTCCCCTCCCTGTGTCCATGTGTTCTCATTGTTCAACTCCCACTTATGAGTGAGAACATGTGGTGTTTGATTTTCTGTTCTTGTGTTAGTTTGCTGAGAATGATGGTTTCCAGCTTCATCCATGTCTCTGTAAAGGACATGAACTCAACCTTTTTTATGGCTGCATGGTATTCCATGGTGTATATCTGCCACATTTTCTTTATGTACCCTTTAACTATTACCTCTGCATTTCTTCCTCCTAGCCTCTGGCAATAAACATTTTATTTCGCCTTTTCTATTTTGCATGCCTAAGGGAGAACCCTGTAGCAAAACACTATTTTCAATTCCATATCTATGCATGTAAAAACTGTCCATGTAGAAAACTGCCAAAGAGATGTTAAGGTCTAACCATTTCTACGTTTATTTATGTTCTTCAATAATACTGATTATGTGGTGAAGTAAAAACTAGAGTTACAAGATTCGCAAAAATCTGGGTTTAGTTGTCAGTGAACCATATTAGCTCACAATAATTGTGGGTTAAAATCCTTAGGACTTGATAGCCATTCAGACTGGCTTCTTTCACTAAACAATATGCATTGAAGCTTCCATGTCTTTTTGTGGCTTGACAGCTCTTTTTAAAAATAATCATTGAATAGTATCTCATTTAATGGATGTAGCTGAGTTTGTTCATTTACGTACTGAAGGATATCTCAGTTACATCCTGTTTGGGGAAACTCGAGTAAAACTACTGTAAATGTGCACAAGTAAGCTTTTTTGGAGACATACATTTTCAGTTCTTTAGGGTAGTGCAATTATTGGATCCTATAGTTAGATTACGTTTAGCTTTATAAGAAACTGCCAAACTGTCCTCCAAAGTGTCTGTATCATTTTTGCATTTATACCAGGAATGAATGAGAGTCTCTGTTGTCCCACACCCTTGCCAGCATGTAGAGCATCTTTTCATGTGCTCATTGGCCATCTATACACATTTATTGATGAGGTGTCTGTTCAGATCTTTTGCCCACTTTTTTATTGGGTGATCTGTTTTTGCATTGTTGAGTTGAGTTATTTGCATATTTGGGGTATAAGTCCTTTACCAAATATGTGTTTTGCAAACTTATGATCCCAATCTGTGGCTTATCCTTTTGTTCTCATATCAGAGTCACACAGCAGGGGTTTTCCATTTTGATAAAGCCTACCTGTTTTTTTCATCCATCATGCTTTTAGTGCTTTATTAAAAACATCACTAAATCGAAGGTCATCTAGATTTATCTTAATTTTTTCTATAAGTTTTATAGTTTTGCATTTTACATTTAGACTTATGATCTATTGTCAGTTAATTTTTATAAACACTGTAATATCTATGTCTAAATCATTTTTTGTTTTTTGGCATATAGATTTCCAAATGTTCCAGCACTGTTTTTGAAAATACTATCCTTTGTCCATTGATTGCCTTTGCTCCTTTGTCAGAAATAAGTTGACTATGTCTTTGTAGGTCTATTTCTGGGCTCTCTATTCTGTTTTATTGTCATATGTGTCTATTCTTTCAGTAACAGAATGTTTTCTTGATTGCTGTGGTTTTGTGGTAAGTCTTAAAGTCCCATAGTGTCTGTCCTCCAATTTTATTCCTTTTTTTTGGTATTCTGTTTGCTGTTCTGTTGCCATTTTGTTTTTATCTTTTCCTATAATTGTAGAACTTGTATGATAATACAAATTAGCTTGTTGACATTCGATTTGGATTGTTTTCACTCTATAGATCATTTTGAGAGGAATTGACACTTGTATAATACTGACTCTTCCAAGCCATGAGTATGAAATATGGCTTCATCTACTTAAATCTTTGATTTCTTTCATGTTGTTTTTTTACTTAAAGATCCCATTAATATTTTTCTAGATTTACCCCTAAGAATTTCATGTTTTTCTACTATTGTAAATGCTAGTGTGTTTTAACTTTATTGTTCATTGCTACTAAATAGAAATACAATTAAATTTTGCATATTAATGTTTGCATTTAGTGACCTATTATAATCACTTATTAATTATAGGGTTTTTTTTATGATTTTAAGGGATTTTCTACATGGGCATGTAATCTGTTAATGAAAACAACTTTATTTTTGCCTTCTCTAGCTGTATAACCTTTATTTCCTTTTCTTGTCATTTATACCAGCTAAGATTTCCAGTACAAATGCTGATTAGGAATGTTGTTTCTGGTATTGGAGGAAAGCATACATGTTCTCACCAAGTATGATGTTAGCTGTAGGTAATTTGTAGATGTTCATTACCAAGTGTGCAAGTTCCCCTCTATTCACAGTTACATGAAAGTTTTTATGATGAATACGTTTTGGATTTTTTCAAATATTTTTTCTGCATTAATTGATATAATCATATGATTTTTCTTCTTTAACCTACTGATATGATGGGTTGTATTAATTGATTTTTGAATGTTGTTCCAGCCTCATAAATCTGAAATAATTCTCACTTGGCCATGTTATGCAGTATTTTATATATTTCATATACTTATAAATTTAATTTGCTACCTTTTTGTGGATTTTTCATTTATATCTATGAAAAATATTGGTTTGTAGTTCACCTGTTTTATAATGTATATGGTTTTGGTATTAGGGTAATGCTGCTCTCATTAAAATGTTTGGAAATGTTCCTTCTGCCTCTATATGGAGGATTCTGTAGGGAATTGATATCATTTCTGTCCTAAATATTTGGTAGAATTTACCAGAGAAGCCGCTGCTGCAAAGTGTTTCCTTTTTTCTAAAGACATTAGTTACTGATTCAATGTATATGACAGATACAAACATATCAAACCATCTACTTCTCTTTCATGAGTTTTGGTAGGTTTTGTTTTCTAAGAAATCGATTTATTTTATTTAAGTTATCCAGTTTGTGAGCATAGAGTTGTTTATGATGGTCTTTTATTTTCCATACGTCCATGAGATCAGTAAAGGAGGCCCTTCTTTCATTTCTGATATTTGTAATTTATGTTTCTCTTCCTCTCTCTCTCTCTCTCTCTCTTTTGACAGTCTGGTTCTAGGTCTAAAAACTTCATTGATCTTTTCAAAGAAACAGCTTTCGGTATGGTTGAATTTCTCTATTGCTTTCTTTTTTTTCAATGTTGTTAATTTATACTCTAATTTTATTACATATTTTTCTTTTACTTGCCTTAGACTTAAATTGCACCCTTTTTCTAATTTCCTAGGGTGAAAGTTCAGAGTATTGGTTTTAGATCTTCTTCACTTCTAATATATGCATTCAGTGATCTAAATGTTCCTCCAAGCACTACTTTTGCTGCTCCCAACTTTCATTTGTATTTTCATTTTCATTTTGCTTAAAATATCTATTTTAAATTTCTCTCCAAAGACTTCTTATCTGGCCCAAGTGTGTTTTAAATATCTGTTTTTTTAATTCTCAATTTTTTTTTAATTTTCAGTTATTTTCCTGTTACTGATTTCTAGTTTAATTTCATCATCAAGATCTGACAGCATACTTTGTATAATCTCTTGCTTATAATTTACTAACGTTTGTTTTATGGCCCAGACATGATCTATCTTGGTGAATATTTCATATGAACTTGAGAAAAATATACATTCTACTGACATTGGGTGAAGTATTCTATAAATGCCAATTTGATCCTTTTAAGTGATGGTGCCCTTCAGGTTAACTATACCCTTACTAGGTTGTGGCACGTTTTATTTATCAAAAGTTATGAGAGGTATTGAAGTATCCAAGTTAATTAGCATAATTTTTCTATTTCTCCTTACTGTTTTATCAGTTTTGATGTTCTGTGTTTGGCTGTATACATGTTAAGGATTGTTACAAATTCTTGGAGAATTGTTCCTTTTATCAATTCACTTTGTCTTTTGCTATATATGATAATTTTCTTTGTTCTGAAATGTACTTTGACTGAAATTAATATAGCTATTTCAATTTTATTTTGATTAGTATTAACATGTTATATCTTTTTCTATCTCTTTACCTTTAACATGTACGTTAAACATGTACCTTTAAATTTAAAGTGGGTTTCTTAAAAGCCACATATAACTGTATCGTTTTTTAACCACTTTGACAATCTCTGTTTCTTAATTGGTATACTTTGACAATTCACATTTAAAGTTATTACTAATTGGATTAATATCTACAATTTTAAAAATAGTTTTCTATTTATCATACTTGTAATTTGTTTGTTTTTCATTGTTTCTTTTTCTTTCTTTTCTGGTATTACTTGAGCATTTTATATTATTCCTTTTTCTCTCCGCTTTTAGTGTATCATTTATATTTATTTAATAAAATTTTTAGTAGTTTTCCTGGAGTTTGCAATAAACATTTAAACTAACCTAAGTTCAATTTCAATACCACACAGCTTCACAGGCAGTGTAGACACCATATAAAAGGTTTATTCTAATTCTACCCTCTTTCTCTTATCGAATTGCTATTTTTCACTTAACTTATCTATATCCTGTAATTGCCCACTAGAGATGGAATATTCCCCAACTTACAATGGGACTAAGACCCAATAAACCCATTGTAAGTTGAAAACATAGTAAGTTGAAAATGCATTTAATATACCTGACCTTCTGAATATCATAGCTTAGCTTAGTCTAGCCTACTTTACACATGCTCAGACACCTACATTAGCCTACAATTGGGACAAATCATCTAACACAAAGCCTATTTTATAATAAAGTGATGAATACCTCATGCTATTTATTGAATACTTGCATATATGGTATACTTTTTAAGTTATACCACAATTCTTGGCTTTTTTTTTCAATTTTTATTATCTATTTGCCTTTTAGAGAAATTTACAATAATAAATCTTCAAATTCCTTGATTTTTTTCCTTAGCTGTGTCCCGTCTTCTGATGAGCCCATCAATGGCATTTTTCATTCCTATTACAGTGTTTTCAATTCTAATATTTTCTTAGAGTTGCCATCTCTTTGCCTATACTACCCACCTATTCTTATATATTATCTGCTTTTTTATTAAGCATGTTTGTATCAATCTGTTCTCATCCTGCTATGAAGAAATAATCAAGAGTGGGTAATTCATAAAGATGTTTGATTGACTTACAGTTCTGCCTGGCTTGGAGGTCTCAGAAAACTTACACTCATGACAGAAAGCACCTCTTCATAGAGTGACGGGGGAAATAATGAATGCCAAGAGTGTAAATGCCAGATGCTTATAAAACCATCAGATTTCATGAGAACTCACTATCTAAAGAACAGCAAAGGGGAAACCACTCCATGATTCAATTACCTCCCACTGTGTCCCTTCCAGGACATGAGGGGATGATGGAGATTGCAATTCAAGATGAGATTTGGGTGGGGACGCAGCCAAACCATATTAATATTAATCATATTGACTTAAAATTCTGTTTGATAATTCCAAACTTTGTGATATCTGAGTGTTTTGTGTCTTTAGACTGTGTTTTTTTCAAGTCTTTATAATGTCTTTGCTTTTTTTGTTTAAAGCTATATTGGATTTCATCAATAACTGCAAATAATTATGAATAAATCACTATATAAGTTGAGTATAATAAAACATTTATTGAGTACTTACTATAAGGCAAGCACTTTTAGTCAATATGCCTGTGTTATTTACTCAATTCAACTGAAAATAAATCATTATCTTCCTTTTACACAAAAGGAAAATGCAGTCCTAAAGTACCAAATACCTTTGACAAACAACTAGTGAGCAATGTTAAGCAGATTAAACTTTTGTATATGACATTTAATTCTGAATTATATTTCATAATAAACCAACAAAAATAATCTCAGTTTGAGGAAAAAAAAAAACAAAAATGCATATATTCCTGGAAGACAGAGCAAAAATAAAAGTAGACTTTTCAGGGCTAAAGTTTGTTACCACATAAAATCAATCAGAAATACTTCTCAGAATAAAATATCTTCTTTAAGTCAAATCTATTGGAAGTAAAACTTCAAAAATTGTAAATTTATATAGTATTTGTAATAATAATATAAACAATAAATATAATAAATGCTTGTGTATTTCCTATGTTTAAAAATTCTAAAACTGAATTTTATTATTCTGGAAAATGTTGAATTATGCTATGGAAAGCACAAAAAAGGACTTCAGTCTAAAGATTCATAGAAAATTGTATTGTATCTAATTCTCAGCACACCCCTATTTATTTTTCAATCATTTTAAATATTTTTAACATTGGTATGACCCTAAGACCACTAGCTCTAGAAATCTTCAGGTTTATTTTTCTATAATTAACACATATTCTATTTTCTAAAAAAAAATAGAATGAAATGAATCTGAAAAACTTTGGTGACATAAGGTAAAATAGTTGTTAAAATGGAAACAATTTAAAAATATATTTTTTATTATTTACTTATTGACCACCCAAGTAAATAAGATACTATTAAGTAACAAGACATGGTGCTGAACCTGAAATATCAAATATATAAAATTAAAGTACTTGATCTTTCCATTGATTCTTCTAGATTTTCCAAAAGATTGGCACAGAAAAAACTCTACTAATTCACTACAGTGAACAGCATGAACTGGAATGGGCATGTTAAACTATCAGAGCATGGAGTGATACAGTAAGAAAATTGAACAACATTTTGTAAAATTTCAGATATCTTTTAAGTGTTCTGGGAATGAGAATGACGTCACACTATGAAAATATAACATTATGAAAATATCAACCTAGCAGTATTGCTTAAGATGGATTCCAGGAGTCCAGAATGAAAGCAAGATAGCAAGCCAGAAGGCCCGGTGTGACCCATGCTTCCATTAATAGGGATTGAACTAGGTTAATGTAAATCTAAGGAAATGAAATTGGGGTGTATAAAGAGACAAAATACTTTACAGACAAGCAAATGCTGAGACATTTTGCCACCAGGCCTGCCCTAAAACAGCTCCTGAAGGAAGCATTACACATGGAAAGGAACAAGTGGTACCAGCCACTGCAAAATCATACCAAAATGTAAAGACCATCGAGACTAGGAAGAAACTGCATCAACTAACTAGCAAAATAACCGGCTAACATCATAATGACAGGATAAAATTCACACATAACAATATTAACTTTACTTGTAAATGGACTAAATGCTCCAATTAAAAGACAGACTGGCAAATTGGATAAAGATTCAAGACCCATCAGTGTGCTGTATTCAGGAAACCCATCTCACATGCAGAGACACACATAGGCTCAAAATACAGGATGGAGGAAGATCTACCAAGCAAATGGAAAATAAAAAAAGGCAGGGGTTGCAATCCTAGTCTCTGATAAAACAGACTTTAAACCAACAAAGATCAAAAGAGACAAAGAAGGCCATTACATAATGGTAAAGGGATCAATTCAACATGAAGAGCTAACTATCCTAAATATATATGCACCCAATACAGGAGCACCCAGAGTCATAAAGCAAGTCCTGAGTGACCTACAAAGAGACTTAGACTCCCACACAATAATAATGGGAGACTTTAACACCCCACTGTCAACATTAGACAGATCAACGAGACAGAAAGTTAACAAGGACACCCAGGAATTGAACTCAGCTCTGCACCAAGCAAACCTAATAGACATCTACAGAACTCTCCACCCCAAATCAACAGAATATACATTTTTTTCAGCCCCACACCACACCTATTCCAAAATTGACCACATACTTGGAAGTAAAGCTCTCCTCAGCAAATGTAAAAGAACAGAAATTATAACAAACTATCTCTCAGACCACAGTGCAATCAAACAAGAACTCAGGATTAAGAAACTCACTCAAAACCGCTCAACTACACGGAAACTGAACAACCTGCTCCTGAATGACTACTGGGTACATAACGAAATGAAGGCAGAAATAAAGATGTTCTTTGAAACCAAGGAGAACAAAGACACAACATACCAGAATCTCTGGGACACATTCAAAGCAATGTGTACAGGGAAATTTATAGCACGAAATGCCCACAAGAGAAAGCAGGAAAGATTCAAAATTGACACCCTAACATCACAAATAAAGAACTAGAAAAGCAAGAGCAAACACATTCAAAAGCTAGCAGAAGGCAAGAAATAACTAAAATCAGAGAAGAACTGAAGGAAATAGAGACACAAAAAACCCTTCAAAAAATTAATGAATCCAGGAGCTGGTTTTTTGAAAGGATCAACAAAATTGATAGACCGCTAGCAAGACTAATAAAGAAAAAAAGAGAGAAGAATCAAATAGACGCAATAAAAAATGATAATGGGGATATCACCACTAATCCCACAGAAGTACAAACTACCATCAGAGATTACTACAAACAACTCTACGCAAATAAACTAGAAAATCTAGAAGAAATGGATAAATTCCTCAACACATACATTCTCCCAAGACTAAACCAGGAAGAAATTGAATCTCTGAATAGACCAATAACAGGAACTGAAATTGTGGCAATAATCAATAGCTTACCAACCAAAAAATATCCAGGACCAGATGGATTCACAGCCAAATTCTACCAGAGGTGCAAGGAGGAACTGGTACCATTCCTTCTGAAACTATTCCAATCAATAGAAAAAGAGGGAATCCTCCCTAACTCATTTTACAAGGCCAGCATCAACCTGATACGAAAGCCGGGCAGAGACACAACCAAAAAAGAGAATTTTAGACCAATATCCTTGATGAACATTGATGCAAAAATCCTCAATAAAATACTGGCAAACAGAATCCAGCAGCACATCAAAAAGCTTATCCACCATGATCAAGTGGGCTTCATCCCTGGGATGCAAGGCTGGTTCAATATATGCAAATCAATAATTGTAATCCAGCATATAAACAGAGCCAAAGACAAAAACCACATGATTATCTCAATAGATGCAGAAAAGGCCTTTGACAAAATTCAACAACCCTTCATGCTAAGAACCCTCAATAAATTAGGTATTGATGGGACGTATCTCAAAATAATAAGAGCTATCTATGACAACACCACAGCCAATATCATACTGAATGGGCAAAAACTGGAAGCATTCCCTTTGAAAACTGGCACAAGACAGGGATACCCTCTCTCACCACTCCTATTCAACACAGTGTTGGAAGTTCTGGCCAGGGCAATTAGGCAGGAGAAGGAAATAAAGGGTATTCAATTAGGAAAAGAGGAAGTCAAATAGTCCCTGTTTGCAGATGACATGATTGTATATCTAGAAAACCCCATTGTCTCAGCTCAAAATCCCCTTAAGCTGATAAGCAACTTCAGCAAAGTCTCAGGATACAAAATCAATGTGCAAAAATCACAAGCATTCTTATACACCAATAACAGACAAACAGAGAGCCAAATCATGAGTGAACTCCCATTCACAATTGCTTCAAAGAGAATAAAATACCTAGGAATCCACCTTACAAGGGATGTGAAGGACCTTTTCAAGGAGAACTACAAACCACTGCTCAATGAAATAAAAAAGGATACAAACAAATGGAAGAACATTCCATGCTCATGGGTAGGAAGAATCAATATCGTGAAAATGGCCATACTGCCCAAGGTAATTTTTAGATTCAATGCCATTCCCATCAAGCTACCAATGACTTTCTTCACAGAATTGGAAAAAACTACTTTAAAGTTCATATGGAACCAAAAAAGAGCCCGCATGGTCAAGTCAATCCTAAGCCAAAAGAACAAAGCTGAAGGCATCACACTACCTGACTTCAAACTATACTACTAGGCTACAGTAACCAAAACAACATGGTACTGGTACCAAAACAGAGATATAGATCAATGGAACAGAACAGAGCCCTCAGAAATAACGCCGCATATCTACAACTATCTGATCTTTGACAAACCTGAGAAAAACAAGCAATGGGGAAAAGATTTCCTATTTAATAAATGGTGCTGGGAAAACTTGCTAGCCATATGTAAAAAGCTGAAACTGGATCCCTTCCTTACACCTTATACAAAAATCAAATTCAAGATGGATTAAAGACTTAAACGTTAGACCTAAAACCGTAAAAACCCTAGAAGAAAACCTAGGCATTACCATTCAGGACATAGGCATGGGCAAAGACTTCATGTCTAAAACACCAAAAGCAACGGCAACAAAAGCCAAAATTGACAAATGGGATCTAATTAAACTAAAGAGCTTCTGCACAGCAAAAGAAACTACCATCAGAGTCAACAGACAACCCACAAAATGGGAGAAAATTTTCACAACCTACTCATCTGACAAAGGGCTAATATTCAGAATCTACAATTAACTCCAACAAATTTACAAGAAAAAAACAAACAACCCCATCAAAAAGTGGGTAAAAAACATGAACCGACACTTCTCAAAAGAAGACATTTATGCAGCCAAAAAACACATGAAAAAATGCTCATCATCACTGGCCATCAGAGAAATGCAAATCAAAACCACTATGAGATATCATCTCACACCAGTTAGAATGGCAATCATTAAAAAGTCAGGAAACAACAGGTGCTGGAGTGGATGTGGAGAAATAGGAACACTTTTACACTGTTGGTGGGACTGTAAACTAGTTCAACCATTGTGGAAGTCAGTGTGGCGATTCCTCAGGGATCTAGAACTAGAAATACATTTGACCCAGCCATCTCATTACTGGGTATATACCCAAATGACTATAACTCATGCTGCTATAAAGACACATGCACACGTATGTTTATTGCGGCACTAATCACAATAGCAAAGACTTGGAACCAACCCAGATGTCCAACAATGATAGACTGGATTAAGAAAATGTGGCACATATACACCATGGAATACTATGCAGCCATAAAAAATGATGAGTTCATGTGCTTTGTAGGGACATGGATGAAATTGGAAATCATCATTCTCAGTAAACTATCGCAAGAACAAAAAACCAAACACCGCATATTCTCACTTATAGGTGGGAATTGAACAATGAGAACATATGGACACAGGAAGGGGAACATCACACTCTGGGGACTGTTGTGGGGTGGGTGGAGGGGGGAGGGATAGCATTGGGAGATATACCTAATGCTAGATGACCAATTAGTGGGTGCAGCGCACCAGCCTGGCACATGTATACATATGTAACTAACCTGCACATTGCGCACATGTTCCCTAAAACTTAAAGTATAATAATTAAAAAAAATAAAAAAATAAAAAAAAGAGACAAAATTAGGAAAGACCAGAAGATTGTATTTTGCAATGAGGATGATGGAGAAGAGAACTTTACAAGCTCGAGGTGGTTGGGGAATTTTGCTGCCACCAATGAAAATCTGGATGTCATATAAGTTCTATCAAGAATAACAAGCAATGTTTTGCAACAGAATAAGCCCTGTGTGTTTCTTCACAGTAAAATGAACATGTTGTAAAACGATTTCCTCTTAATTTACTTTATTTTTAATTTAATTAAGAATTAGAGAATGGGATGTACATAAATAGAAGTTGTTGGTTTTTTGTTTTTTTTTTTTTCATGACTTGATGAATCTGTCAACAGGCTAACCAAAGAAATTTGAGATGGGGACAACTGAAAGAAAATAGAAGAGGTTGACGAGAATTAAACAAACAAGCAAAAAAACAAACACCCCTAAAACACCAAAACCATAGCTTAATCATAAAACTGGGGCTGAGCACGGTGGCTCATGCCAGTGGGGCGTGGTGGCTCACACCTGTAATCCCAGCACTTTGCGAAGCCAAGGTGGGTGGTCCATGAGGTCAGGAGTTCGATACCAGCCTGTCCAACATGGTGAAAACCCATCTCTACTAAAAATACAAAAATAAGCCAGCCGCAGTGGTGTTCACTTGTAATCCCAACTACTCAGGAGGCTGAGGCAGGAGAATTGCTTGAACGTGGGAGGCAGAGGTTGTAGTGACCTGAGATCATGCCATTGCACTCCAGCCTGGGCAACACAGCGAGACTGTGTCTCAAACAAAAATAAAATAAAATAAAATAAAACTAGATTAAAGCATAAGTCTTAATCAAATGAATAGTAGAAAAATAAGGCCCATACTATATCAAAGGGAACCATGGCTTCTGAATTTTCCTTTACATTTTTGTAGAGACAAACGTACTTAGAATTTATTTACATTTTAAGCTTATGCAGTGCGCGAGAGGATGTTTTTACTTACTTGTAAAAAAAAATCTTAGTGATTAATATGGGAAGTTAATAATTTGAAACAGTAACAATCCCTATTTCCAGAGTCATTGTTCCTTGGCAGTGTGTTTCAGAAAACCATCACAAAAGTTATTTGGAATTCTTGATATAAAAGGAAAGATAAAAGTGGGATTAGGTTCTAGAAGAAGAATTAGGTTCTAGAAATTGCCTTTCAATTGAAAGCCTTTAACAGATTTGTAATTTCTGTTGCCACAATAACGGCAGCATGCAACCATTTGTGTTTTATACATTAATGTTTACACAAGAAAGAAAATATGTATGTATTTTTATTTTAATAAATAACTCAAAAAGGACAAATGTCTTCGTCATACTTCAATGTTACTGAGCACAGTAAAAATCCGATTAAGTTGATTTTCCCACTAGCTTTTTTAACCAAAAGTGTTACTTTCCCTTTCTGGTGTTCAGATTTTCAACATTAATTAATTATTTCACATTCCTGCTTTAGAAGTTGTGAACAGATTCACCATTTGTTCAACTGAATAGTCGGTTTTTTTTTTATTGATATAAAATGTGTGACTAAGTCACAAGAATGTAGAATGCATTCTACATAATTATTTAGGAACTTTTTATTTATATATTTATTTATTTATTTTACATAAAGGAACTTTTTAGATCTTCACATAATTCGAGAAAACATTGGCTCCTTTATTCACTGGGTTGGTTGAATGAGTTATGTAACAAAGCTGAGATGAAAAGTTTTGTTTTTTATTGATATAAAATGTGTGACTAAGTCATAAGAATGGAGAGTGCACTTTACACACTTATTTAGGAACTTTTTATTTATTTATTTTTTTACATAAAGGAACTTTTTAGATCTTCACGTAATTTGAGGAAACATTGGCTCCTTTATTCACTGTGTTGGTTGAATGAGTTATGTAACAAAACTGAGATTAAAAGGAAAAAAGTTTGAGAGGTCCACAACTGCTTGAGAAATCTCTAATCTGGATAAACTTTATTAATTATTTACTTAACTATTCATCAATACAGATTATTTTAGCCTATTGGTTATTCTAATTATAGCTTATCGACTAATGTAAATTTGTAACTAATCTCAGAATAATATTCTGGCAAGTACATTTGGATAAAGGTCATATCAAGGTGTTTTTATATTTTGTTTTTTTAATTGACATAAAATAATTGTATATATTTATGGAGTACATAGTGATGTTTCAATACATATAATGTACAGAGATCAGATTAGGTTAATTAATATTTCCATCATCTCATTTACTATTTATTTGTTTTGAGAACATTCAATATCCTCCTTCTAGCTATTTGAAGCTATATTGTTAATTATAATCATACTACAGTGGTGCAGAACACAGAAGTTTATCCTTCTAACAAGCTGTAATTTTGTATCCTTTAACAAATCTCTCCCTAATCTCCCCCTTCCCCTTCTTCTTCCCAGCCTCTAGTGTCCTCTGTTCTATTTGTTTCTTCTATGAGATCAACTGTTGAGACTTCTATGTATGAGTGAGAATATGCGGCTACCCTTTGAAGCAAAATCCTTTGAAAGAGTTATGTGTATTTAGTGTTCACAACTCCTCTCCTCCATTTTGTTATTTAACACATTATAATCAGGTTTTGTCAAGGTTGCCAAAGAAGTCAGTTGTTATTAAATCAACTTGTCCATTATTATATCTTATCTTACTTGATTTCCTTGGTACTTAACAGATTATCACTCCTTGTTATCATATCTGCACTTGACTTGATGTCACATGTTCTTGTCTTTTCTTCTGTCTCTCTCATTTTCTTTTTCCTGGGCTGGTTCCTCCTCTTCTCTCTGACATAGAGCATCTTATTTTTGGAGTATGTCAGGGATTAGCGATTGTGCCACTTTTCTTCTCCATCTACACATAGCTCCTTGGTTCTTTCACAACCAGGCACCAATGACCCCCAAATTAATATACATAGCCTAGACTTCTGTCCTGAATTCTAGACTCATAGATTCCCTAATTACTTGATATCTCTACTACAATTTTTCATGAACAACTGAAACTTAGTATTCCTAAAACTTACCCCCTGGTTTTTCCATCCGAAGGTGCTCTACTATAAGATTTTCATTTCAGTTAATTAAAACTCTAAGGTTTTTCTAGTTATCAGTGTCCCTTTCACTAAAGTTAAAATTTAGTTCACAAATATTTATTACAATAGATATGTAAGAATTGATAAAATGCCTCCTAACTGTAGTCTAATGGTTATAAAAATTATGTTATTAGACACTGTGGAAACAGAAAAATGTAAGAGTCTCCTAGTCCAGACTAAGACTGAAAGCAGAGAGCAGTGATGTTGATTAGGAAGTGAGTCTAAAAGTCTGACATGGATTTTATAAGTGAACCTTTATGTGTATGTTATATTTAATTAAGCTCTTACAAGTTGAATTCAAGAAATATATACTGAGAATCTATTATAGGTGAAATCCTGGGTTAGGTGCTAAAGTTTTCATGAAAATGAACACAGTGTGATCTTTGACTTCAAGGAGAAAAGAAATAGATTGATTTTTATAATGAATACAACTAAAAAAGGGAGAAAGTTACAGAAAGTTGAGACCCGAGAAAAGAAACTGGATATTCTCTCTAAAGGGTGTGTGACCCAAGTATGAAAGAGAGTGGCCAAAGAATACATAAAGCCCAACCAAAAGCCAAACGTCTAGAAATGTGGGACAGAACAAAAGCATGAATAACAAGAAAAGAGAAATTGACACTAATGATTAAGTATCGACGTCTCCAGCTTTTCATTTGGAAACTTGGCTAATTTCATTGGCCTCTGTCTATACCTTTCACTCAGAGGAGGAGTTTGTTTCTGATTAATGTGTTTGTAGAAGACAATTGAAGCAGTTTCCAGGGTATCTCTTCTTTTTAGAACTAAGCTGTCCTCAGCACATACACATTTACTGCTCCATCATAGACCAGGCTTTTCACAGATGAGGGAACCTTGCAAATGTCAAGCACTGCCTAAGACTGAATGATAAGGGACTACTTCATTAAGGAAGGAAATAGTATGAAATCCATCATGATCCTGCATTTTAAGTCTTATTCACCAATCACCTTTATTAATAATAATGTTTGATACCCATCTTTCTACATCCTGCTTCTCTCAATTGTCCATTCTAGAGATGATGGAACAGTTTAACATTAAACCCTAAATCCAACCAGGATATGATTAAAAGGTATCTACCACTGCATTCAGGCCAAGGGGATTTAAAAAAGACATATTTTTAATAAGATACCTCAAATTAAAAAGTTTACTTAGTGTAGGATGATAGAAATCAGATTGTAAAAGTAAAAGAAGTAAATGAATGATGAATAAATGAGACTAATGAGGAAATATAATAATTTTGAGTACCTTTTAAATTGAAGAAACAAAAATGAAAATACCAGCATAGGGATGGTAGGAAAGAAATAATTTTTTTCTTACTTATTTCATTCAAACTGCCTTTTAGAATTTTGCCATTTTCACAGAGGAGAAGAAGATTATGAAAAGGAAAATTGAATAGAGGAAGAGATAAATAACAAGTAAAAAATATAAAGAGGATAAAATCAAGGCATGATAAAGAGATTAATTTCAGGTCAGATGAAGACTTATATAAAAAGAAAATAAAATTATATTAAAAACATATATTAGGAGCTAAACAAAAAGAAATATGAAGGAGTTTACTTCAGATACTCTCATTATTGTCAGCCACGGTGGGGATAAAACCTTCAGCCAAAGACGCTGGTAGGTTGGAAACTTACAGAACAGTCAAAATTGCCCTAATAAAGTGCCACTGAAAACTAATAAAGCAATTACTAACCATAAAATAACAACAGGATAATAGTAAAATAACATATTTTACAGTATCTAATATTTAAAATATCTTCTGAGGCCAAGCATGATGAAAAATATCTTTCTTTTGGACAATGATCTCTTATTATTTCCATTTTACATAGATATTTGACTAAGATTCACAATATTTTGGTGCTTGGAATATATATATATATTGTATAGTAAAAAATACTAGTACAATATTTCCCTACTGTATTACCTCCATTTCCAGGGAATTGAATACCTAATGGAATTTACAAAATAATAAACAATTGAGCTGCTATTTTTTAAAATGATCCAAAACTAAATAACATGAGGGAAAGTGCTTTGTTTTATTTTTTCTCAATGAAAGAGAAGTATGAGGAAATCTCAGTGTACTACATAGACAGAAGAAAGCTCACAATTGAAATCACCCTCAAACCCATAAATAAAAATCAATAAAATGTCAAATCTATTTTATATGACCACTATGATACATGGAATAACCTGATCATTGACACCGATATAGTTTTCAAAGAATTTCCAAGTGTAAAGTTTATTTAATGTTTTTGATATATGGCATATACCATGAATTTCCTCACTCTTTTGTTTCTATATATAATAAGGACACATTTCTAAAAATTCAGTAATGATACAATTATTTATGAATTATGTAATAATAATGAATGACATTTATATTTTTACTACTATAAGCCACAGAGTAATTTCTTACAAGCAACAAAATAAGCAAATTTTGAAATAAAAAGGAATCCTCATTTTAAGACAAAATGATCCAAATTCAAAAGTATTCTATAACACAAATAAGGGAGAAAAAGCACATCCTCATCAACATTTTTCTTAGAAAAATAAATAAAGTATACCAAAAATCCATACAGCTAGTAGCACAAGTCCTATTTATTTCTCATTTTCTAATATTGCTTTTGAAAACATGATTTAATCTTGAAATTAACCAAAACCTTTGTTTCTTTTTTTCAGCTTCTAAAATAAGCAATGACTGGGAAGTTATCAAAGAAAATAGACATAGTCCTGCTAAATCTTAGAGTGATATCAAATCTGCTCAAATAAGATATGACATTAAACTTTAAATATGGTTTTTTTCTTCTTATTTTCAGAATGCCAAGGTAAACACGTCTGTATTTTTCAATGTATTGTAAAATACGTGATTAGATATAGACTTGGCCACATGGATTTCTTAGGGAAATTGCTTTGGATTTCACTTGACATAATGGGAACAAGGATATATTATTTATTATTTACCCATTTGTGCTTTAGTTGAGCATTCTTTGATGCGTTTGTCATTATTTCAGTAAAGAAGGAAAATAATCACTTTAAGCAATTATTCTGTGTCAGACACCGTGTCAGACACCATGCTCTGTGCTGGGAACCCACAGACCCTTTTCAGGAGCTCAAACCATGCTGCTCTGTGCTTTGTTCATCACATGGCTCATCAGCTGCGGTTATGCTGTGCGACTATTAGGAAAGGATGAAAATGAGTTCGTTTAAATGGGTTTCTCCATTTACGCTTTATAGGATGTGCCAAGATGCAGAGCTAAAATGATAGAATCACTGAGATATTTCCATCTGATTCTAGTTTGCCCACTTCTGCCAACCTCCATTTCGATTTGTTCAAATTCTAAAAGTATGGAGGTGCACTGAGCAGGATGTCCCATGAAAAGGAAGGGTTGACTATTTACAAATGCACATAATCCTTCAGTGTCTATTTGACATCCTATTTGTGGCGTAAATAGGGATAATCTGACTTATTGACTTTTTGTCTGCCTCGTATTGTAGAATTTACATGTTTATTCTTTATTTATAAAAACATTGTTTCAAAAATATTCAGTCAATCATCAGGTGGTGGCAATGCCACAATAAGAAAATCACCTGTCTCTGAGAAATGCCAGCTTTCATCCGCAATTTACTTCAAATAAATGAGAGAAGTGGTGAGATCTTTGTATAGAAAATATGTGACAAATTACTCATGTTGCTTCAGCCTCAATGGACATAGGTTGAAAATTCCCAAGACCGTTTCTCCAGAAAGTAGCAGAAAAGCTGGAGTAGTTTGTACTAATGCATAATAATGTCTTTCTAATTAGAAACGTGAAGATTCAGAGACAAACACACACACACACCCCTCTTTTACACATTGTATGGTACATGGAGAACTTTGCCAATTGAATTATGTCTTTATTGCTACCTAGCATAAACAAATTACCATAAATGTAGTGGCAAAAAACAAGACAAATTTATTATCTCATAGTTTTTCTATGAATTAAGAGCCTGGTTACAGATTAGCTGGGTTCTCAGAATTATGACTTACAAAACACCTTTATATGTATAGGTACATAACACCTTTATATGTGGTGACTTATCCTCACAGGCTCTATGAATTACTGTGAAGCTAGATGAGGAACCTAAGACTGAGAGACTAAACAGAAACAAATATCCAAAATGGTGAAAGGAGGACACCAGTGTGCTCTCACTCTGTTTATTCTACTCTATCATTAATGTTTGTTAGTACAAGGGCCAAAGGATTGATGTCTGATGACACGTCATAGAGAGAGACAATCGGGAAGTACTGAGAGTTTGTACCAGGCTGAAATCAAGAGTCTTTAGGTCTATGAGGCTTGTGTCTCCCAAGCTTACTGCTCACATGCAGAATTCAGTTTCTTATTGTGGTATAATTGAAGTCCCTGTTTTCTTGCTGACTTTTGAGTGGAGACAGTTTTCAGCTCCTACAAGCTGCAGTCAGGTCCTTGTCATGGGATCTCTTCCACAGAAAATTTACATCATTTTTTTTTTCTTTCTCAAAGTTAGAAGGAGAGTATCTCTCATTTCGAATCTCCCTATCCTCTTTTAAGGGCTCCCTGGATTAGGTTTGGTTCACAGAGGATAATCTCTCTTTTTCTTAACTCAATGTCAAATGATTTGGGACCTTAATCATGTCTGCAAGGTTTTGTCTGTTACACAACTTGAAGTACTCATATACCCTATCCACAATCCCACTGTCACTCAAAGCACATGAACTCATTATGTTTATGAGTGGGTGGGAGCTTTGGGGCCCTCTTAGAATTCTGCCTACCACTTTAACTGTCTCCCTCTACGACATGTCATCAGACATCAATCCTTTGGCCCTTGTACTAACAAACATTAATGACAGGGTAGAATAAACAGAGTGAGAGCACATTGGTCTCTTCCTTTCACCATTTTGGATATTTGTTTCTGTTTAGTCTCTCAGTCTTAGGTTCCTCATCTAGCTTCACAGTAATTCATAGAGCCTGTGAGGATAAGTCACTACATATAAAGGTGTTATGTACCTATACATATAAAGGTGTTTTGTAAGCCATAAAGCAATTATTGTACACAGGAATGTCAAGTGAAGACACAAATATGTATAGTCATTATATATGTATGAATATTGTGTATGTGTGTATAATACAACTGCATACATTATAAATACAACAAAAAAGCACATATGCAAATTTGTGTGTGTTTTGCATATATATTATACATTTACTTAGTCACTTACTACCAGAGCCAATGCCATAGAGTAACTTCATTGATTTAATCAGTAACCTTTAAAAGATTATAATTTTACCAACATAGCTTTAGTTTCATAAGTCCAACCACCACAGTGTTTTTTGGTTTGCCTTATTTGACCATTATATCCCGTCTAATCCACATAGCTTTGACTACTTTAATTTCCCTATGGGTGGAATAACAGATGCACTAAAGATTCTTCCCTCTTCGGAAATGCTTGATTCCAGTGTTGAACCATGCTGTATACGAGGCTTTATTGTATCTTATAATGCAATCTTTTTTCAAGTTTTATCTGATCCTTCCAGATAACTCTAATATTACCTGTAACTCTAATATTACCTGTTGTTCTAAACTGAAAATAAGAGTTTTAGGACTTGTGAATGCTGTTTATTAGAAAAGTTATTACTCTCACATATTATGTACCTTGGGAAGTACTGCGAGTTTGGAAGTCGAATGCGAATGAGAAAAGCATTATGGTAAGACTAACCTTGAATTACTTTCATAGTGCATTGAAAATTTAATTCACAAATCCAAATCTATACACTTTAAAAATAAGTGGTAACAAATTATTTGTTACATATCTCGAATATTTGTCATTCTTAAAGAAAGTGGCTAATAATTCTGAGGTTACAGTAGAACAATAAATTTATGTCAGGAACTAATATAATTTTTTCCTAGCTGAGACCTCCTATTAACAAATTCTTAGTTGTAGAAAAGGCAGGGACTATTGTGAAGTTTATTTGAAAAACAAAAATATTATACATTAGAGAGTATAAGTGAACACTTGTCCCTTAGCTGAGACAGACAAATGTCCCACTTGCTTGCAGGACAGGTAGTATGTTACCTTCAGGAAATAATCCACCTCTTTAGGAAACAGCAATTAAAAATCATGAAGAGGGTTTTGTCACTCACTTCATTTGCAAAAGTTTTCTTAACAGATGGTCCACAATAGGCCTCTAGATCATACAGCTTCTACTCAAGTCTACCAACTCATTTAAGATCAAAAGACTTTGGGGATTAGTTGATGTTGTTTAAATACAACAAATACCTAAAATGAACATCTACTTCCATACAATTATAAAGCATAATTTAACATTCCTAAATATACACAAAAATACAAAACAATGCTTAAAAATGTGAAAGTGATCTTACAAAAAGTAAATCATCAAAACAGCATGTCATTCCCAGTTGAAAACCACCATAAGACAAGGATGTCCTCTCTCACCACTCCTATTCAACATAGTATTGGAAATTCTGGCCAGGGCAAGAGAAAGAAATAAAGGACATTCAATTAGGAAAAGAGGAAGCCAAGTTGTTTCTGTTTGCAGATGACATGATTATATATTTAGAAAAGCCGTCCTCTCAGCCTAAAATCTCCTTAAGCTGATAAGCAACTTCAGCAAAGTCTCAGGATACGAAATCAATGTGCAAAAATCACAAGCATTCCTATACACCAATAACAGACAAACAGAGAGCCAAATCCTGAGTGAACTCCCATTCACAATTGCTTCAAACAGAATAAAATACCTAGGAATCCAACTTACAAGGAACGTGAAGGACCTCTTCAAAGAGAACTACAAACCACTGCTCAATGAAATAAAAGAGGACACAAACAAATCAAAAAACATTCCACGCTGATGGATAGGAAGAATCAGTATCGTGAAAATGGCCACACTGCCCAAAGTAATTTATAGATTCAATACTATCCCCATCAAGCTATCACAGACTTTCTTCACAGAATTGGAAAACACTACTTTAAATTTCATATGGAATCAAAAAGAGCCTGCATACCTAAGACAATCCTAATCAGAAAGAACAAAGCTGGAGACATCACACTACCTGACTTCAAACTATACTACAAGGCTACAGTAACCAAAACAGCATGGTACTGGTACCAAAACAGACATATAGACCAATGTAACAGAACAGAGGCCTCAGATATAACACCACACATCTAGAACCATCTGATCTTTGACAAACCTCCCAAAAACAAGCAATGGGAAAGGATTCCCTATTTAATAAATGGTGCTGCTAAAACTGGCTAGCCATATGCAGAAAGCTGAAACTAGATCCCTTTCTTACACCTTATATAAAAATTAACTCAAGGTGGATTAAAGACTTAAATGTAAGACCTAAAACCATAAAAACCCTAGAAGAAAACCTAGGCAATACCATTTAGGACATAGACATAGCTTACACCTTATACAAAAATTAACTCAAGATGGATTAAAGACTTATATGTAAGATCTAAAACCATAAAAACTCTAGAAAAAAAACCTAGGCAATACCATTCTGGACATAGGCATGGGCAAAGAGTTCTTGACTAAAACACTAAAATCAATGGCAACAAAAGCCAAAATTGACAAATGGGATCTAATTAAACTAAAGAGCTTCTGCACAGCAAAAGAAACTATCATCAGCGTGACCAGGCAACCTACAGAATGGGAGAAGAATTTGGCAATCTATCCATCTGACAAAGGGCTAATATCCAGAATCTACAAATAACTTAAACAAATGTACAAGAAAAAACAAACAACCCCATCAAAAAGTGGGCAAAGGATATGAACAGACAGTTCTCAAAAGAAGACATTTATGCAGCCAACAGATATATGAAAAAATGCTCATCATTACTGGTCATTAGAGAAATGCAAATAAAAACCACAATGGGATACCATCTCATGCCAGTTAGAATGGTGATCATTAAAACGTCAGGGAACAACAGATGCTGTAAAGGATGTGGAGAAATAGGAATGCTTTTACACTGTTGGGGGGAGTGTAAATTAGTTCAACCATTGTGGAAGGCAGTGTTGTGATTCCTCGAGGATCTAGAACCAGAAATACCATTTGACCCAGCAATCTCATTACTGAGTATATACCCAAAGGATTGTAAATCATGCTACTATAAAGACACATGTGCATTTATGTTTATTGTGGCAGTATTCACAATAACCAACCCAAATGTCCATCAATAATAGACTGGATAAAGAAAATGTGGCACATATACACCATGAAATACTATACAGCCATAAAAAGGATGAGTTTACGTCCTTTGCAGAGACTTGGATGCAGCTGGAAACCATCATTCTCAGCAAAATTTCATAAGGAGAGAAAACCAAACACTGCATGTTCTCACTCATAAGTGGGAGTTGAACAATGAGAACACATGGACACAGGGAAGGGAACCTCACACCCTGGGGCCTGTTTGGGGGTGGGGGACTGGGGGAGGGATAGCATTAGGAGAAATACCTAATGTAAATGACAAGTTGATGGGTGCAGCAAACCAACATGGCACATGTATACCTATGTAACAAACTTGCACCTTGTGTACATGTACCCCAGAACTTAAAGTAGAATAAAAAAAGAAAGAAAAATATGTTACCAATGCCATAATGCATTCTTATGTCTCAGAATTTTTATTTCTATAAATTGAACATATTTTAGAATTATTTAGGTGTACAACTTGTTTTTTCTACAATTGTGAAAATAACAGTGTAAAAAATAAATTATTGTCTTAACATTTTTTCACATTCTAAGTCCAAATCATTAAGATAACTCTTTTTAAGTAAGAGCCATCAAACTCCTTTTTCTCTTTTCTTCATATAACAACATCCTCTGTTCCAGCATAAAGATTGGTGATATAGCATTAAAAACATCATCCACTATTATGTATTATCTCCAATATTACTTGCCAAGCCTCTAAGCACCATCCTGTAAGTTTTAATGTCAGTGTTTTCTTTTTAGGTGTGTGATTAGCAGTCCTATTTACATATCTCAGTTAAAAAAATACAATAGGTTAATCTACTTTCAGGTTTCCTTTTTATTAAGTCCCAAAAAGCACTTAGATGTTATTCAGCAAGAAAATATGGGATCATTTTCATTGTTTCAACAGTAGATATTTGCTTTAATAATATCAAATTTATTTTCCTTTACTCTGTCTCCATG
This sequence comes from Homo sapiens, assembly GCF_000001405.40. Classification (NCBI taxonomy): domain Eukaryota; kingdom Metazoa; phylum Chordata; class Mammalia; order Primates; family Hominidae; genus Homo; species Homo sapiens. The sequence continues at coordinate 45,820,944 of NC_000004.12, forward strand.
TTAACTTCTAAAAGAACATTACATTTCAATAGGGAATAATATTTTTGTATGTATTTTTAAAGTGAACATTATATGTGGTACTACTGATGATAATAGGAAATTATAAGAGAAAGGTAAGGTAAGAACAGCTTTGTCACGAATTTCATTGACTGCCAGTAATTATAAGATGCCATCAATAAATAGACACAATTCAATTTTCAAAATATTTAAATAACATGTCTTAAATATGATGAAATATTCCATGTTATTCAATACAATATAGAGAAGAGTAAAAATAATAAAACTTTATGATTTCATGAAAATTCAGAAAGAAGAAAACAGAAACATTGTGAAATAATAAAAATGGAAAAAAAGAAGTTAAATTCAAAACTATTAGTAATTTTGAAATGGGTGAGTGTCCTGACTCCCCTCACAGGACTTGCAACAGGGGCGTGGCTCATCTGTTCAGTGCGCTCAGACCCCTTACTGGAGGGGGAGAATGCAAATGGGCAGGTGGAGGAGCCAGAGTGAGCACTTTTGGGCTCTGGCCCCGTGGTAGTGTCTAGGAGTGGGTGCCTGTGATGCCCGAAGTCCAAGTGGGTGTGTTACAGTGCTCTTTTAGCTTCACCATCAGCAGATGGATTAAGTGTTGACCAGCTCAGTGACCTCTTGGTACCCAGGTCTTTGGCATCCAGGAAGTACAAGGTCACACAGACAAATTGAAGGATGGCAAATGGGGGGGACTTTATTGGCAGATGGAGGTGGCCATGAGCAGGATGGATGGGGAGCTGGAGAGGGAATGGAGTGGGAAGAGTATCTTCCCCTTGATTTCAGCCATCCTGCAGCATATCTCCTCTCCGAATGTCCCCAGCCCAACTCCTCTAGAGATTCAGACTCTCTTTCTCTTTTCTCCTTATCTGCTGCGCCACTGTTCTGCTCTTCTGCCTTTCTGCTCGTGGAATCTGTGGTTTGGGGTTTATATGGGTACAGGATGGGGGGTGTGGTGGGCCAAAAGGCAACATTTTGGGGTGAAAAACAGGAATGCGTGCTCCCATTTAGGGCCATGGGTTTCCAAGCTTGAGAGTGGGGCCTTTGCCAGGAAACCACCCTCTTCTACTCAGTATTTCCCTGCCTCCTCTCTGTGTCAGTTTCAATAATTGGGAAGATGGTAAATTCAACTATTAAAAGAAGAAACCCTGATATTGCATTTAAAAATAAAATAAAGCTCAGTATAAGCCAAATTGACAGAAAGTTAAAAAATATAAATAAGAGAAGGCAAAGAAGACATACAAATCACCACCAAACATATGAAAAAATGCTGTACATCACTAATTAGGGAAATGCAAGTTAATACCACAATGAGATACCACCTTACTCCTGCAAGAATGGCCATTATTAAAAAGTTAAAAAACAATAGATGTTGACAGGGATGTGGGGAAAAGGGAATGCTTATACACTGCTGGTGGGAATGCAAATCAGTACTACCTTTTTTTTTTTTTTTTTTTTTTTTTTGAGACGGAGTCTCACTCTGTTGCCCAGGCTGGAGTGCGGTGGCGTGATCTCAGCTCACTGCAAGCTCCGCCTCCTGGGTTCACGCCATTCTCCTGCCTCAGCCTCCCAAATAGCTTGAACTACAGGTGCCGCCATCACGCCCGGCTAATTTTTTGTATTTTTCAGTAGAAACGGAGTTTCACCATGTTAACCAGGATGGTCTCCATCTCCTGACCTCGTGATCCGCCCGCCTCGGCCTCCCAAAGTGCTGGGATTACAGGCGTGAGCCACCGCACCTGGCCACTACAACCTCTTTCTTAAAGAGCTAAAAGTAGATCTACCATTCAATCCAGCAATCCTTACTACTGGATATTTACCCAAAGGAAAGGATGTTATTAAATGAATAAGACACTTGCACACGTGTGTTTATAGCAGCACAATTCACAGTTGCAAAGATGTGAAAACATTCTAAGTGCCCCTAAACTAGTAAGTGAATAAAGAAAATGTGATATATATACATGGTGTGTGTGTGTGTGTGTGTACATATATATATATGTACACACACACACACACATAACATATATATATATATACACCATGGTGTGCATGTGTGTGTGTGTGTGTATATATATATATATATATATATATATGAAGTACTACTAAGCCATAAAAAATGAAATAATGTCTTCTGCAGCAATGTGGATGGAGCTGGAGGCCATTATTCTAAGTGAAGTAACACAAGAGTGGAAAACCAAAAACCTTATGTTTTCACTTCTAAGTAGGAGCCAAGTCATGAGTACACAAAGGCATACAGGGTGATATAATGCACTTTGGGTACTCAAAAGAGGGAGGATGGGAGGGATGGGTCAGGGATTCAAAAGAACTACACACATTATTGCTAATGTACACTGCTTGGGTGATGGGTGCACTAAAATCTCAGAATTAACCACCATTTAATTATTGTGTTATCTATGTAACCAAAAACCACCGTAGCCCCAAAAGCTGTTGAAATAAAAAAAATTAGAAAAAATAATTGCAAATAAATAATAACAACAAAAAAAAACTGCTATCTTAATGCTACATTAGCCAAAAGAGAATTCAAGTAGGAAAGTATTTAAAGATACAGAGAAACATAATCTTTTATTAGAAAACTAATATTTCACCAAGTATTGTCAGTAAAAAAATATGAAAATTGACCTGGAACACCCAAAGGAAATAACAACCACACTATTTAAATTAAGAATGAATTTCAACAAGATGAACAAGAAGAGCAAATGTAAGATTAGTGTACAAACACCCATAGATTTTCTATACATTGAAATATTCAAACAGAGAATAGAAAAATTAGATTCTGTTTATGTAACTAGAATATTAAGTACCCGTTAATAAATCTAACCAGAAATACGCAACACCTTTATACAAAGTTGACAAGATATTGTAACAGACTAAGATGTAACAGACTAAGTGTAGTAGAGAGTGTTTTAGTTAAGGACCTTCTAGCCAATTTGGTCTAAAACGTTGGTGACTTTTATTATGGAGTCTAATATTTGGTCTAACTGCAGCATTCTGGAGCCTTGAATCCAGGCCATGTGCTGACCAGTGCTGTGGCTTTAGTGAAAATTACAGAAAAAATAGAATACTGGAAAATTATTTTAAAATAGAATATTAGAAAATAAACGTTAGACCTAAAACCATAAAAACCCTAGAAGAAAACCTAGGCATTACCATTCAGGACATAGGCATGGGCAAGGACTTCATGTCCAAAACACCAAAAGCAATGGCAACAAAAGCCAAAATGGACAAATGGGATCTAATTAAACTAAAGAGCTTCTGCACAGCAAAAGAAACTACCATCAGAGTCAACAGGCAACCTACAACATGGGAGAAAATTTTCGCAACCTACTCATCTGACAAAGGGCTAATATCCAGAATCTACAATGAACTCAAACAAATTTACAAGAAAAAAACAAACAACCCCATCAACAAGTGGGCGAAGGACATGAACAGACACTTCTCAAAAGAAGACATTTATGCAGCCAAAAAACACATGAAAAAATGCTCATCATCACTGGCCATCAGAGAAATGCAAATCAAAACCACTATGAGATATCATCTCATACCAGTTAGAATGGCAATCATTAAAAAGTCAGGAAACAACAGGTGCTGGAGAGGATGTGGAGAAATAGGAACACTTTTACACTGTTGGTGGGACTGTAAACTAGTTCAACCATTGTGGAAGTCAGTGTGGCGATTCCTCAGGGATCTAGAACTAGAAATACCATTTGACCCAGCCATCCCATTACTGGGTATATACCCAAATGACTATAAATCATGCTGCTATAAAGACACATGCACACGTATGTTTATTGCAGCATTATTCACAATAGCAAAGACTTGGAACCAACCCAAATGTCCAACAATGATAGACTGGATTAAGAAAATATGGCACATATACACCATGGAATACTATGCAGCCATAAAAAATGATGAGTTCATGTCCTTTGTAGGGACATGGATGAAATTGGAAATCATCATTCTCAGTAAACTATCGCAAGAACAAAAAACCAAACACCGCATATTCTCACTCATAGGTGGGAATTGAACAATGAGATCACATGGACACATGAAGGGGAATATCACACTCTGGGGACTGTGTTGGGGTGGAGGGAGGGGGGAGGGATAGCATTGGGAGATATACCTAAGGCTAGATGATGAGTTAGTGGGTGCAGCGCACCAGCATGGCACATGTATACATATGTAACTAACCTGCACAATGTGCACATGTACCCTAAAACTTAAAGTATAATAAAAAAAAAAGATAGAAATTGGTTATTTCTTGTCACTTCCAGCCAAGAAAGGAATAGCCAGTCTGAAATCAGAAATCACACAGAATATATCTTTAATAAGAAAGGCACTCTGTCTTTAGCAACCTGAGTTGAATAAGAGTTCCATAATTTTGGAATTACAGTCGGAAATTTTATATTATTCTGTCACTCAAGTTAAAGCTAACATTAGAATATCAGAAGTCTTGTCAGGATTTCAGATGAGGTTTTACCTGTTTTTTGTTCTGTTTTTGCTTTCTTTTTTGCCAAACTAAGGAAAATACTTTTTGGTAAAAGTCCTGTGTTCTCTTTTATTTTACGTTAGATGACCCAAGCAGAAAACGTGTTTTAGATTTTACTGCTAAACACTAATTCTGGATCTCAAGTTTGATGAAGTCATTTGACAGGATGTAAGTGAATTGTTTTCATATAAGGGATATATACAGGAATAGGATATGCTTGGAGGTGAAGGCTATAATGGTTAGATTATGGCAGGCACTATAGAATGACTGATGACTCCTAGTCTCAAGCTCTTTCCCTCTTTGCTTGCTTCAGTTATTAAGGATGGGAAAACTAATTCCTTGCTTTCTACAAGTTAGAGGCAACCACATGATATAATTCTTGTTAAAGTGATATAAGAGGAAGTCTGTGGGGGAAGCATTTACTTTCTTGATGAAATATTAATAATAATAAAAGGATAGTCATAGCAAGGGTAGTTATTGTGCTTTCCCCAGACATACACTTTGAACTAAACATGATCCCTGATGCTGCAACATCATCTTGCAACTATGAGTAACTATATGGCAAGGCTTGCATTATAGAGCTGGTCACAGCTGTGACCAGCCAAATTCAATCTACATTATCTAATTCAATCTACATTATCTAGAGTGAAACATCACATATCAGATCCACTAGATAGTTTGGTGTCTTCCTCTTCCCATTCATTTTTTCCAAATCCCCTCCAAATAATTTCAAGTTGCTTGTCCCTTTCTTATCCTTCACACCCACTTCCCTCTCAGCTTTTCTATCTAAACCTTTCACTTAGAATTCAAGTTTTAAGGTTATCCAGGCCCCTTTCAAGGTATTGAATAGATATATTCAATAATATTTTATATATATGCATATATTCAGTTAGATAATTAAATTTAGTTAAATACTACATATATGTGACTGAGTATAAATATTTGGTCCTATGTCTATAACTGAATATATATATATATACATGGTTAGATAAATAACATTTACTTACAAAAATAACAGAGGCTACTCCTCCTCTACCTTCATAAATGACTCCATCATTTAGCCACAATGCCAAAAATATGGATATCAATTGAAACTACATTTCTGGTCCTCTTACACATATAGTTATTAACTCTTATCTATTCTAATTACAAAATATATCTCAAATTCATCCATTTATCTCTTTGCCTAGTCTCCCCACACTAGTTCAAACATTCGTTCTCACAATGAATACTTCTACAATTTCCTAACTAATCTTTCTGTCTTTACCTGTGTCTACTTGTAATCCATTGTCCATTCAACAGCTAGCGATTTTATGAAATTACAATCTAAACGTGTCTGTATTTATAAATCTTCAGTAACTTTTAGTGGCTTTTATAACTTTTCAATAAGGTTTCCAAAACATAGGTTGGCTTTTGCTAACTTCTCCAGCCTTATTTTTGCCTCTCCCTAACTCTTCAATCCATAGCCATGTTATTTATCTTTCAGTTTCATAAAGATACATGTTATCTTTCACTTCTATATTCATCTTATGTTGGGTACTCTGGAAACATACATTAAGATGAAGAGTTTCATGCCCATGTTTTACTGGGGAGTGTTCTAGGAGGAAACATCTGTAAGGGAGTGGGGCTCTCACAATTTGGGAACAGAGAGAAGCTGACCAGCAATGCAGTTGCATCTGAGGTATCTGCCAATCATATGGAGAGCTCTGGAGCTGGGATAGCTCTTTAGATTGCCTCTAACTGGAGCAAGGAGTTTGGGCCTTTCCATCCCCACTTTAACCAGCAATTGGCTTTAAGCTGTTCCATGAAAGGCAGCATGACCTTGGGCAAGGAGATATCTGGAGTGGACGGAAATTCTTAGTGAAGTATACAGACTTGAAACTTTAATAGTAGATAATTCTCTGCATCTCAAGAGGGTAGCAGAAACATTTACATATGTTTGCCCATGCTGTTTCCTTTAAGTAGAATATTCCCTCTCACTCACCACAATTTTCCAGCTAAGCTCTAGTCACCCTGCAGGTCTCAATACTATGTGATTTATTGTGCAGTGCCTTTGCTGACCCCTGATTCTTACTGAGGTTCCCTCTTAACATGCTTCATTAGCACAACACAAAACCTCCCAATCCTAGAACTTTTTAAACTGTATCAAGATTATGTATTTATTAAAACTCTATGGAAACAGAAATTTTCTTTCTCACCAAGTCTTCTCAGAGCCCAAAATATGACCTCATAATACTTGGCACAAAATGAATATTTGTTTGCTGAGTGCATGAATTGCACATTTTTCCTATTTCATTAAGTTCTCTTTCTGTCTCCCTAAGACTCTTTCAAAATCAGGATAATAATGAGAGAGAGAAAATAGAGTAGGAAAAAATCTCAATTTAGTATATTTTCTAAAATTTTTCTCTAATCTCTATTTCTTATCCTGCTGGGGAAAAATTTACTAATCCCAGCTTGCACCAGATTTTGAATTTCATGTTGGTGGTATTTTAGCCAATGACACACTTGATTCAAATACATATAGATTATTTTGACTGCATTAATTCCATCATATAATCTCCTCAGCTGAGAAGAAAAATTAGTAAAGTCATAAATCAATGATTTCCTCACTCTTTTATACATATATTATGAATATTAGTCAGATTACTATTTTCTTAATTATATAGAGTAATATAGGAAAGCACTTTGGGTGTCTAAGGCCCATGGTGAAATTAAGATACATTGTTATGAAATCGAAGACATTCTTATTTACACATGGATGATAGCATAAATGTTAGAAGCAAGGTTAAAAATGACTTAGACAAAAGCAGCTTAAGCAGAAATGGTGTTCTCTACCTAGGATAATATTCAGCTTATGTTAATTTCCTATGATTTATTACTAGGTAGATGTGTATCAACTATACCCAAAACCAGGAACAGTATTATGAACTTCACATGCTAATCTCTGGTTAATTTCCTGAAACGTTAACACCATATTTTACTGCCTACTCATGCCAATACACGTCAGAGCACCCAAATATGAAATATTTGCTCATTACATTTGATTTTGGAGAGATAAAATATTCATCAATTTAAATGATAATTAGTGACTTTCTGCAAATTACTTTTCCATTTACACATGATCTCTAAATTCAAGCATTGTGCGTTATATTTCCAATATTCAATTTTAGAGGACTCAATCCAAAGCAATGTTTTTTTAACCAACAAAAAATTGTGAACAATGCACTTGCTAATGGATTCCCAAGTACTATAAGAAAGCCTGGTTGAGCTCTGTGTGGATGTTGTGGCTCCCAGCATAGCATCAAAGAGCCCTATATAAAACTCCAAGCCTGTAATTCTTGTCAGCTTAACAAACTTCTAAGAATCATGCTCCAAAAAGGTGAATGAGCATTTTAAATTGTTCTTTGATTCTTTGCTTGTAAACATAACTTTTTAAATTCCCATGACACAATTTTAAAGTTGCTGAATATAGAATTGTTCAGAGTGCCTTAGTAACTTAGAACTTAATGCAATGAACTACCTATAAAAAAATTATTTTACTTCTCTTATCTTGCCCCAAAGCAACCTGATTATAAAATTTCCACTTTCCCACTGTCCTTGGATAATAACATTATTAGCCATAACTACTTAGTTGGCTGTCCAAAAGAACATAGTATGAGTAATTTGGTAAATCTATAAGGCATTATATTACCAGCCCATTTTTCAAATGCAAAGTTAGGCATGACAGAATTAGTGAAATATAGAAGCACTTCAAGATTTCTTTAACCTGTAAAGATCATATGTTTTTGTAAGTTTATGTTCAGCCAGAGTTCATCCATCTACTATTATAGTATACATTTCATCATTTTTTGTTGTTAATATTATTAATTTCTAAAAGTTATATATATCATTGCATTCACTTAGACTACTTATAATTATATATAGTCATGCATTGAAAAATTATGTAACATAAATATTCTGCAGGAAGACAAAGTCTAATAATAGATATTAAATCATAATAAAAGCTCTATTTGTAACATTTGATTCATCAGATTTCTTTCTTTACTAACATTTACTGGCTCATACTATAATGTACGTTTGACTACATCAATTGTCAATGCCTACTAATAATTTTTTTATTTAGATAATAAAAAATAGTAAAATAATTTCAGAAAAAATATTTACAGAGACATCTCATTTTAGGAACATTTTGATATAACCGCGAATGCTTGGGCTTCAATGTGTAATAGATATGAAAATTCAATTAACAAGGCTATTGATTGAAACTTATACAACGCCGTTTATAACTATTTGGCTTTATAAAGAGGTTATTATTTTGAAAATTTACTCTTGAATTTGGTCAAATGTTAAAACACGGTATTTATGCCGTGTTTTAACATTGTTATAAATATCCTCAAACCTTTTCAAATCAATGGGAAGTTTAGGTAGGTAGAAACAAATATCTTACTAAAGTCCATATATCTTGAGTATATTATTTGTTGGTTTTTCTTTTTTTATCTTTTTTTTTATTTCCATAGTTTATTGGGGAGCAAGTGGTGTTACGTTACATGAGTAAGTCCTTTCGTGGTAATTTCTTAGATTTTGGTGCTCCCATCACCCAGGCAGCATACACTGCACCTTATTTGAAGTCTTTTATGCCTCAACCCCTTCCCACTCTTTCCCCCTGAATTCTCAAAGTCCCTTGTGTCATTCTTATACCTTTGCATTCTCACAGCTTAGCTCCCACTTATGAGTGAGAATATATGATATTTGGTTTTCCATTCCTGAGTTACTTCACTTAGAACAATTGTCTCCAATTTATCCAGGTCGGTGTGAATTCCATTAATTCATTCCTTGTTATGGCTGAGTAGTATTCCGTTGTATACATATATCACAGTTTCTTTATCCATTTGCTGATTGATGGGCATTTGGGTTCATTCCATGTTTCTGCAATTGTGAATTTTGCTGCTATAAACATGCGTGTGCAAATATCTTCATCGTATAATGGCTTCTTTTCCTCTGGGTGGATACCCAGTAGTGGGATTGTGGGATCAAATGGTAGTTTTACTTTTAGTTCTTTAAGGAATCTCCATACTCTTTTCCATAGTGATAGTACTAGTTTACATCCCCACCAGCAGTGTAGAAGTGTTCCCTGTTCACCACAGCCACGCCAACGTGTACTATTTTTTTATTTTGGCCATTCTTGCAGGAGTAAGGTGGTATTGCATTGTGGTTTTGATTTGCATTTTGCTGATTATTGGTGATGTTGAGCGTCTTTTGATATGTTTGTTGGCCATTTGTACATCGTCCTTTGAGAATTGTCTGTTCATGTCCTTAGCCCACTTTTTGATGGGATTGTTGTTTTTTTGTTGATTTGTTTGATTTCATTGTAGATTCTGGATATTAGTCCTTTGTCAGATGTATAGATTGTGAAGATTTTTTTCCCACTCAGTGGGTATCTGTTTACTCTGCTGACTGTTCCTTTTGCCATGCAAAAGCTCTTTGGTTTAAGTTCCAACAATTTATTTTTGTTTTTATTGCATTTGCTTGTGGGTTCTTGGTCATGAAATCCTTGCCTAAGCCAATGTCTAGAAGGGTTTTTCCAATGCTATCTTCTAGAATTCTTACAGATTCATGTCTTAGATTTCATTTCTTAATGCACCTGGAGTTTATTTTTGTATAAGGTAAGAGATGAGGATTCTGTTTCATTCTCCTACATGTGGGTAGCCAATTATCCCACCATTTATTGAAAAGGGTGTCCTTACCCCACTTTACATTTTTGTTTGCTTTGTCAAAGATCAGTTGGCTGTCAGTATTTGGGTTTATTTCTGGGTTCTCCATTCTGTTCCATTGGTCTATGTACCTATTTTTATACCAGTACCATGCTGTTTGGTGACTATGGCTTTATAGTATAGTTTGAAATCAGATAGTGTGATGTCTCCAGATTTCTTCTTTTTGTTTAGTCTTGCTTCGGCTATGCAGGATCTTTTTTTGGTTCCATATGAATTTTAGAATTGTTTGTTTTACTTCTGTGAAGAATGATGGTGGTATTTTGATGGAAACTGCATTGAATTTGTAGATTGCTTTTGGCAGAATGATCATTTTCACAATATTAGTTCTACCCCTCCATGAGCATGGGATGTGTTTCTATTTGTGTCACCTATGATTTCTTTCAGCAGTGGTTTGTAGTCTTCCTTGCAGAGGTCTTTCAACTCTTTGGTTAGGTATTTTCCTGTTTTCTTTCTTTTTTTTTTTTTAGCTATTGTAAAAGGGCTTGAGTTCTTTATTTGATTCTCAGCTTGGAGCTACTGATTTGTGTACATTAATTTTGTGTCTGGAAACGTTGCTGAATTCTTTTGTCAGTTCTAGGAGCTTTCTGGAAGAATATTTAGGGTTTTCTAGGTAAACAATCATATCATCAGCACATAGCAACAGTTTCACTTCTTCTTTACTGATTTTGATGCCTTTTATTTTTTTCTGTTGTCTGATTGCTCTGGCTAGGACTTCCAGTACTATGTTGAAAAGGAGTGGGAAGAGTGGGCATCTTTGTCTTGTTCCATTTCTCGGAGGGAATGTTTTCAACTTTTCCCCATTCAGTATTATGTTGGCTGTGGATCTGTGATAGTTGGCTTTTATTATATTGAAGTATGTCCCTTCTATGTTGATTTTGCTGAGAGTTTTAATCGTAAAGCAATGCTGGATTGTGTTGAATGCTTTTTCTTCATCCATTGAGATGATGATGTAATTTTTGTTTTTAATTCTGTTTACATGGTGTATTACATTTATTGATTTTCATATGTTAAACTACCCCTGCATCCCTGGTATAAAACCCACTTGATCATTGTGGATTATCTTTTTGATATGTTGATGGATTTGGCTAACTAGTATTTTGTTAAGGATTTTTGCCTCTATGTTCATCAGGGATGATGGTCTGTAGTTTTCTTTTTTGCATGTCCTTTCCTGATTTTGGTGTTAGGGTGATACTGGCTTCATAGAATGACTTAGGGAGGGTTCCCTCTTTCTCTATCTTCTGGAATAGTGTCAGTAAGACTGGTACCATTTATTTGAATGTCTGGTCGAATCCAGCTGTGAATTCATCTGATGCTGAAATTCTTTTTATTGGTGATTTTTGTATTTACCATTTCAATCTCCCTGTTCCCTGTTCAAGGTATCTAGTTCTTCCTTATTTAAGCTAGGAGATTTGTATCTTTCCAGGAATTTATCCATCTCTTCTAGGTTTTCTAGTTTGTGCACATAAACGTGTTCATAATAGCCTTGAACAAACTTTTGTATTTCTGTGGTGTCAGTTGTAATATCTCCCGTTTCATTTCTTATTGAGCTTATTTGGATTTTCTCTCTTCTTTTCTTGGTTAATTTTACTAATGGCCTGTCAATTTTATTTATCTTTTGAAGGAATCAGCCTTTTGTTTCATTTATCTTTGTACTTTTTGTTTCAAATTTATTTAGTTCTGCTCTGATCTTGGTTATTTCCTTTATTCTACTAGGTTTGGGTTTCGTTTGTTTTGTTTCTCTAGTTCCTTGAGGTATGACCTTAGATTGTCTGTTTGTGCTCTTTCAGACTTTTTGATGTAGGCATTTAAGGCTATGAACTTTCCTTTTAGCACCACCTTTGCTGTGTCACAGAGGTTTTGATAGGTTGTGTTCCTGTTGTCATTCAGTTCAAATATTTTTTTTAATTTTATTAATATTATACTTTAAGTTTTAGGGTACATGTGCACAACGTGCAGGTTTTTAATTTCTATCTTGATTTCATTTTTGATCCAGTGATTATTCAGGAGCAGGTTATTTAATTTCCTTGTATTTGCATGCTTTTGAAGGTTTCTTTTAGAGTTGATTTCCAGTTTTATTCCACTGTGGCCTGAGAGAGTGCTTGATATAATTTCAATTTTCTCAATTATTGAGGCTCATTTTGTGACCTATAAGATGGTTTATCTTGGAGAAATTCCCATGTGCTGCTGAATAAAATGTATATTCTGTGATTGTTGGATGGAATGTTCTGTATATATCTGTTAGTTCCATTTGTTTCAGAATATAGCTTGAATTCATTGTTTCTTTGTTGACTTTCTGTCTTGATGACCTATTTAGTGCTGTCAGTGGAGTATTGAAGTCCCCCACTATTATTCTGCTGCTATCTACCTCATTTCTTAGGTCAATTAGTAACTGTTTTATAAATTTGGGAGCTCCAGTGTTAGGTACATATATGTTTAGGATTGTGATATTTTCCTGTTGGACAAGGCCTTTTATCATTATATAATGTCCCTCTTTGTCTCTTTTAACAGCTGTTGCCTTAAAGTTTGTTTTTTTCTCATATAAGAATAGCTACTCCTGCTTGCTTTTCGTGTCTGTTTGCATGAAAGGTCTTTTTTCATCCCTTTACCTTAAGGTTATGTGCATTCTTATGTGTTAGACCAGTCTCTTGAAGGCAGCAGATAGTTGGTTGATGCATTCTTAACCATTATTCAATGCTGTATCTTTTAAGTGGAGCATTTAGGCCATTTACATTCAAAGTTAGTATTGAGATGTGAGGTATCATTCCATTCATCGTGCTTTTTGTTGCCTGTATACTTTGTTTTTTTGTTTTTGTTGTTTTTTGTTTTGTTTTTTAATCTTGTGTTTTTGTTTTATAGGTCCTGTAGGATTTATGCTTTAAATGGGTCCTGCTTTGATGTTTTTCCAAGATCTGTTTCAATATTTAGAGCTCCTTTTAGCAGTTTTTGTAGGGGTGGCTTGGTAGTGGTGAATTCTCTCAGCATTTGTCTGAAAAAGAATATATCTTTCCTCCCTATATGAAGCTTAGTTTCACTGGATACAAAATTCTTGGCTAATAATTGTTTTGTTTAAGGAGGCTGAAGATAGGGTCCCAATTCTTCCTAGTTTGTAGGGTTTCTGCTGAGAAATCTGTTGTTAATCTGATAAGTTTTCCTTTATAGGTTACCTGGTGCTTTTGTCTCACAGCTCTTAAGATTCTTTCCTTCATCTTAACTTAAGATAACCTAATGACAATGTGACTAGACAATGATCTTTTTGTGATTAGTTTCCCAGGTGTTCTTTGTGCTTCTTGTATTTGCATGTCTAGTTTTCCACCAAGGCCTGGGAATTTTTCCTCAATGATTCCTCCAAATATGTGTTCCAAATTTTTAGATTTCTCTTCTTCCTCAGGAACACCAATTATTCTTAGGTGTGGTCTTGGTATGTAATCCCAGACTTTATGGAGGCTTTGTTCCTATTTTCTTATTCTTTTTTTTGTTGTCTTCATTGGATTGCTTTCATTCAAGAACTTGTCTTCGAGATCTAAATTTCTTTCTTCTATTTGTTCAATTCTATTGCTGAGACTCTGTGGATCATTTTGCATTTCTATAAGTGTGTCCATTGTTTCCTGAAGTTTTGATTGTTTTTTATTTATGCTATTTATTTCCTTGAGGAATTCTCCCTTCACTTCTTGTGTCATTTTTTGGATTTCCTTACATTGGGGTTTGCCTTTCTCTGGTGCCTCCCTGATTAGCTTAATAACAAACCTCCTGAATTCTTTTTCAGGTAAATCAGGGATTTCTTCTAGGTTTGGGTTCATTGCTGGTGAGCTAGTGGGATTTTTCTGGGATGTTAAAGAACCTTGTGTTATCATCATACCAGAGTTGGTTTTCTGGTTCCTTCTCATTTTGGTAGGCTCTGTTGGAGGGAAGGTCTAGGGCTGAAGGCCGTTGTTCATATTCTTTTGTCCTACGAGGTGTTTCCTATGGATGTGGCTTCCTGAGAGCCAAGTTGTAGTGATTGTTATCTCTCTTCTGGATTTAGCCACCCAGCAAGTCTAGCAGGCTCCAGGCTGGTACTGAGGGTTGTCTGCACAGAGTCCTGTGATGTGAACCATCTGTGGGTCTCTCAGCCATGGATACCAGTACCTGTTCTGGTGGAGGTGGCAGGGGTGGTAAAATGGACTCTGTGAGGTCCTTAGTTGTGGTTGTTGAATGGACTGTTTTTGTGCTGGTTGGCCTCCTGCCAGAAGGTGGCACTTTCCAGAGATCATCAGCTGTAGTAGTATAGGGAGGAACAGGCAATGGACAGGGCCCTAGAACTGCCAAGAGTATATCCCCTTTGTCTACAGTTACCAGGGAAGAACCACAGGGTGGGGGCAGAGCTAGGCGTGTCCAAGCTTAGACTCTCGTGAGCAGATCTTGCTGCAGCTGCTGTGGGGGATCAGGGCGAGCTTTCTAGGTTAATGGAGTTATGTTCCTAGGAGGATTTTGACTGTCTCTACTGTGTCATGCAGGTTGTCAGGGAAATGGGGGGAAGCCGGCTGTCACAGGTCTCACTCAGCTCCCATGCAAGCCCAAGGGCCCGTCTCATTCCAGCCATGCCAACAGCAACAAATGTTTCCAGGCAGTGGGCAAGCAGGTCTGAGAGCTTGTCCCAGGCTACCTGCCTCTCCACTGCAAAAGCAAATATGGCTTTCTTCCTTCCCCCAGCTGTGGAGTCTGCACACCAGATTCATGGCCTCCCCTGAGTTCTGGCCAGGAGGCTTCTCAATCAGTTCAAATTGTTACAAAGTTCAACTGGAGATTTCCTTCTCTCTGTGGCCTTTTCCTAGCACCTCTGGCTGCCCTCACGAAGGACCTCTGTGAGGCCAGGTACAAACAACTTGCTAGGGGACCTGGCAAGTTCCCAGGGCTTTTCCCACTGCTTCCTCTACCTCTGTATTTTGCTCAGGTCTCTAAATTGACTCAGCTCCAGGTAAGGTCAAAATCTTCTCCCATAATCTAGGCCTTCAGTTTCCCCAGTGGGGGTGTGTGTTCGGGGGCTGACAATCTCCCATTCCTTCTTCCACAGTTTGGGCACTCAGAGTATCTGGGGTGTCTCCTGGGTCCCACAGTAGCAATTTGCTTCCTTCAGGGGGTCTGTGGGTCTTCTTAAGTTTCCCGACTTATTCCTGCAGTTGTTCTGGAGCAAAAACTCATGATGCGAGCATCCACACGCTGTTCTATCTGTCCGAGTCAGAGCAGAAATCTAGTCCTGCCTCCTGTCCACCATGATCCCCTGTCTTTTTTATCTTTTTGAGACTGAGTCTTGCTCTGTCACCCAGGCTGGGGTGCAGAGGCACAATTATGGCTCACTGTAGCTTTGACCTCCCAGGCTCAAGTGATCCTTCACCTCAGCCTCCACCACACCCAGCTAATACTTTCTAAAACTTTTTGTAGAGACAGAGTCTCAGTATGTAGCCCAGACTGGTCTTAAACTCCTGGGCTCAAGCGATCCTCCCACCTCGGCCTTTGAAAATGCTAAGACTATAGGTGTGAGCCACCATGTCTGACCATGATTTGCTTTTACTTACAGCTTTCTCAAAGATAATTTTCCTAACTGCCTTTGTCCCAGGCCATGTCCTTGATGTTTAGTCTTATCTCATTCAATATTCAAAACAACTCTGTGAATGTCATCTAATATTTCTGCCTATTTATAGAAAACCAAGGTTTAGAGGATATATTTAGTTTTTTCTAACTTCAAAAATGAACTCAAGATCAGAGCCTACAGTTGAATCACATCTATCTTATTTACACATTCTTGTCGTTTAATATTATTTTATACTACTTCAACACATTAGAAGAATGGTTCAATTCTAGACAATTGTATTCTGTTGAAAATTTCAATGATCCAAAATTTTATCTAAAAATAATATGTTTCTGTACAAACTAAGGTAGAGACAAAAGGTAATATTTAATGCTTTCGGCTGTAATAAGATCTAATGCTTTCCAAGAAAGTCACATCCAAAATTGAGCCTGATTTTTTGTACCATGCCCTATGCCAGCTTTGTGTGAAATACTAATAGTCCAATAACTATAACATACCTATTTTTCTTTATTAGCGAGAAATGTAGAATTTATCCTTTATATCAGGAAAACGAAATAAAAACTTCGGAAAAAATAGACAATAATCATGATTTTTCTTTTATGCTAAATAACAAATCTGCTCCATACCAAATAAGACTGAATTTTTCTACCTATTAAATATCTCATCTGATCTAAAGGTTATTTCTTTATGTATCTATTATGGTTCTTCCTTTATGATTCTTATCAATATAGAGTAAGTTAAAAGTCTGTTACTGCTTTTCTTATTCAATATTTTCATAAAACATTTTATACTTGTATTGACAGTTAAATAGCTTCTATTGAATGATCAACAATTTGCTATGATTTGGATTGTCTGAGCTCCTTTGAAATTCATGTGTTGATATCCTATGCCAGAAGGTGACCCTATTAGAAGATTAGGTCTTTGGGAGCTCTTATGATTGGAATCAGCACCATTAAAAAGGAGAACTCCAGAAAGCTAACCAGCCCCTCCATCATGTGAGCACAGTGTGAAGGCACCATCTATAAGAAAATGAATCCTCATCAAATGCCAAATCTGCCTGAGTTTTAATCTTCAACTTCCCAGCCTCTAGAACTGTGAGAAGTAAGTGTTTATTATTAACGCCCCATAGTCTATGACTATGATATTTTGTTATAGTAGTCTAAATGGACTAAGACATGATGCTACCATGAAATTTTGCACACTATAAAATTATTATGATGAGTGTTATTTCTTTTGTTAAACACATAAATGCAGTATAGATTCTATCCAGTAGAAAGTAATACCTGATTTTTTAGTAAATAATGGTAAGAAACATCTCTAAGGTAATAATTAAATTGAGTCATGTATCTCAAATAAGGTCCTCTATTTATTCAACAAATATTCTTTTTTTAGCCTTGTATAAGTTAAGCATATAATACATTCTTACAGTAATATGGGCAAGTTGAATAATTACTAAAGTTTTACACAAATGACAAAATTTTGATGGCTGATGAAGAAATATAATTGGGCTATGAGAAAAAACAGAAGTAGACTATGACTTGGTCAGGGGCATTAGAGAGGACTTTCCTTAGAAAGTGACATTCCAGTTGAATTTTGAATAATGAGATGATTTGTTCAGAGGATATGGGTGTCAGTGTTGGAGAGTGGTTTGCAGTTTCCAGATTAATAAAGGAACATCACTCCCACATGTGACTTTAATGAATACCCCAAGTTGTAAGCTTAACATCCCACGTGCTTTGTAATCAATTCTGTGTCTGCACAGACCCATGTCTCCCATTGGGCTAACATAGCAACAGGTACATTGAGTATATATAGGATGGGTGTGGATTAGGGGGAGTAGATTTTCTCAGAAAGCCTCCTTGTGAGGGGGCTCAAAAAAGACTAATAAGAGAATTGGAGATTAAGAAGGAAAGATTGCTCCCATTCTACCTGTAACCAGTCTAGAGTTAACAAAATTATTGCACACACAGAGATTTTGTTAGAGTCCCATATTTTGTATGTATAAGAATAATCCATGTGGCCTATAATTTGTAAAATTACACTTTTTATCATAATTAAATGTTGTATAGAGCATTTAATATTAATTACATGAATAAAAAACTATTTAAAACAGTGAATATATTTATAATGTAAACATACAATTAATGACTCTTAAAGCTGACTATCCAAAGGTGCGTGTTTTTTTCTTTCTTAAAATAAAAAAATAAAGTGTTTAAGTTCCTTGTAGAATCAAGATATTAGCCCATTGTTAAATGGACAGATTGCAAAAATTTTCTCCCATTCTGTAGGTTGCCTGTTCACTCAGACAATAGTTTCTTTTGCTGTACAGAAGCTCTTTAGTTTAATTAGATCCCATTTGCCAATTTTGGCTTTTGTTGCCATTGCTTTTGGTGTTTTAGTCATGAAGGCTTTGCCCATGCCTATGTCCTGAATGGTATTGCCTAAGTTTTCTCCTAGGGTTGTCATGGTTTTAGGTCTTACGTTTGAGTCTTTAATCCATCGTGAGTTAATTTTTGTATAAGGTGTAAGGAAGGGGTCCAGTTTCAGTTTTCTGCATATGGCTAGCCAGTTTTCCCAATTAGTTCAACCATTGTGGAAGACAATGTGGCTATTCCTCAAGGATCTAGAACTAGAAATACCATTTGAGCCAGCCATCCCATTACTGGGTATATAGCCAAAAGATTATAAATCATTATACTACAAACACATTTGCACATGTATGTTTATTGCAGCATTGTTCGCAATAGCAAAAACTTGGAACCAATCCAAAAGCCCATCAATTATGGACTAAATAAAGAAAATGTGGCACATATACACCATGGGATACTATGCAGCCATAAAAATTGATGAGTTCATGTCTTTTGCAGGGACGTGGATGAAGCTGGAAACAATAATTCTCAGCAAACTAACACAGGAAGAGAAAACCAAACACTGCATGTTCTCACTCATAAGTGGGAGCTGAACAATAAGAACATATGGACACAGGGAGGGGAATATCACACACCAGGGCCTGTCAGGGGGCGGCATGCTAGGGGAAGGACAGCATTAAGAGAGATACCTAATGTACATGACGGGTTGATGTGTGCAGCAAACCACCATGGCACGTCTACACCTATGTAACAAACCTGCACATTCTACACATATATTCCTGAACTTAAAGTATAATGAAAAAAATAAAAAATAATAATAAATAATTAATTAAATAGAAGCTTTTAACTGCTGTCAGCAAAATGTCCAATTTGAGAGCTCTGTACACTAACTTGCATAGGTTTGGTAATATTAATTAATATTCATATTGATTTAAAAATTCAACAAGTTAAGAAATGTGCAAAGGATATGAGCAAACAAGTCTTAACAACCAATAAAAAAAGACAAAAGAAAGTTTATCTTTATGGTTATCATCCAAATAACAGAAAATTGTAACAACAAATAAATAGTGTCTTAGATCATTGAACTGAAACACTGAAAAGTATATATCCAACACTGATGAAATGCCAAGGAAATGGGCATTCACAGATAACTGCTGGAGTAATTCTAATGGATAGTGGTTGGCGCTTTGAAAATTGTATCTTAGCACTAATCATCTGAGTGTGCAATTTCACTTTTTATTTTATATCTTAAAAATAATCTTATATGCACATGAAAATAAAATAATTTCTAACCTAATAAAATTATTTAACAACAAGCAAATATTTATAACAATCTTGTGTCTAAT
The DNA here is from genome assembly GCF_000001405.40 of Homo sapiens. NCBI lineage: Eukaryota > Metazoa > Chordata > Mammalia > Primates > Hominidae > Homo > Homo sapiens. The sequence goes on from NC_000004.12 coordinate 45,840,530, forward strand.
GACACAAAATCAAATAGCAATACATTTTCAGTTTTGCAAAATAAAACAAGCGAAACTCAAATGCATTTGTAAAAAAATCCATGGGAGATAGGATATGAATTAATCATGCCAAGAAAAAAAGAAAAGCACTTATCTGGTGGGTGGTGTCACAATTGATTTATTTTTGTTCTCTTTTAAACATTTGTATAATTATCAAATATTTACCAGTAAGTTTTCCTTATAATCCAAGTTAGGCAGACTGAAAACCAAGTTATTTAAGAAGCAATTTAACATATGCTTCAAAATCTAAGCCTTGTATTAGCTTGGACTCTTGAAAAAAGAAGTGTATATTTCAAAAGCTTGCATTGTTAAAATCATTTGTACAGTAATTCTCACAATGGTGAATAAATCATCTACACTTTTCACAGCTGACATTCTCTAAGTACAATGATAAAAAACACTGAGTAAGAAGACAGCTTACTTCACTTGCAGCCCTTGTCATTCTAAGATTTTGTAAGCTTCTGCAAGCCACTTGACCTCAGTGGACCTTAATTTTCTAATCAGGAAAGTTCATAATCATATCAGTCTCCTTGTAGCACATGAAATTCTATGCAAGTATTTAACACATTAGGCAAGTAAAAAACATATTATCTTCTCTGAACTTCTACTGAGCAAGCTGTCTGGTATCTTTGTTGTGATGTGATGCTATGTCACATTTCCTTAGTTGTCTTCAAACCAATCTTGAAGTTTAATCTTTGCAGGTGAGAAGTTTTGTTTCTTTTTATTCATTACGTAAGACTACAAAGGATGCTATGTCTTTTTTCCATACAAACAACTTGAAGGAAAGGGAGAAAGAAAGGAAGTATGATAGGAAAGATAAATCTATGCCCTAATCCCCAGAACCTATGAATGTTACCTTAAATGGCAAAAAGGTCTTTGCTGATGTGAATAAGGTAAGAATTTTATAATTGGGAGATTATCCTAGATTATCCTGGTGGTGGAACATAATTACAAGGGATTACTTTCTTATAGGAGTTAGGAAGAAGAACAGAGAGATTGTAGAAGTGACATAGAAGCGAGTACTTGGACTGATAGAAAAAAGGGGTGGCCGATCAAGGAATATAGGTGGCCTCTAAAAGCTAAAAAGGGCAAGGGAAAGGTTTTCTCCCACTGGAGCCTACGGAAGGAACCAGCGCTGCCCACATCTTAACTTTATCCCAGTGAAAGTGATTTAGAATTTTCGCACTTGAGAACTGTAAGAGAAAATAAATTCGTGCTGTATTAAGCCACCAAGTTTATAGTACTTCATTACAGCAGCCATAGGAAACTAATACAAGAAAGAAGGAGGGGGAAAGAAGAAAGAGATAAAGAACATTGTCACAGCAGCCTCGAATCCGAAAATTATACAGACAAACCATCAAAGAGCTATTTCATGAACTTTCTGGCTACTGACCACAGGGGCTATGTTGTAAACAGCAGCCTACATTTAAAATTGTTTTGAAGGCTATTTTTAGCTTGTTTATACCACTGTAAGAACAGATATGGTCAAGCCCATTTTATGTCTAAAGAAAAAAAAGTTCTAAATCTTGTTTGATGAAGTGGTTTCTATGGAAACAAACTTCAAATCCTAACATAAGGGAAAAAAGAAAATATTTTCAGATAACAAATTAAAATTACTTCCTGTAGCCTTTAATATGGGTTAAAATTCAAAGGTTAATTTTAGCTCATGAGAAATATGTAAATACAATTTGTTCTGTAGAAAGTTTTACTTGGACCTAAAATTTTGTTGTTAAGACGATGTGTAATGTGTCTTTAGGTTATTGAGCATTAATATGTATTATATCTTTATAGATCGTACTAGTTTTCTTGAATACTAATGCTTGTTTGGGGTCGTATTTTCTTCTATCTTTTTTATGCAATTGTTAATTGTAGCACTCATTTGAAGTGCTTTGTCATTAACAAGTTTGGTATGCAGGTGTATAAAAGCTTTATTAGTACAATGAAATGCACACTAAAGGCAAAACGCTCTGACATAAAAATTTCTTTTTGTCGATTTGAAAATATTTGGTGGCATTGTCCTTGTTTTATTATGTATGACATCCTACTCACACTCACTGTTCACCCTCAGAAAAATTTTCTAATTCTGATATTATGAGGCAAGAACTGTTTTAATGTGTATTCTTTTAAAGCACTGGATTTACTGGCATCACTGTAAAACACGTAAAGGTTTTGGTGTAGTGTGGCAGGAAAGGAAAATGGTCCTTAGCTCCTAAGTCGGGATAAAATTTCTGCACCTTTGTGCACTGTTCCCATAATTGGAATAACTTAATTAAAAGCTTGCTGAGCTCTTTGTCTCTGATAACCTGTGCAACCTTATTTAATCTCTTTTCTTTTTAAAAATAGAAAAAAAAAACCCTCTGGTATAAAATCAGCCTAGAATGATTTTATCTTAATCTACTTTAGTAATTTATTTTTCTCATTTTAATCCTTAACATAGGAATTAATGTTGAGATTTTACAACCCTTTGATTTATCTAGGTCGTCTCTCTGTATGCATGGATCAACATCATCAGTTATCTTTTGTTGCATTTAATCATGTGCCAAACATCCTGCTCCAGGCTTTACTTGCATAACTTACCAACAGGTAAGGTGTTTTTTCTTAATCTTTATTTTACAAGTGATAAGATGGATCCTGTGAGGAATTTGTAAGCATACTCATGGTTACATGGTTACTAAGAGGCCGGCTTCAAACTAGCTGCCTATCTGATGAGAATAAGGTTCTTCAGTTGCTGCTCTCCACACCCTGCAGTTTACATTGTAACCTGTACACAGGCAGAGGGAAAGGAATAGTGATACCACAAAAGAGAGACCCTTGGAAAGGGTAAATGAGAAGCGGCATAGATGAAGAGTTACTACTCCAGAAGCATTCACTGGAACAGAAAGTAGGGCTGCCAGAGCAAGGATGGAGCAGGTGAGATTCACCAAGAAATCAAGTCTTTTTTGATTTTCTTTCTTATATTTTGCTGTTCTTTCTTATACTTTGTCTTTAAACATATAAGTACCCAAAAATTGCAGTATCTTTTGAAAAATAATTTCCTTATTTTAAGGCACTTTCTAGGACCCTTGAATATGTTCATTAACATCCCAGAAACAATGATTATTTGGGGAAAAAATTATGCAAAGTTTAGCCATTCAAAAGGAGAAATGTAGAAATGGTCTCTATTATTTTGAGTTACTTCATGTTTCCAATTGTAGGTCTGTTGTTTAGGAAAAATAATTTGTTTTTCTTAGATATATTTTGTTTACACCATGTTATTTGTTAAACATTTTTGACAAACATCCTGTAACTCTTTCAGCAACTTATTTTATGCACAATTGATCTGATCAACCCATTCGGTCACTAAGTTTACACCAAAATAATTATCTACAGATAAAACTAATAACAGCAACACACACACAAAACCCATACACCCCTCTTGCCTAAATTATGAAAGCTATGTTAAGAAAATTATTGCCACAATGCAGCAAGTTACACAATTTTCTTAATTTCATAGCACAAATATAGTGACTGTGATATATATAGGAAATTATACTTTTTATTGTCTCTAAAACATTATATTCTAAGCAGGACAGAGTGAAATACCTCCTGATACTCATCGAGTGCTGCAAGTGACAAAGACCACAAGAAAAATACAAATAAAATTTGCAGTGGTCCTAAGAGCTAGACATATAAACTAAAAACTCTAATGCAAAGCTGTACTAAAGATGTCAAATATACAAAAGTCAAATTCAGGTTTACTGATTTCCAAAACATAATTTTATGTATGTATATAAGTATTTATTTATTTAGTCAGGGTCTTGCTCTATATCCCAGACTGGAGTGCAGTGGTGCAATCATAGCTCATTGCAGCTTCGAAGGAACACCTAGGCTCAAGCAATCCTCATGTCTCTACCTCCCAAACTGCTGGAATTGCAGATGTGAGTCACATTGCCTGACCCAAAACCGTTAATTTTAAGATCAGAACTCAGATTGTCTTTAATTTGTAAATATAATATAAGCTTCACTGCTTTCTTCCCACCAACCAAAAACCATTACCATTTTTCTCAAGCCTCCCTCAGATGTAGCCCAGTCTTTCTGTTCTCAGAGTATCTGATATCTGAGCAGTTGTAATTGCAGCTAACCTGGCACAGTAAGGATCTGTGTAGCCCCTAAAACAATTTTGATGCTCCGACAGGAGACCCACAAACACTGTGCTACCATTTCAGGTCTCATGAAAGGAAGATGCTTTGTCTCCTTGAAAGGATCCATTCACATAATGAGTTACTATTCTAAAACTCTGAGCTGTGAATAAGCGATCTACACATTAAAGAGACCAGTTCATTTCCTGATATATCCTTGATCTTATTAAAATTAAAGAGTTACAAAAACTGCTACCATATTGCTACTTATCAAAAATGCCAAAGAAATAAAATTTTAATGACTGGTATGGTTTCGTTGTGTCCCCACCCAAATCTAGTCTTGAATTGTAACTCCCATAATTCCTACCTGTCTTGGGAGGGACCTGGTGGGAGGTAATTGAATGTAAGGGTGGGTCTTTCCCATGCTGTTCTCTTGTTAGTGAATAAGTCTCACGAGATCTGATGGTTTTATAACAGGGAGTTCCCCTGGACACGTTTTCTTTGCCTGCTGGTGAGTGACTTTGCTCTTCCTTGGCCTTCTGCCATGATTATAAGGACTCCCCAGCCATGTGGAACTGTGAGTCAATTAAACCTCTTTCCTTTATAAACTACCCAGTCTCAGGTATGTCTTTATTAGCAGGGTAATAAATGGATTAATACAGTGGCTTATAAATATTACTAATAAACATGTAAATTTTATTTTTTCTGATTTGAGTCTCAACTAAAAAATTAAGTTCCTTGCTATTGTCCTAAGCCATTTCATACTCCAAATAACTGAAACGCCTTTCACTTTTGTTGAAAAGGGTTGAGCTATGGAAATGGAGGATCAATCATATCATCCAGCTTCAGCTTAAAAAAATACTAACATCATTCAGAATAAAAATTAACTTAATTTTTGAATTATTCCTTTTATTCTTAACCATGATTATAGTTGCTTTGTTAAAAATGTTTTAGGCTGGGCACAGTGGCTCACGCCTATGATCCCAGAACTTTGGGAGGCCAAGGAGGGCAGATCATGAAGTCGGGAGATCAAGACCATCCTGGCTAACACAGTGAAACCCTGTCTCTACTAAAAACACAAAAATTAGCCTGGCGTGGTGGCACGCACCTGTAGTCCCAGCTACTCAGGAGGCTGAGCCAGGACAATTGCTTGAACCTGGGAAGTGGAGGTTGCAGTGAGCTGAGATCATGCCACTGCCCTCCAGCCTGGGCAACAGAGCGAGGATCCATCTAAAAAAAAACAAGAATGTTTTAAATTAAATTTATAGTAAATTGGGTTTATACGAATATAAATTGCATATAATTTAAGCACGTAATTAAAATATTTTATGTTGATTTTGAATAAACTAGATAAACAAAATTAATGTTACCAACAGGAATGTATTTCTAAAATACTGCATTTTTACATGTTCAGAATGATTTTTAATTCATTTTGATTAGAGCAAATTGCTTACTCTCAAGAGGTTGATAGACATTAAAGATTTCCACTTTAGTGGTTTCCTGTGACATCAGTGTTACATCTATGCAAAAATCTGTTTCCTTAGCAACAAGAAGCAAACTGTTCAAGGGAGCCAACAGAAAAAACTGAAATGTGTTTAATGTTAAATACCAGAGCTTAATATGGATATTATATTCATATAGAATACAGTGGTGAATTTAAAGGATTTCAAATACCCCATAAACAGAATGTAAAGTACTATACTGCGTCAATACATAACAACTCAAACTCTGATTTTAGAGGTACAAAATGTAATGCGTTTCCCCTGTATAGGGAAAGTGAAACATCAGGCATATTTTACTGAAACTCTGACACTTATGATTCTCAAACCAGAGAGTTACTTTACCATCCTTGGACTATATTTCTACCTCTATAATATAAATGACATTGATTACTTTGTGTGTAATGTTCTTACAATTCTGACAGTCTATGATTTTATGATTTATGACTCTCAAGTTGATTGGTGAAGATTTGACCACATGAAACTTCTATAGATAATGTAGTATATCCCCTTAGCCTCTAAAGTAAATGAGATTATGATAGTTATATGCTGCTAAGGTGGAGAGGCAGAGTAAGATATGCATTCTGTCTATACTTAGGTGTTTACTAGTACTTTATTGGTAGTGACTAGGGAGTTAAGGGTTAATGAAAAAAGACAACATGCACTAGTGTTTAGGCTCCATTTTGGAAAATGTTGACATATACAATTTGAGCCAAATATTACTTCATATAAAAATCCAGGTTTCCAAAAAGGATCCCTGGAATTTGGTATTGGTAGGAGAATATTGAAATTTTAGGCAATTCTTAAGAGCTCCCTTCTCCTTGCATTGTACCCTAAGAAAGAAGAAAAATGGGGCCATGTATCTTCATTTTTCACACTGATTGTGTTCTTTGGCTTATTTAACTTTTGGGTTAATTTTTGTGTGTTTTTTCATATTTCCATAAAAGATCTAACTGGGCCTGCCTTGTATTTGTTATGGGCCTCTCACTCTTCTAGATAACAGCAACTCCTTTAGGACTTAAACTCATCTGTAAGTACAATCATTCTCACACTATCCCACCCAACTCACAAATAAGAGTATGACCAAAGAAGAATAAAACTGGCAGGTAATGCAATACAAACATCATTTTGTGCACCATGTGTATCTCTTCTAAACTAAATACGGAAAATCTAGCCATCAAGGATAGAGGTTGAAAGTACAGATTGGGAGCAAAGCCCAGATGCTAAAAGTAGTGTGAATTTGTGTTACTTTTCTCTAACGATGGTACCACTTCAAATTAACAGCAGAAAAGATTCTTAGATTTATAACGCTGTCATAAGTATCAAATACAATAATGCTTGATTAGCATAATGCATGGTACTTTAGACTCATTCAGTTCATGTTAAATATCATTATTTTTACTATAATCAAACTAATCCAGTGATAATCATTATAATTGCAAAGCACTAACATAAATAAGGTATACTTTGACTTTGTGAATTAGCAAACAAGGGATGTGGTAGGTACCAAAAAGCCCTTAGTCTTTACAAATTTACCTCCAAATCTATCTAGCAAGTAATTGGCATTTCAGTATTTGATATTGAAGCTATTGGTCCTTGGGACATTTATTTGTTTACCTTATTTCTGGAGTCTCTACTGTTGAACTCTGTCTCAGGAGCACTAATCCCACATGAATAAGTTTTCTTAAAAACCTTATAATATTGCCTGCTATAAACCAAGAATGTTCACTAGGCATTCAAAGATAACGATATTGAATGCTGTGAATTGAGAATGAAAAGAAAGTTGCATAGCGGGGAAAAAAGTCATCAATTCCCTAAAGCTCTAGGACAGGTGACCACAAAGAAACAAAATTGTCATCCAGAAAAAAATGGCACTAAGCTAGAGATAACTACACAGACAGAGATTCATTTATACTACACTTTTGTAATGTCGTCTTTTAGACACAATGAATCAGACAGCATTGGGAAGTAGAGAGTAAGTAGAAGGCTTTTTTTCTAGTAAGTAGAGAGCATAATTTCCTTTCAGAGAAAATACCTCAGGTTTTGCAATAAAGCACTCTTCTGCCTGAAATCTCCTAAATGTGACCTAAGGAAGTCATATTCCTCAAATAATTTTACAGGTGTCCTTTATGAGTACAATAGTGCCAATAATAACAGAATTCACAGTTCTCACCATGTGGTTAGAGAGAATAAGAAAAGTAACCTCTCTAAGATTTTTCACTAACAAAACTCTCTATTATTGAGCACTAGTTGGATATTTCCTGAAAGTGGGGGACTATGCCAGATGATTTCTTGGAATCACTTCAAGATCTAAAATATGGAAATTGATGTTGACAGTCATTACAAAATGTAAAGAAAAATAAACATATTGAAATATACTATTGAAAAGTAAAACTGCCCTATCTACTAGAAATATAGATGTGATCCAATAGTTTGGCCAGCCAAATTATTTGATTTAAGTCAGATATAAATGAGGGTAGAAGCACGATTTAAAAAATATTAACAGAGATAAAGTGACTTTGAAAGTAAAAAGAAAAAAAATTTTTGGTTCAATAACATTTCATCACTGAGGTCAGCTTCGTCTTGAAGTTGCATGAGACTTGGTGTCTGTTGAGTTGTAGGCTGGGATTAGATGTGATAAAGGTGGCTGAAAGGAATTTGCCTAAAGTTCTAGCTGGGAGGGATTTCTATGTACAGAAAAAAAAAAACACAGGAATTTTCAACTAGTAGATAGAGAAGAATTAGGATAAGCTTTACCAACATCTCATATTTGAGGATAGGCATGGTAAATGGCAGTCATGTGGCTACATGTAGAAGATTCCCCACAATCAAACAAGTTAAATAGCTAGGTCTTCTAAAACCTAATTTGTTCCTAAATCCAGAACAAGCATGGCCATTTTGGTGACAAACATAGTGAAAGACTGGTGCCCAGCCTTAAAGATTTGCTCATAGATATTAAATTGCAAAATTTAAATCTTAGAAATAGAGGATGTGGTGGGCAATATTAGCAGTCAACTAGATTCAACTGAGGGATGACTAGATGACAGGCAAAGTATTATTTCTGGGTGTGTTTGTGAGGGTGTTGATAAAGGAGACTGACATTTGAGTTGGTGGACTGGGAGAGGAAGACCCACCCTCAGTGTGCGTGGGCAACATCCAATAGGCTGCCAGTATGGCTAGAACAAGGCAGGTGAAAGAAGGTGGAATTAGGTTGCTTGCTGAGTCTTCTGGTTCTCTCTCTCTCTTTTTTTTTCCACGCCGAATGCTTGCTTCCATTCCTCCTCTCCTTGGACATCAGACTCCAGATTCTTTGGCCTTTGGACTCCAGGACTTGCACCTGTGGCTTCCTAGGGGTTCTCAGGCCTTTGGCTGCAATGTTGGTTTCCCTGGTTTTGACACTTTGCACTTGGACTAAACCATCAGCAACTTCTCTATTTCCCTGCTTGCAGATGGTCTATCATGGGACTTCACCTTGTAATTGTGTGAGACAATTCTCCTTAATAAACTCCTTTCTATATACACATGTATACTATTGGTTCTGTCCCTTTGGAGAACCTTGTCTAAGACAGAGGATTAAAGAATTTTTTTGTTATTTTTTAATAGATACACAGTAGGGTGTTGCTCTGACAACCAGGCTGGAGTGCAGTGGCTTAATTGTAGGTCCCTGGAGGCTCAGTCTCCTGGGCTAAAGTGATCCTCTTTCGTCAGCCTCTGGAGTTGTTGGGATTATAGGCACACACCACCACACCTGGCTAATTTCTTATTTTTTTCTTTTCTTTCTTTTTTTTTTTTTTTGAGATGGGATTTCACTATATTGCCCAGACTGGTATCAACTTCCTGGTCTAAAGCAATCCTCCCACCTCAGCCTCTTAAAGTGCTGGGATAGCAGTCATGAGCCACTGTGCCCAGGCTAATAAAAGATTTTGGAAATCAATGTATTCAGAACCAGACCTCCAGCAGCAGCAGGAGGTAGAGTAAACTAACTCTAGATCTGACCACCCCAGGATGAGATTGTCATAAGTGAAGATAGTGTCAAGGCATTAGTTAAAGCAACTGAAGCCTCAGATAATGCTCTAGAACCAGCATGTAAACTGGAAGTCTCAGAATTTTTTTTATATAAATCTCTGGCTCTATAGACTAGACCAAATGCAAAAAAGTTCGTTGAAATCAGCTTTTTCTTTTATTTCCATAGGTTTTTGGTGAATAGGTGGTATTTGGTTCCATGAGTAAGGTTTTCAGTGGTGATTTGTCAGATTTTGGTGAACCTATCTCCAGAGCAGAATACAATGAACCCAATTTGTGCTTCTTTATCCCTCCACCCCTTCCCACACTTTCCCCCGGAGTCCCCAAAGTCCACTGTGTCATTCTTACGCCTTTGCATTCTCATAGCTTAGCTCCCACTTATGAGTGAGAACATACATGTTTGGTTTTCCATTCCTGAGTTACTTCACTTAGAATAATAGTCTCCAATCCTATTCAGATTATTGCAAATGCCATTAATTCATCCCTTTTTACTGCTGAGTAGTATTTTGTCATATATATATATATATATATATATATATATATATATATGCCACAATTTCATTATCCATTCGTCGATTGATGGACATTTGGGTTGGTTCCACATTTTTGCAATTGTGAATTGTGAGCTATAAACATGCATGAGCAAGTATCTTTTTTGAATAATTACTTCTTTTCCTCTGGATAGATATCCAGTAGTGGGGTTGCTGGATAAAATGGTAGTTCCACTTTTAGTTCTTTAGGGAATCTCCACACTGTTTTCCATAGTGGTTGTACTAGTTTACATTCCCACCAGCAGTGTAGAAGTGTTCCTTTTTAACCACATTTACACCAACATCTATTATTTTTTTATCTTTTGATTATGGCCATTCTTGCGGGAGTAAGGTGGTATTGCATTGTGATTTTGATTTTATTTCCCTGTTTATTAGTGATACGGAGCATTTTTTCACATGTTTTTTGGCCATTTGTATATCTTCTTTTGAGAATTGTCTATTCATGTCCTTAGCCCACTTTTTGATGGGATTTTTAGCTTTTTCTTGCTAATTTGTTTGAGTTCATTATAGATTCTGGATATTAGTCCTTTGTCAGATTTACAGATTGTGAAGATTTTCTCCAACTCTATGGATTATCTGTTTACTCTGCCGACTATTCCTTTTGCCATGCAAAACTCTTTAGATTAATTAAATCCCAGCTATTTATCTTTGTTTTTATAGCACTTGCTTTTGGGTTCTTGGTCATGAAATGCTTGCCTAAGCCAGTGGCTAGAAGGGTTTTTCCAATGTTATGGTCTACAAATTTTAGTTTCAGGTCTTAGATTCAAGTCCCTTGATTCATCTTGCATTGATTTTTGTATAAGGTGAGAGATGAGGATCCAGTTTCCTTCTCCTATACGTGGCTTGCCAATTATCCCACCATCATTTATTCAATAGGGTGTCCTTTCCCTACTTCATGTTTTTGTTTCCTATGTCGAAGATCAGTTGGTGTAAGTATTTGGGTATATTTCTGGTTTCTCTATTCTGTTCCATTGGTCTATGTGCCTATTTTCATACCAGTGCTGTTTTGGTGACTATGGCCTCGTAGTATAATTTGAAATTAGGTAATGTGACGTCTCCAGATTTGTTCTTTCTGCTTAGTCTTGCTTTGGCTATCCAGGCTCTTTTTTGGGTTCCATATGAATTTTAGGATTGTATTTTCTAGTTTTATGAAGAATAATGGTGGTATTTTGATGAGAATTGCATTAAATTTGTAGATTGCTTTTGGCAATATGGTCAATTTCACAATATTGATTCTACCCATCCATGAACATAGGATGTCTCCATTTGTTTGTGTCATCTATGATTTTTTTTTTTTTTTTGAGATGGAGTCTCACACTGTTACCTGGCGTGGAGTGCAGTGGAGAGATCTCAGCTCACTGCAACCTCCATCTCCCAGGTTCAAGCTATTCTCCTTGTCTCGGCCTCCCAAGTAGCTGGGATTACAGGCATGCACCACCATGCCTACCTAATTTTTTTTTTTTTTTGTATTTTTAGTAGAGATGGGGTTTCACTATGTTGGCCAGGATGGTCTTGAACCTATGACCTTGTGATCCACCCACCTTGGCCTCCCAAAGCGCTGGGATTACAGACATTAGCTGCCATGCCCAGACCATCTCTGATTTTTTTCAGCAGTGTTTTGTAGTTCTCCTTGTAGAGGTCTTTCATCTCCTAGGTTTTATATATTCCTAAGTATTTTTTTTTTTGCAGCTATTGTAAAAGTAGTTGAGTTCTTGATTTGATTCTCAGCTTGGTCGCTGTTGATGTATAGATCTACTGATTTATGTACATTAATTTTGTATCTGGAGACTGCTGAATTATTTTATCATTTCTAGATGTTTTTTTGGAGGAGTCCTTTGGTTTTCTAGGTATGCAGTAATATCATCAGCAAACAGCAATAGTTTGACTTCAACTTTACTGATTTGTATGAATTTTATTTCTTTTTCTTCTCTGATTGCTCTAGCTAGGACTTCCAGCACTATGTTGAACAGAAGTGGTGAGAGTGGGCATCCTTGTCTTGTCCCAGTTCTCAGAGAAAAAATGTTTTTAATTTTTCCTAATTTAGTATTATTTTAGCTGTGGGTTTGTCATAGATAGCTTTTATTATGTTGTATGCTGATTTTGCTGAGTGTTTTAATCATAAAAGAATGCTTTATTTTGTCAAATGCTTTTCTGTTTTTGTGGTGTATCACATTTATTGACTTGCTGATGTTAAACCATCCATGCATCCCTGATATGAAAACCACTTGATCATGGTGGATTATCTTTTTGATATATTGTTGGATAGCTAGTTATCTAGTATTTTGTTAAGGATTTTTACATCTGTGTTTATCAGGGATATTGGTCTGTAGTTTTGTTGTTGTTGTTGTTATATCCTTTCCTGGTTTTGATATTAGGGTGATACTGGTTTTATAGAATGATTTAGAGAGGATTCTCTTTTTCTCTATCTTGTGATATAGTGTCAATAGGATTGGTACCAATTCTTTGAATGTTTGGTAGAATTCAGCTGTGAATCCATTTGGTCCTGGACTTTTTTGTGTTGGGTATTTTTTTAATTACCATTTCAATCTCACTGCTTGTTATTAGTCTGTTCCCGGCACCTAATTCTTCCTGATTTAAGATAGGAGGGTTGTATCTTTCCAGGAATTTATCCCATCTCCTCCAGGTTTTCCAGTTTCTGTGTGTAAAGCTGTTCATAGTAGCCTTGAATGATCTTTTGTATTTCTGTGGTATCAGTTTTAATATCTCCCATTTTGTTTCTAATTGAGCTTATTTTCATTTTCTCTCTTCTTTTCTTGGTTAATCTTGCTAATTGTCTATCAATTTTATCTTTTCAAAGAACCAGCTTTTTGTTTCATTTACCTTTTGTATTTTTTTGTTTCAATTTAATTTAGTTCTGCTCTGATTTTGGTTGTTTCCTTTCTTCTGCCTGGTTTAGGTTTGGTTTGTTCTTGTTTCTCTAGTTCCTTGAGGTGTGACCATAAATTATCTATTTGTGCTCTTTCAGACTTTTTGATGTAAGGATTTAGGGCTATATAAGGATTTAGGGCTCTTCCTGTTAACACTGCCCTTGCTGTATCTCAGAGGTTTTGACAGGTTGTGTCATTATTGTCATTCAGTTTGAAGAATTTTTTAAATTTGCATCTTTATTTCATTTTGGCCAGTGTTTATTCAAGGGCAGGTTATTTAATTTCCATGTATTTGCATGGTTTTGAAAGTTCCTTTTGGAGATGGTTTTCAGTTTTATTCCACTGTGGTCTGAGAGAGTACTTGATATAATTTCAATTTTCTTAAATTTATTGAGACTTGTTTAGTGGCTTGTTATATAGTCTATCTTGGAGAAAGTTCCATGTCCTGATGAATAGAATGTGTTATATTCTGCAATTGTTGCTGGAATGTTCTGTTAATATCTGTTAAGTCCATTTGTTCCAGTGTATAGTTTAAATCTATTGTTTCTTTGTTGATTTTCTGTCTTTATGACCTGTCTAGCCCTGTCAGTGGTGTATTGAAGCCCCATACTATTATTGTGTTGCTGTCTATCTCATTTCTTAGGTCTAGTAGTAATTGTTTTATAAATTTGGGAGTTCCAGTTTTAGGCACATATATGTTTAGGATTATAATATTTTCCTCTTGGACAAAGCCTTTTAACATTATATAATGTCCCTCTTTGTCTTTTTCAACTTCTGTTGCTTTAGAGTTTGTTTTATCTCATATAATAATAGCTACTCCTGCTCACTTTTGGTGTCCTTATGCATGGAATGTCTTTTTCTACCCCTTTACCTTAAGTTTATGTAGTACTTATGTATTTGATGTGTCCCTTGAAGGCAGCAGATGGTTGGTGAATTTCTATCCATTTTGCAATTCTGCATCTTTCAAGTGGAGCATGTAGGTCATTTACATTCAATGTTGCTATTGAGATGTGAGGTACTATTCTATTCATTGTGCTATTTGTTGCCTATATACCTTGTTTTTTTTTTCCAAAAATGTATTTTTTGTAGGTCCTGTGAGATTTATGGCTTAAAGATGTTCTGTTTTGATGTTTCCAGGATTTGTTTCAAGATTTAGAGCTCCTTTTAGCAGTTCTTGTAGTGCTGTCTTGTTAGTAGCAAATTCTCTTAGCATTTGTTTGTCTGAATAAGACTGTATATTTTCTTCATTTATGAAGCTTAGTTTCACTGGATACAAAATTCTTGGCTGATAATTCTTTTGTTTAGGGAAGCTGAAAATAGGGCCCAAATTCCTTCTAACTTGTAGGGTTTTTGCTGAGAAATCCTCTGTTAATCTGATAGTTTGTTGTTGTTGAATAGGTTACCTGGGTCTTTTGCCTCACAGCTCTTAAGATTATTTCCTTTGTCTTAACTTTAGATAACCTGATGACAATGGTCCTAGGCAATGATCTTTTTGTGATGAATTTCCCAGGTGTTCTTTGAGCTTCTTGTATTTGGATGTCTAGTTCTCTATCAAGGCTGAGAAAGTTTTCCTTGATTATTCCTCTGAATATATTTTCTAAACTTTTAGATTTCTTTTCTTCCTCAGGTACACTAATTATTTTTAGGTTTGGTCATTTAATATAATCCCAGTCTTCTTGCAGGCCTTGTTTATTTTTTCTTATTCTTTTTTCTTTGTATTTGTTGTATTGGGTTCCTTCAAAATCCTTGTCTTCAAGCTTTGAAATTTATTTTTCTGCTTGTTCGATTCTATTGCTGAGACTTTCCAGAGCATTTTGCATTTCTCTAAGTGTATCCATCATTTCCTCAGGTTTTGATTTTTTTTTATTTATGTTAATTCACTGATTATTTCTCCTCTCATTTTCTTTTATCATTTTTGTTTTGATTTCCTTAAATTGGACTTCATCTTTCTCTGGTGCCTCCTATTAGCTTAATAAATGACCTTCTGAATATTTTTCAGGTAAATCAGGGATTTCATCTTTGTTTGGATCCATTGCTGGTGAGTTAGTGTGATTTGGAGGGGGTTGTTAAAGAACCTTGTTTTGTCATATTACCAAGAATTATGTTTCTGGTTTCTTCTCATTTGGGTAAGTCTATGTCAGAAGGAAGGTCTGGGACTCAAGGTGGTTTTTCAGATTTTTTTGTCCCACAGGGTGTTTCCTTGGTGTAGTACTCTCTCTCTTCACCCAGGGATGTGGCTTCCTGAAAGCCCAGTTGTAGTGATTGCTATCTCTCTTCTTGATCTAGCCACCCAGCAGGTCTACAAGGCTCTGGGCTATTACTGGGGGTTGTCTGCACAGAGTCCTGTGATGTGAACTGCCTGTGAGTGTCTCAGCCAAGGATACTCGCACCTGTTCTGGTAGAAGTGGTGGAGGTGGTGAAATGGATGCTGTGAGGTCTTTTGTTTCGGTTGTTCAGTGCACTATTTTTGTGCTAGTTGGCCTCCTGCCAGAAGGTGGCACTTTCAAGACAGCATCATCTGTGGTAGTATAGGGAGGATCAAGTGGTCAGTGGGACCCTAGAACTCCCAATAGTATATGCCTTTTGTCTTCAGCAATCAGGATGGGTAGGGAAAGACCATCAGGTGAGAGCAGGGCTAGGTATGTCTGAGCTCAGACTCTCCTTTTGCAGGTCTTGCTGTGGCTGCTGTGGGGGATGGAGGTGTGGTTCCCAGGTCAATGGAGTTATGTTCCCAGGTCAGGTCGATTACGGCTGCCTCTGCTGTGTCATGCAGGTTGTCAGGGAAGCAGGGGAAAGCTGACAGTTACAGGTCTCACCCAGTTTCCACACAATCCAAAAGGCCTGTCTCACTCCCACTATGCTCCCCCATCAAACAGCACCGAGTCTGTCTCCAGGAGGTGGGCAAGCTGGGCTGAGAGCTTGCCCCAGGCTACCAGCCTCCCAGTTGTGCAAGCAAGGATGGCTTTTGTGCCTCCCTGCCTGTGGAGTCTGCACACTGGATTCACACCCTCCCCCCGAGTTCTGGCCCAGGAGACCTCACATTCAGCTGGAGTTGTCACAAAGTTCAGCTAGAGGTTTGCTTCTCCCTGCAGTCTTTTCCCAGTACATCTGGCAGCTTTCCCCAAGGACCCTTGTCAGACAAGGCAGAAATGGCTTCCCAGTGGACCCAGAGAGTCCACAGGGCTTTTCCCGCTGCTTTCTCTACCCCTGTATTTTACTCAGCTCTCTAAATTGACTCATCTCCAGGTAAGTTCAGACTCTTCTCCTGTGATCTAGACCTTCAGGTTCCCCAGTAAGGGTGTGTGTTTGGGGGTGGACGATCCCACTTTCCTACTTCCACAACTTGGGCGCTCGCAATATTTGGCGCGTCTCTTGGGTCCTGCAAGAGCAATCTGCTTCCTTCATAGGGTCTGTGGGTTCTCTCAGGTTTCCTGGTTTATTCCTGCAGTAGTTCTGGAGCAAAAGTGCACTATGCAAGTCTCCTCACCCTGCTCTGTCCATCTGCGTGGGAGCTGCAATCTAGTCCTGCCTCCCATCCACCGTGATCCCTAACTCACTGAGATCAGCTTTTGATATGGTTCTTGCTCTCAGTACTTAAACTACGAGTAAAAGGAACCAGAAAATATGTTACATTTTCCATCGTAATAACAAAGAGACAAAAGTGTTAGCTGCAAAGGAACACAGATTACTAGAATAACTGCAGGAAAACTGACTCAGAGCACCAGCTAATACCATAGGAGGATATTGGAATAAATATTCAAATAAAGAATAATACAGTTCTCATTTTTTAAAATAAGAGATATTGTCACAAAAAGCATATAAAAAGTTTGTTCTGAATGTCAGAAATGTTTCTGTGTCAATCTGAACCATAAAAAATAGATGAACTCCTCTACAAGTAATGCTTTAGATATTTCAAAGCAGGAGGCAATGCATACTTGTCTACACTGAGTTGTTTGCCCTTGCACATGTGTATATATATATATATATATGTGTGTGTACTTAAAGAAATTTCATAACGTACACATTTTAAAAGATTATTGTTTTAACAAATTATTATGGAAAAAAGTGGCTTCTCAGCATCCCAAAGACATTTAAAAAGCTACGTGAGTTATGTTGTCATATCTAAATTCAAAATGAAGCAATTAATGAAAAAAGACAAAGTGATTTTACAAGTAAACAAATTGTTACAATATTTTTATGAAAAATCTTTCTAGAAAATCTGGTACCCAATAATAGTGTTAGGTAGGTAATACATCAAAATGTGTTTACAAATTGAAAAATGGGAGAATGTAAAATATCCTTATAATGACACATATAAACTATAAGGCAATGGTAAAAGTAGCAGCATAGATTTTGAATCTCACCTAAACAGAATTCAGCAATATATAAACAGAATTGTACACCATGACCAAGTGGAACTTAATAAAAGGTGTAAGGCAGGTTCAATATTTGAATATCATTCAATGTAATTTACCATATTAACAGGCCAAGGAAGAAAAATTACATGATAGTATCAACCAATGCAGAAAACGTGTTGGCAAAATTCAACATTTAATGACAAAATTCTCAGAAGAATCAGAAGAAAGGGGAACATCCTCAACATGATAAAGAGCATCTACTGAAGCCTACAGCTAACTTTATAATTAATGATGAAAGACTGAATGCTTTTCCACTACTACTGGCAATAAGGCAAGAATGTCCAATTTAATCACTGTATTTAAATATAACGCTGTAAGTTTTAGCCAATGAAATAGGCAAGACATGAAGGTGGGGCAGTGGAAAAGGCATAGAGATTGGAAAATAAAAATAAAACTACCTTATTTGTAGATAGCATAGCTGCCTACAAAGTAAACTCCAAAGATTCTACAACAATATTACTAGAACTTACAGATGGGTTCATTAAAGTTATAGGATACAAAACAAATATACAAAAATCAACTGTGTTTCAGTTATCTGAAATGAAAATGTAGAGACCAAAATTAAAATATAATGCCAGTTGTACTTGTTCAAAAACAAAATTGCAGCAAGGTGCAGGACATTCACACTTGTAATCTCAGCACTTTGGGTTGGTGACTTGGGTGGATCTTTTGAGCTCAGAAGTTCCAGACCAGTCTGGGCCACATGGCAAGACCACCTCTCTACAGAAAATAGAAAAATTATGTGGTGGTGCATACCTATAGTCCGAGATACTCAAGAGGCTGAGGTGGAAGGATTGCTTGAGCTCCAGAGGCTGAGGCTGCAGCAAGTTGAGATCACACCACCGCACTCTAGTCTGGGTGACAGAGTGAGAACCTGTCTCAATAAATAAATAAATAAAATAAAGTATACCTAAATGTAAATCTAACAAATCATGTCAAATCATGTGCAGAACTTATATGCTGAAAACTACTGATTGCTGAAGAAAGAAATGACAAGGTATCTGAATAAATGTGAAGATGTACTATATTTATGCATTGGAAGACTCAATAAAATCAAGATATCAATTACCCTCAAACTAATATTCAAGTTTAATGCAATTCCTGCCAACTCTCAGCAAGAGCTGTAGATACAGACAAAATTGTTCTAAAATATATATGGAAAGGCAAATAACTAAAATAGGTAAAATGCTATGATAAAGAAGAACGAAATGCAAATGAGAGCTCAGTCTACTGGATTTCAAGACAGGTAGCTGAAATAATCAAGCCTGGGTGGTACTAGAGGGAGCATAGACACAGAATGGAACAGAAACAATGGATCAGAGTACAGAACCCAAAAATAGACCTACAAAAGTATGCAAACTAATTTTGTTTTGTAACTTGAAAACTTTTTATTTTTAGAAAAATGTTAGATTTACAGAAAAATTACAGATGGTACAAGTTCCCATTTATCTTACACCTAGTTCTCTTATTATTAACATCTTATCTATTATATTTGTTACAATTAATGAAGCACTATTGATACACTATTATTATCTAAAGCCCATACTTTTTTCAGAGTCTCTTAGTTTTTGTCTACTGTTCTTTTTTCCTATTCCAGGATCCAGTCAAGGAGACCATATTACAGTAATAATTATGTCTCAGCATCCTCTTGGCTAAGACAGTTTCTCTGACTTTCACTTTGATGATCCCATCAAAATTTAGATTTTGATGATCCCAGAACTTTTGAAAAGTAGAAGTCAGGTATTTTGTAGAATGTTCATCAATTGGACTTGAATGATCTTTTTCTCATGGTCACACTGGGACTATTTGAAGAGAAAGAGCAAAGATGTAAAGTGCCATTTTTATCACATCATACCAAGTATATATACTGCCAACATGATTTATCGCTGTTGACGTTAACCTTGCTTGTCTGTCTGAGAAAGTGGTGGTCAGGTTTCTTTACTATAAAGTTACTCTTTTCATCTCTGTTTCCATGCTACATCAGTTGGAAGGAAATCACCATGTAAATGCCCCACGCTTAAGAAGTGGGGAGTTACTTGCTCCTTCATTAAGGGTTGTCTATCTATATAAATTGTTTGGAAGTCTTCTGCTCAGAAGATTTGTCTTTTATAGCTTATTTATTTATTCATTCATTTCTAAAAGCATAAAGTCAATTTTGTTTTATATTTTAGGTTATAATTTAATACTAATTTATTTTGTTATTCAAGTGCTTCTAATCTTTGCCATTGGAAGCTTTCAGTTGACCCCCATGTCCCTTTGACATACCCCAATTTTTGTGATATGTTTTCTTTGATTGGTTGATTTTGAGCATTTCTTTTCTTTCTAGTGCTATCAGATACTCCAGGCTCATACTATGTAGTTCCTTCACCAGTACTATAACCTATCATGCCTCCAAGGAGCTGCTATCATCAGGGAATGATATTACAAACCAAGGTCTATTTAAGTGTGACTGTTGATTCTAGGGTACCATTCCTCCTAGTTCCTCTTATATATGTGTGTATGTGCATTTGTGTGTATATACACACACAGGTATGCACACATTAATATATGTGTTCATATAACCCATATATACCCATTATCT
The DNA here is from genome assembly GCF_000001405.40 of Homo sapiens. Taxonomy (NCBI): domain Eukaryota; kingdom Metazoa; phylum Chordata; class Mammalia; order Primates; family Hominidae; genus Homo; species Homo sapiens. The sequence goes on from NC_000004.12 coordinate 45,860,647, forward strand.
TTAAGTAGTAACCATCTGTTTCTATTAAGCCATATGTAACCATCTGTCTGTATTAAGCTAAACATGGGTTCATGCTGACACCTCAAACTCAAATTAATTTCCACATGGATCACTCCAGACTCTGACCCTTGTTTATTTGTAACCTTTCTCTCTAACAGTGAGAAACTTGGCACCCAACACCTACTATTCATTTACATAATTGTTTCATTACAAGATACAGTTATAAAGGTATTAAAATTGTTAACCTATGACTCTGTGGAGAACAATGGGATTAACTAGAGTATAATATTTATGTATAGTTTATTTTTACTTTAGTCTTAGGAACTACTCATTTCCAAAGTTACTTATGATAGCAGCTTTTCCCCCATGCCTTTCAGGGTGTATGTTTCATACATTGTTTAATGCTGTCAGATTGTTTTATAGCATTCTTTATTGTACGCTGAATCTACAGACTTCCTTTATTTATTCCTTCAACAATCTTCCTGTCTTAATATAGATTAAAGTTTCTGATCTTCCTGAAAAACTTTGACTTTTTTTTCAGAGAACCTTCACTGAGAATGAATTCTATCAGTTTTTCTTTGTCTGAAAAAGTTCCTATTTCTCCTACACCTTTGAAGGATAATTTCACAGGATATGGAATTCTAATTGGTGAATGTTTTTCTTCCAACATTTCAGATATTTCATTCTGCTCTCTTCTTAGTTGAATGATTTCTGAATAAAAATCCATTTTGAGCATTTGTAATTCTTACTATTGTTTTTCCATAGATACTTTTTTTGTTGTTGGTGATGGTGGTGGTGTTTTTTTGTTGCTGTTGCTGCTGCAGCTGTTGTTGTTTTGCCTTGTCTTCTTTCAAGATTTTTATTTTTCTAAAATTTGAAAACAATATATTCAGGTGTAGATCTGTGTTGTTTATTCTATTTGGTGTTCTCTGAGTTTTCTGGATCCATGGCTTGGGGCCTGTCATCAAGTTGAAAATTCTTGGCCATTATTACTTCAATTTATTTGGCTCTGTCTGTTTTCGCTCCTCTTCTGGCATTCCACTTACAGCATACATATTTTATAGCTTTTGAAAGTGTGCACAGATCTGGGATATTCTGTTTTGTCTGAGGGTGAGGACAGTTGTATTTTATTGTGTCTGTTTCTAATTCTTTTTACTCTTATATTTTAGTTTGGGAAGTTCCTATAAACATTCAAGCTTTCTAATTATCTTCTGGGTCATGTTCACTAATTAGCCCAATAAAGGCAGTTTTCATTTGTGTTACAATGTTTTTATCTCTAAAGATTCCTTTGGGTTTTCTTAAGAGTTTCCATATCTCTGCTAATATTACCTATCTTTTCTTGCATGCTGTCTACTTTTTTCCATTAGTCCCCCTAACATGATCCTCATAATTATTTTAAATTCCTTGTCTGATAATTCTAAAATTTTTCTCACATCTGAGCTTGCTTCTGATGTTTATTTTTACTCTTTACCGTGTGATTTTCTCTTGCCTGTTTGCATGGCTTGTAAATTTTGTTGAAAGTCAGACATAATATATTGGCTAATAGGAATTGAAGTACATTGGCCTTTAATGTGAGGTGTTTTATGCTAATAAACTTAAGACTTTTAGGCTGTGTTTAATGTTTACTATAGCTGTAGATGCCAGAGGTTTTAAATTCTTCTATAATCATTATTTTAGTCTTCTTTCTTGACTTTCAGCTTCCCTAGGTACTCCTCTTAAGAGAGAGTCTGTGTCTTATAGCATATTCAACTGTAATTCACTGCTATTACTGGAACCCTGTTGGTATGGTGGTCAGGTTGTGACGTAGAGGAAGTGATCTATGATCTTATGATTAAAACTCAGTGTTTTAGTGGGTCTTTGTGTCTGGGCTGTAACCACAAATATTTTCTAGTAGTATATTTTTTATCCTCCTAAAGTTAGACAATAAGTCTAGAGGGTCTATAAAATGAGGAATTACCTTCCTCAGCTTGGATAAGAGTCTAGTAAAGTCATTTTCCCTGGAAGTGGGCCCTGTTATAGAGAATGATCTAGATATATTTCACAGTGGTTACTCTTTTTCTCCCCTTGCCAATATTATGAGAGGATCTCTACTGAATCTCCACTGTACAGAACCTGGTAGAGTTCCTACAGGTAAAAGTAAAGGTAAAACTGAGGAAACTACAGCCCACAGTAGTTTCTGAAGATAATGCGCACATATCCTCTAGCAATTCATCAAATAATACTATTTAAGTATTATTGGTCAGGTGCAGTGGCTCATGCCTATAACTCCAGCACTTTGGGAAGCCGAGGCTGGCAGATCACCTGAGGTCAGGAGTTTGAGACCAGCCTGGGCAACATAGCAAAACCCCGTCTCTACAAAAAATACAAAAATTAGCCAGTCATGGTGGCATTTGCCTGTAATCCCAGCTATTTGGGTGGCTGAGGTAGAAGAATTACTTGAACCTTGCAGGCAAAGGTTGCAGTGAGCTGAGATCATACCACTGCACTCCAGCCTAGGTGACAGAGGAAGACTCTGTCTCAAATAAATAAATACATAAATACATAAATAAATAAAGTATTACTACCAGCCTTATGGCCCCAGTAACTTCTAATCTAGGTAAGCAAAACTTGGCTATGCCACACTGTATTTCCCTGTTTCTCCAGATTAAAGGATAGTGTTTTCCCCAAAATCTTACTTCTCTAAAAAGACTAACAAAAGTTACTGATTTTCAGTATATTTAGTTTTTCCTTGCCATAGGACAGAGTAAGCACTTCTAAGCTCTTTACACGTCTGGACTAAAACCATAACTCTTTCACAACTGACTTTGACAAAGACACAGTGTTTCATAATAAAAAAGATTGCCTTTTCAAACAATGGTACTAGAGCAAGTGGGCATTTATAGGAAAAACGTGAATTTTGACCTAAGTCTCAGATCTTACAGAAAAGTTAACTCAGAATGTATCAGGGATTTATAATAGAAACATTAAAACTACAAATCTTAGGGGGTAAAATATAAGCAAAAATCTTTATTAGCTACACCTAGACAAAGGATTTTGATACCAAAAGTATGATTTATAAAAAGAAAAACTGTAAATTCGTCTTCATCAAAGATAAAAACTTCTTTGGCTCTTGAGAGTGATATGACAAGCTAAATACTGGAATTTGCAAACCACATATCCGTCAAATGAATAGTGTCTAGAATACATAAAGAACTTCCAAACCATGACAGAAAAAAGCAACAGTGATCCAATTAGAAAATGGGAAAAAGTCATGGAAGAAGAAGAAAACAAACATATTTCACTGAAGAAAACAAACATATGTCCAATAAGCCATATTAAGATGTCCAACATCATTATCCACTAGGTAAGTGCAAATCAAAACCACAGTGAAATTTGACTACACACCAATCAGAACAGCTGAAATAAAATGATGACAATAAATGCTTGTGCGGACCCTGAAAAATTAGATGACTCATATATTGCTGGTTATGATGTAAAGTGGTAAAGCTGCTCTCTAAAATATTTCAGACATTTCTTAAAAAACAAGACATGCAATTTTTATAGAAACCATAAATTGCACTCCTGGGCTTTTATTCCATAGAAATAAAACTTACATTAACACACACACAGACGCACACACAAACACACATTATTATATATGTAATATATATTATATTTGTGTATACACACACACACACACAAGCACCTTGTTGGTATGGTCAGGTGTGGGCTATATCCATATACACAAAATTTAGAACAGTTTTATTCATAATAGCTCAAAACTGGAAACAACCTAGATGTCCTTCAACCTTCAATCATGTTCATGGTTAAACAAGCTGTGGTACCTCCATATCATGGAATCTTACCTATCAATAAAAGGGAACCTCCATATCATGGAATCTTACCTATCAATAAAAGGGAACATCCATATCATGGAATCTTACCTATCAATAAAAGGGAACCTCCATATCATGGAATCTTACCTATCAATAAAGGGAACCTCCATATCATGGAATCTTACCTATCAATAAAAGGGAACCTCCATATCATGGACTCTTACCTATCAATAAAAGAGAACCTCCATATCATGGAATCTTACCTATCAATAAAAAGGAACAAAATACACACACAACCTGGATGAATCTCCAAAAAGTTATGCTGAGAAAAATATTTTTATTAAGAGGTTACATACGCTATGATTCCATTAATATAACATTATTTAAATGACACAAATTTAGAAATAGAGAACAGGTTAGTGGTTGACAGAGGTGAAGGATGGAGTGGGAATTGTAGGGAAGTTGGAGTGGCTATAAAATGACAACATGAGGAATTTTGTGATGATAGAAAATTTCTGTACCTTGGCTGTCTCAATGTCAATATCCTGTTTGTATTATTTTATTTTCATTTCACAAGATATTTTTATTGGAAAAATGGGTAAAGGGTCTATGGAATCTATTATTTCTTGCAACTTCATATGAACCCATAATTATCTCAAAATAAGAAAGTTTAAATATAATTTTTTACAAAACCCCTTTCACTATGACTATTTTTATTTTTATAAATTATTTATATGATGAATAAAATATATAAAAATCCAGAAAGGATTCACTGGATCGAGATGGTAAATAGTAATGACTATTTTTCCAGGTATACTGAAAGATAAAAGTAAAATTAGAATATACAACCTGAAGCAGGTTGACAGTCCATTCATTTCACAATCTGTGTCTTTACAACCTTGAAAATGCATCTAGAGAAACAGTTTAATTTTCTTTGACGTCATTGGTTCAAGCTATTATAATTTGCTTGTACTGACTTTTCTTTACAAATGTGAGATAGTTATCACTTCTTAAGACTGCAATTGAAGCCTGTAGAATGAAGTATTTTTCTAAATAATGATCTACAAAGAAAATAGTACATACTATTATAAATTATGAATAATGATTCTTATAGACTGGCTAGAGTGTTATTTGAATATTGCTTTTTAAAATATTAAATTACTTATTTGTCACACATTTGTTACCCAGAAGCACATATGAATCAGAATTTCTTTACATAAGTTAACTTATGCAAATATTCTTTAGAGTACATCATGGGCTATTATATTTTCCTAGACATAAAATTTCCTTCAGGCTTCAGGTCAATCATCTTGCATGGAATTTTTTTTGTGTGTGTGTGATTTACAGGAGGCATTGCATCTGTTTCCTTGCCTAAAACCCAAGGGGAAGTGGCTACATTAAATAACAAAATACATTCACATTATTGAAAGCCAGGAAGTTTCCCATTGTAAGTGCATCTCCTAGTCTGACACTATTTTTATTTTTTCCTTAAATGTAAATTCGATGGCGTTAACCTGAATGATAAATCATGTGATTCTGTTCTTTGTCACTTCTGAACACAGTGATTCATAGAATTTTGATACTATAAATCAACTCAGAGATCAAAATTTAGTTTAAAACCCATATTTTATAAAAAGGGAAGTGAAGGTCAGGACTTATGTAACCCACCCAAAGCCTCAGAGTAGGTGGAGTAGGGACAGAGTAGGAAGAGACCTAGTTCAGGAAGAAAGGATACACATTGTTTTAACATTATCACTAGAGTACATTAGAGAAAATTTTACACCTTGTTATTCCATGAAACTAAATAGTAAAAAGGAAACTTGTTGCTCATAATTTCTCTATCAATTTAGATTTCATTTTATATGAAAAGATATTCTAGAAGCCTGTAAGAGTGTATTAGATTCCCCTTTGATGCATTTCTGTGGGGAATTTATGAGGAGATCTGCTAGGTAAAACGGATTATTTTTTTAAAGGTCTGTTTTGCGACCCTTTGCAATCCTCATCAGACAAGTCCTTGAGGGAGATTATGAAACTACTGATTGTATTATTAAACAATAAAAGGGCACATTAAAATTCAACCTTAATAAAGGCAATGAACATGTATTCTATAAAGATATAGCTTAAAATAATATAGGTTAACATAGACTTTGGAACTGGAAATTCAGAACGTGGTCTATTTATTTATAGTGGCCTGTCCAAGGACTACAATAGGACACAGAAATATGTCAAAAGTATGCAAACCAGTCGCAGAGCTTCATTCTTTCTTGTGTTTACAAGCCTAAGAGAACATAAAAGGATATAACAGGACTTCAGTTGAGAGGGTAATGTAAAAGGTGCCTCATCCTTCAAAAAGATCCCTCCATATGCCCTTAAATCTGGAAAGTTGTATGCATTATGAATCTTCTCTTAATTTAAGCACCATTCTGTGATATAATTAATTACATTTAATAACAAAATTTTTCCCTTCACACTTGGGAATTATTTAAAGCCAGAGAATTACGCAAATTGATTTTGTATCCATAGCACATAAAATAAAAACTCGTTCATAGAGAAAAGTGTGTGATAGTTGCTAAATAAACATTTAAATAGGTTGAAAATAACTAAGCCTGTCATACCTTAGAGTGAGTACATTTTATTCAATTAATATTTTTATTGAGTAACTACTACATTATACAATAAAGCTTTGCTTACAGAATAGATTCTTGTATTGACATTCAACTATAAAAGGTAGGGTAACATTAAAACATAGGACAAGTTTGGCTTAAATATTTGAGGAACAGGTTTTATGCTAGCAGAGGAGAACATGAGGACAGAGGAAAGGGTAAAAGATGAGAAATTTATAAATTTTGTTTCAAACCCTAGTGGTAGCCCCACACTTGCAGTGAATATCGCCTGAAAAGCCAAATGTTGATAGTGTCTGGCTAAGGCAGTACAGGAAAGCACAAGCCTTGCTTCAAGAATCTTACTGACTAGCTAAGGAAACACTATGTGTGTGTGTATATATATATATATATATATATATACATATACATACATATATATATATATACACAGCAATACAATTTATAGAGTGTTAAGCACTAACTACATGACCTTGAAAATTTATTTTAAATTTCTCCAAACCTCAGTTTCCTCATCTATAAAATGAAGATAATACCTATCATCTGTCTATTTCTATGATCTATCTTTTTCATCAGTATTATTACCATTTGTCATACATGGCACTGGGAATATCTATGCTACGGCTAATTAAAAGCATCCAAGAAAATAGGGTCTAAACATCACCTAATCAAATAATGTCAAAATTCACTAGGTCATCCACAATTTATTGAGCACATATTCAGTACCAGTACTGAATATACAAAAATGCATTTACATAATTCTCCTTCTCTAGAAACTCAGAATTTTTGGGAAATAGAGGCTTGGAAAATTATAACAGATTACTTCAATGCAATGAAGTAAGTGACATGATAAGGAAAGGATAGGTTGCTACAGGGACAAAATAAAATAGTTATGTAACGCAAGATTTGGGATACATTGAAAGATTTTCTAGAGGAAAGAACATCTACAATGGAACTACATTTAGAAGTAAAAGTAATCCTGGAGATAGCGTGGTGCAGATAATGTTCTAAACAAAACTAAGTTTATAAACAAGAGCCTAAAGAATAAGTAGAAAGCTGCTGGGCACACCTGTAATCTCAGCACTTTGGAGTCTGAGGAGGGCAGATCACTTGAGGCCAGGAGTTTGAGACCAGCCTGGCCAACCTGGTGAAAACCCATCTCTACTAAAAATACAAAAAATTAGCCGGGCGCGGTGGCGGGCGCCTGTAGTCCCAGCTACTCGGGAGGCTGAGGCAGGAGAATGGCGTGAACCCGGGAAGCGGAGCTTGCAGTGAGCCGAGATTGCGCCACTGCAGTCCGCAGTCCGACCTGGGCGACAGAGCGAGACTCCGTCTCAAAAAAAAAAAAAAAAAAAAAAAAAAAAAAAAAAAAAGTTAGCCAGGTGTGGTGCTGCACACCTGTAATCCCAGCTATTCAGGAGGCTGAGGCTGGAGAATCATTTGAACGCAGGAGGCGGAAGTTGCAGTGAGTCGAGATCGTGCCACTGCACTCCAGCCTGGGTGACAGAGTGAGACTCCATCAAAAAAAAAAAAAAGTAGTAAGCATAGGTCAGTTGAAAAGTGATTAGAAATCAGTATAACTTTTATTTATTACGTTACCTATTATTTTAGCTACAAATAAGCTGGAAATAGAAGACAGACAGATGACAAATGATAATGGTAATAATGAAAAAGACAAATGGTAGAGATAGAGAGATGATACACATTGTATTCATTTTAAAGATGAGGAAACTGAGGCTTGGGGAAATTTAAAATAAGTTTTCAAGGTCATATAGTAAGCATCAGAGCTAGGATTTGAACTCAGGTCAACTACTTTAGAAAACATGCGTTCCAATGAGAACACATGGACAGAGGGAGGGGAACAACACACACTGGGGGCCTGTTGGGGGTAGGAGGGTAGCAAGGAGAGGGAGAGCATCAGGACAAATAGCTAATGCATGTGGAGCATAAAACCTAGGTGATGGGTTGATAGATGCAGCAAACCACCGTGGCACACATATACCTATGTAACAAACCTGAACATTTGGCACATGTATCCCAGAATTAAACTTAAAACAAATTTTTAAAGGAACAAAAAAAACCTGAGCTTCTAACAATGCCAGTGCCTTCTGAACACAGACTGAAGCCTTTATAATTATTTTAAAAATCCAAGTTTAAATGACAATAAACACATTTTCACAATGTCCTCTGCATATGTTAAGCTATAAAGAGTTTATAAATTATCATAAGGGCAGTGGAAAAATACAGTCATGTATTGCTTAACGGCAGGCACATGTTCTGAGAAATGCGTAGTTGGGCGATTTTATCAGTGTGTAAACATCATAGAGTGTACTTAACACAAACTAAGATGGTATAGTCTATTACACACTTAGGCTATATATTATAACCTATTGCCCCTAAGCTATAAACCTGAACAAGATGTTACTGTATTGAATACTATAGGCAATTGTAACACAATGGTTATTTGTTTATCTAACTGTATTTTAAAATAGAAAAGGTACAGTAAAAATGCATTATGATAATCTTGAGGCCACTGTCATCCATCCACATGCCATCCATCCTTGACTGAAACATCGTTATGATGCACATGACTATATTTAAAGATTCTACACTACAAAATGTTTTGCAATTCAAAAATATCTCTTTGGATAAAGCTTGGAGAAACTTATTTAGCAGGGGAAAATTGGAAACCAAAACGAGTGTTAGAAAGTTGTTTTAGAAATCCAGGTGACAAAAGAGGAGGCAGACACTGAAGAAAGAGAGAAAGGCACAGAAAATTATAAAATAAAAGTGTATATGATATATTTGGAAAAGTGTGATTGATTTTTATATGGAAGAAAGTATTATAAATTTGGAACAAATGAAAAAGCTACATTTGAATACTCTTCCATATGAGCCAAAGAAATGTAAAATTCAACATGTATGTAAGAGAATCCAGAAATTGTTAAGCAAAGAAACAGTCGTACAAATCCATTTAACAAAAAGAAACCTATGAATTGTCATTTGGGTTTTAAAAAGGACCATTAAATTTTATTTTTGGTTGAATGTAATATTACCTAGCACAGAAATCATTCCTTGTACAGCATAAGTAAAAAGTTAGCTAAGTAAAAACTATATCTTTTGATACATTGCTGAGCTTTTTGTGGGAAAAAACATGGGAGTGACTTTCTCAAGGGAGAGAAATTTTAAGACATACATACAGAAAGTAAGTGAGAATGACGAATGTGTAATGAGAGTAAATTTTTATACACAGTGTGCAGAAAAACAAGAGACTGGTCTTGGGGCCTAGGTAGACTAAGAGGTCAGATCAGAGTCTGTTATGTCAGACCAGGACACCTCCTCCATGTGATCTTTCCAGCCTCTACTTCTAGATGAAAAAGAAAGAAAGGAAAGAAAGCAAGAAAGAAAAAAAAGGAAGAAAAGAAAGGGAGAAAGAAAGAGAGAGTGAGAAAGGAAAGAAAAAGAAAGAAAGAAAGAGAAAGAAAGAAAGAAAAAGAAGAGAAAGAAAGAAAGAAAAAGAAAAGAAAGAAAGAGAGAAAAGATGGAACAAAATGAAGGAAGGAAGGGAAGGAAGGAAGGAAGAAAGGAAAGAACAAAGACTCCCAAATTTCTAACCTACAGCCTTCATTTTAATGTATTTTGAAGTACAACACAAAACATATTAAACCAAAAATATAATTTAAAGTAACTTGGGCTAGTAATGTTCCAAGGTGACTGTACGAATCTAATAGAAGGACGTTTATAAAGGAATGCAGATTATGAAAGACAGTCTCAAAGTTTCTTATAAATAAAATTCTAACAATCAAGCAATCACATTTAAAAAAACTTACTAAGTAAAAGAGAAAAGAAGCCACCGTCAATGAGTCCCCCAAGATAAATAAAATAATAAAAAGAAACCCAGCAAAAGTCAATGATACAATAAAAAATACATGGAGAATCAGTTGTGAAAAGATTGGAAATATTAAAATAACCATATAACAAAGATAAACTAAATATGTTCAATATGCAGAAAAATAAAATACATGACTGAAAATCAGCAAGGCCAGATGAGGCTGAGAAAGTGATGGGACAGATTTAAATAGTAAAAAATGTAAAAACACTATAGAACTATTATAAATCAAAACATAATGGTTGAAGAAAAAACATTCAATGGATATATTAAACAGCAGATAGACAAAGGTACAGAAAAAAATTAGTGAGATTGAAGATACATCTGATGATATACATATGGAATGTCACGTGAAAACAAAGGGATATGAATTTTAAAAGAGATCAAGAAATGAAATGTATAGGTTGGGTACGTACAGTGGCTCACACCTGTAATCCCGAGGCAGGCGGATCACTTGAGGTCAAGAGTTGGAGACCAGCCTGACCAACATGGTGAAACCCCATCTCTACTAAAAATACAAAAATTAGCCGGGCATGGTGGCAGGTGCCTGTAATCCCAGCTACTCGAGAGACTGAGGCAGGAGAATCGCTTGATCCGGGAGGCAGAGGTTGCAGTAAGCCGAAACCACACCACAGCACTCCAGCCTGGGTGACGGAGTGAGACTCCAATTCAAAAAAAAAAAAGAAAAAAAAAAGTGAAATATGTCAAATAAAAAAAACATATCTAATTGTATTTGCAAAAGTGGATAATAGAGAAAATTTAAAAGAGACAATGAAAATGAGGAAAGTGATTGACAAATTTTGTGATTTGATACACAATAGTGGTGATCAGTGACTAATGAGTAAAATACTGAGATGAAGATAAATAAATTAACACCTAATCACAATATAACTACAGCATAATAAAGAAAAAGTAAAGATCTTCAAGATTGCTATAGATGCAAGAAAGACATCCTACAAAGGAATGACAATATAGAAAAACAAACCAGTAGTCAGCTTTTCAATGATAACAATAAAAGCGAGAATGGATTAGAATGACATACCGGCTCAGATAAAATACGTTTCCACATAGAATTATACATCCGGAGAAGCAAATATTTAAAAACAAAGGCAAAATAAAGACATTTTTGGAAGCAAAGCAATAATGAGCAGTTCTTTATTGAAAGAAACTCTAAAGAAGGGACTTAAGATAAAATAAAAATATTTTCAGATAATCTGATATAAAAAAGGAATTGTTTAAGTAAAGAAAATTGCACAAAATAATAACATTTAACTTGTGAAGTTAAAAAGAAATGACTGAATTAAAAGACTGAAAAATAACATAAATTATGAAAAAGATTTCAAGTTAAATAATTACTTCCATTTTTTTGGAAAAAGAATAAATAAGTTTATTAACTCCTAAATATAAGACAAAATACTAAGTGTTCTTGATGACTAACAAAAGAACAAATTGTTTAAATTCCAAATTAAGAGAAGGACATATTTAAGGAAGGAATTTTTAAAAACTAAATCCAAATGAAAGCAAAGAAAGAGAAAAAGAGACACTAGAAATAAAATGTAAAAATTATAAAATAAAATTATAGAAAATAATTTAAATAAATGAGTTATCAAAATTAATGAAAATAGAATGTTACATTTAAATTGAAGTAAATATTAATTAGCCAGATGTTTTAAAAATTCAACTATATTCTAGTTAAAAAGACATACCTGAAAAGTAAGAAAACAGAATTTGAACACAACAGACAAGAAAAAATAAATTACATGGCCTAAAGGCAAAAAAATAGAAAATTTCCACATAGAAAACCAAAAAAGAATGAGTATATTGAGAATACAAGAAATTTTGTTATTTTATGAAAACTGAAAAGCATTTAAGTTTTAAAATTACCAAAATGAAGAACAGGAAGTTTACTGAGCAATCACAAATAACCAAAATAAATAAATAAATAAAGATTTGGACAGAGAATGAGAGAATGTTATTCATAGTGGTTGACAATGTTTTCCATGATATAAAACTGCTGAAGTTTAAGTCTTGACTCTACCACATTTTTGCTCCACAACATTGGAAAAATTCTGTGTTCCTGTTTCTTGTTTTTAAAGTGTAGATTAATAATAGTGCATATTTCATAGGACTGTAATAAAATCGATGGGATTAATTTATACAAAAGCACACAGAAGAAATCTGGAACATCAGAGTTCGGCAAATATATAGTATTATTGTCATTACTGTTATTGAAATGCTCATACTCAGTAATCAAAGCAATACAGAGTAAACTAGAATTTGATTCCATTTAATATCCAACTGACTGGAAAATTTTGAAAATAAATTTGCATCAATCTACCTAATACTGTTAATTGATAGGAGATTGTAAATTAGTATAACCATCATGGAAAATGACCACAAATAAAATCATTAAATTCAATCTAAACATTAATAATAATATAAAAAATGAAATCTTTCTCCTTCATACATTTACAAAGAGCAATCTGCTAAAAGATAAATTCAAATTGAACTTGCAGAATTTCTAGAAGTCAACAATAATATGTAAAAACTCAGAATTTATCAGGCATTTCTAAAGAAGTGTTCACATGAAGAGTCATTGTTTCAAACACCTAGATCAACACAAATTAATAAAGATATCTATATGCTAATGACTTCCAAATTTATTTCTCCAGTCTAAATGCTTTGCCTGACCTTCAAATGTAATCACAAATCGCCTATTTGACATATTTTTATTGATGGCTAATAAATTTCTCATTCTTAGCATTGCAAGCTGCTGCTATAGGCTCCACATCTCAGGTAAATACACTGAGATAGACACTACTTTTTCCTGCTTTTCAGGCCTTGAATCCTTTCTATCACACCTGATCCCTGTCAGCAAATTCTATGGGCTCTACTTTCAAAAGATGGCTACAATTTGACCCCATTTCAGTACCAGCATTGTCTTCCTCCTGGTCTACGTTGACACTAGTTCTTGTCTTGACTCTCACATAATCTCCTAACTGGGGTTCATGCTTTTGCCTTTGGCTAAATCCTTGTGGTCTATTCTTAGCACATGAACAGAGTGATCCTGTTACAATTTAGAATTGATCATGTCTCTCCGCTACTCAAAAGTCCTCCAAAGGCTTCCAGGTAAAGGTCGAATCTTTACCAGGCCCCATATGATCTGGTTACCGTCACCACTCTGATCCCATGTCCTTCAGCCCTCTCTCTGCCTGGCTCAGCCTCTAGCCACATGCTTCTCTTTGACATCTCCTTGTCACTTCAGGGACTTTGCATTTTCTATGTTCTATTTCTCTTTATCTGCACGACTAATTCACTCACTTCCTTTAGGTCTTTAATCAAAAGTCACTTTTTCAGTGAGGCTATCCCTGACACCTTAACTAAATGTTTTAGCTGTATTACATTTTGTTATTTTGTATCATTTTTTTCCATTTCTGGACATTTAGCCACTCACAAACATTCTCTTCTCCTTAATTTTATAATTTTTACTGTAATAAATACTAACACTGAAATAATACAGTTTGGAGCATAATGGATACCCAGTGGATATTTATTGAATGAGTAGACAAATAAATTCTATGTGTGTGTGTGTGTGTGTGTGTATATATATATATACATATATGTATATATATACGTATATATATGTATATATATACATATATATATGTATATATATGTATACATATATATGTATACATATATATATGTATACATATATACATATATGTATATATATATGTATATATTACCAAAACACGTAACAGCAATTTTTTGTTCAGAGACAAGCATGAATATTGCTTTAACATGAAGAAATACAGTAAATCATAACAAAATTCATAGCAGTAGCTATCTCTGAGAATGAGACAAGGCAATGTAATGGGAAGTCCCCAGGGCTTCAAAGATATTAGTAATAGTTTTTCCTGAGGATGGGCAGTGGCTGCATGGTGTTCATTATTATTATTCGGATTATACATGTGCCTTATGTAAATAGTTTAATTGTTGTAATAAAAATAATAAAAAGGATGGGATAGAGTTAAGGGAAGGATATCCAATAAAAGATTATTTTAATGATATCAACTCCTCATCTGCATTTGCATGGGATAATACACAAGCCACTTCTGGGTGATATCTGGGTAAAGCTACCCTAAAAGGCAAAATAAACTCATGTGGCTTAAACAATGAAATCATGTTTAGATTTGTGTAAAAAAGATTTAATACTTAAAAACAAACTAATACATATATACATAATTTTTTGCCACTAATGTAACCTCAAAAAGGAAACAATGCATAAATATATTTTCATTTTTATGGATTTTTTAAATACCCATGCATATCTTCCAAGAAAAAAAACAAACATTTTTGAAGAGCTTGTCATGTATAATGAAATAAGAAAAAGATTTATCCCATGAACAAATATAGAGATAGCAGTCTAAAAAGCAACATAGCATGGGTTTAATACAGTAAAGTAAATCCACTTAGTTATTTGGTAAATGAAACACTTCATAAACCTGTATCCTCCTCAGAAATTACTGAAGGCAAGTTTTCCCAAAATAAATAATGTTAAATTGTATGGAGCATTAAAATATTAAATCTGATTAAGTAATGGCACATTTACAAATGCTTCATAATATTACTATGACTTTCTGAGGCCTGGTCTTTGTTAATATCTTTGAGTGCTTGTAATTTATACAAATCACAACTAAATAGATTTCAGGAGAAACATTTTACAGTGTGATTTATGCAAATTACTTGATTTAGTTTCTATCAAGTTGCTTCGGCAATTTAAACAGCTAAATTGATTAGCTGAAAATGTTTTCCTTCATTAGGATTTATAAAAACTTTAAATCAGTTCCCCACTGTAAAACTGTAAGATGACTTTATTAATTTGTACAGCACTGTAAGATATTTCTTCAATTTTAACAAGATTCATTTTTGTGTGCTTTAGGCTCATCATGTATTATGTGACTGAAGCACTTGACATTAAAGTTTATAAATCATATAGTATAACAGAGATTACAGTGATTGAACAGTATTGCGTGGCATTAAGGTTTCCAACTTTGACTGAAAATTTGAATTTGACCAATCATGTCTGAAATAAAAGGAAAAAGCAAACCTTTTTCAAGAAGTTATGCATCATATTTATGCTTGTGCAACATTTTTGATTACTACTGGTAATCTTTTTGAAAGAAAATCAACAAAAGAAGAACTCCAAACAGGACTTTTATTTCTCTAATGTGTTTAATAAAATCCAGCAAACATATTAAAAAGTATAGTTTTTATTGGACAGTGGGATGGATAGTAAGATTTTTCATTGGAAAGTGCAGTTAGCATAATCAGTAAAGTTTTGATCAGCAGTTTCCAATCCAGATTGTCAGCTGTGTTGTACAGGTATGTGTAGTAAACACTGCAAAAAAAGAGGTGTGGACTTCAGTCCACACTGAAGTTGTGATGTAACTAAGTTGATGAGTAACTAAGTACCTGCATTCTGAAAGTGATTCTAAAATAAGTTCAAAACCATTTTTGGAAGTATTTTATTAACTGCTTTAATGGAATAAATTATTATTTCCCCTTTTTATCTTGTGCTCCTTTTGCATTTCTTCATTTCTTTTGTTATTTTGTTTTTAATGGCTGTGGCGGGGGGCAATGGATGTCATAACTTCTCCGTTTCAGACTCATCACAGGTTCATTTCCAGTCTTGTCAGTTCTGTGAAATGTGCCATATCTGAGATCCACACAATTGATTTTTTTGACACTAAGGTCACTATGTAGTAGATACTAACTAATAGTAGTAAGGGAAGAAAATAAAAGCACATGGAAAGGAAATACACATGCAGAGAAGAAATATTTCATATTGGAAAAATATCCACAAAAATCCAGGGGTATTTGAAGATGTGACTCTACCAGATAAATGCCTCTCTGACTCTTCCTAAAAGCTTTCACTTCTGAAATGTACAATCTACCAAGCCAGTCAAAGCAAAACAAGAAAAAACTGTCTAGTGTTGTTTGTTTGTTTGTTTGTTTTGCCAGCCCTTAAATATTTATACTTTAAAAGGTAAATATACTAGCATAGGAATCAATTCATTAGATATCTACTCCAGCAGTTAATAATCACTTTTCTCGAACCTGCTCAAAATGACATTTTTGAAATGTCACTAATGTAATTTGACTAACTTAAAATTACAGATTTCACATAATCCTGGCCATACTTCTCCTGGGAGTTTCAACCTAAGCTGTACTTGATCCATAAAGGAGTGATTCTGTACCTAATCCTTTTTTGTTTTGTTCTATTTTTTCCAGAGAATGTTTGTAATAACTTCTCAAAGGCATAGCATAAATCATATAACAGAAATGTTTTACTTCATATTCTTTGACAATTTGCAAAACATATAATTCTGCTGTGTGTGTGTATATATATATATATTCATATACACACTTATATTTGATTCGACTCCTAACTACTTTTCTAGGAGACATTAGGTTAATTTCTTTAATTCAATAAGGGCAACAAAATATCAATCTAAAGTAAATTTTGGAGACTATACATACATAGTTTTGAGCAATTGGTACATGACTCTTGTAGGCTGATTGTTAAAATGGCTATAATTATTCATTTTCACTGTCTACCAAGGAGACTTTGCATCTCTGAACGTGAAGAGTTGGGATTTATTTTCTTTACTCTTGAGTCTGTTTTGACCCTATGACATGCCGTGTCCAATTAAGTGAGACAAAAGTGCTCTGCCAACCTAAGTCTAAGCCTCCGATGGACCTTGAACTCTTCTGCTTTCTCTCCAGGAAACCTGACATTGACATGTGGGAGACCAGCCATTATGGTGAAGGAAAAGAGACCACAAGAAAGAGACCTAAAGATCTCTCTAACCATCAGCAAACCCCAAGAAGCAGAGCTGTCTAGCTGATTCTCAGCTAATCACAATGCTTGAGGAACCCCAGCCAAATCAGAACTTCTTAACTGATCATAACCTAAATTGCCAACCAAAATATGAGCTAAATATGTGGTTACTATTTTAACTCATTTATGCCTGAGGTTGCAATTTTTTTTACTTTTTGCAATCAGACTTTGGCAATGACTTTGAGCAGTAGGATATAAATAACTCCCACATGCTTAGTGTTCCAATAATGGAAAACCAGGCATAAATGGGGTTAACCATTTATGCCTAGTGTTATTATTGGTGACCTCATTTATGCCTAGTGTTCCATTATTAGGACACTAAGCATGCTAAGCTTTAGGGTTGTTTCTTATGGATAAGTTAGGTAATTGACCAAGTATACAAGTAATTGTGGAAGAGAGTGTTAGTTGCCTATCCCAATATCTATAAAGAGTTTACACTTTGATGAAAAACCTCTTATTTTTAGTAGGTAGCTTACCACTCAAAATAAAAGCTGTTTCCCAGGCTCCATCGCATCAAGTAGTAACCATTTAACTAAGTTCTCATAAATAAAATATAAGAATAAAAATTGTAAGAGATTACTATGAACTCTACTTCAAAAGAAGAGTTTAAGACTTTTGTTTCTCGATTGCTCTTTCTAATTCCCAGAATATGACTTTGATAGCTGGAATTCTAGTAACCATCTTGAACCATGAAATATTCTTGATGACAGAATACATTTACTGAGGATAGCAGTAAAAAACAGAAGCTTAGATTTCTCATTTTATCTAGAGCCACCATGCCAGCCCATCAGTATTGATTCCAGACTTTTTGCATATAAGACAAATAAATATATGAAGCATTAATATTAATAGTATAATTAAGTCATTTTTATAATGTGTTTTCTTATGCAAATACATCCAATTTTAATACACTAACAATTTTTATCCAAAAAATATAGAGAATAATTGCAAATCAAAAATTAAAAGATTAATAATGCAATAGAAAAATTTGGCAAAGTTATCAAGGCAATGAATGTATAGAAAATAAAAATCAAATGGCAATTCCATATAAAAAACATATTTCACCTCACTATATTTCAGAGAAACAAACCAAGCAACAATGGAATATCATTTCATATTAGAATGGTGCATGTTTTTAGATTTGATAATGCCAAGTATTGGTGAGTCTATAGAGCAAGCAAAAATAATAGAGGTTTAGTAACATAGTAATTTAAAAAATGAAAGCAAAACAGGATAAGAGCATTTTATTTCTAAATTAATAACTGAAATTTAGCCAGCTGAAACTCAATAACTGACTTGAAAGAGCTTCAAATAACCAAATCAATAAAATATAAACAGTAAAAATAATACTAAATTATAACTTATGTGACACAATAAATATTCAATATTCATGAGTCAATACAGATAAAAATAAATAATTTAATAAAATATGGGAGAGAAATGACAGCTTGTCCCTCAGAAGAATTCTTATTTAATTCAGAAGAAATTAGGAAATAGAAAGTCACTATTTGGAAACCACTAAAATAATTGTTGCAAGCAAGATTAACTGATAAATATTAAATTTAGTGAGTGAGAGTTTAAGGAGAAATGGGATATTTAAATAGTCTAATACTGTCTCCTCCAAGAATTTTTTTAGTTACTAGGTGAATATTGCAGTTTTACAGTTGAGAAAATGTACAGACACTCCCTTAATCAAGTGATCAAGCTAACATCACCATTAATAAGACAAATTGAAATCATGAATCTCATGCTCACTGAGAAGAGCAGAACTCTTCAGTGGGATTTTCACCAAAAATGTAAATTCTCAGTCGAATCATGAGTAAACATCAGAAAAATCCGAATTGCAAGACATTCTAATAAATAACTGGCCATTAGTCTAAAAATGTTTCAAGATCATGAAAGGCAAGTAAAGACTGAGGAATTGCCATAAATTAGAAACTAAGGAGGCATGAAAACTAATTTAAAATAGGGTCATACTATTTAATTATAGGTTGGGAATATGCAAAAAAAAATCACCATATAGACATTATTTAGAGATAGATACACACACAAAGTAATAGGAGACAACATGAAGGTGAAATATAAACATTAACTTCAGAACAGGTTTTACATCTCAGATGGGAATGAGGAATGGGGTAATAAAATGGCATGGAAGGCTTCAACTTATCTTAAATGTATGTATTTTTAAATTGAAAAAAAAAACTAAAACAAATATTGCAAAATATTAGGATCTGCTGCGACCTTGGCAGAGGCCATACAGAGACTATTCCTCTTATTATTTCTACATTTTTCTATTTTTGAGAATATCATAAGAATAAAATAAGTATAACAAAGTACAGAATAAGATAAACAAAAACTTCAAAAAGAAACAAGAGTAATCTGAAAGATAACAATTATTAATTCCTAAGTTAAGCTTATGGCATAGGAAGTACAAAGGTAGGACATATGATCAATATGATTCGGTAAGTTATCTTATATATGAAGCATTAATAGAAAATTTTTCTAATATTTCAAGTTTAAGAGTGTGTAAGTTTGCTGACAGAGAATATTGAGTGGCCAAGAAGGCATATGTGGTTTTAGATGATTGAACACAATAAGAGATAAAATAGTCCACCAGGAAATCTGAAACATAGGATTGGATCTCATGAAAGATATTATGAATGGATGGGAGGGGACATAATTAATGCTATAGTTACTTGCAGACAAAAAAAAAGGAAAACAAAAGAAAAAATAAGGATGCAAATGGGAGAGCAACGAAATAGAAAAATGAACCGCATTTCGAAGTGCCATATCATTGGAGGAAAGACATTTTCAGGTAAGAAGGAGAACCAAGCCAAAGATATAAAATGAAATCAAAAGGGTCATGAAGGAACGATAAAGAATTTTATAAAGGAAAAGTACTCTGTTGGATACTGTTTACATTTAAATATTTATTTCTTCTTCAACTTTCACTTAGTAACAGGTCCTGAGAAAATAAATCATTGTTTAAAAAATTAAAGAAGATTTTTTCTTTTTTTAATTTTTTAAAATTGTTTATTTCAATCTTTTTTTGGGAACAGGTGGTGTTTGGTTACATGAATAAGTTCTTTAGTGGTGATTTCTGAGATTTTGGTGGCCCCATCAACCGAGCAGTGTACACAGTAACCAGTGTGTAGTCTTTTATCCCTCGTCACCCCACAGCCTTTCCCCCAAGTGCCCGGAGTCCAGTGTATCATTGTTATGCCTTTGCGTCCTCATAGCTTAGCTCCCACAAATGAGTGAGAACATACAATATTTGGTTTTCCATTCCTGAGTTACTTCACTTAGAATTATAGTCTCCAGTTCCATCCAGGTTGCTGCAAAAGCCATTGTTTTGTTCTTTTTTATGACTTAGTAGTAGTCTATCATATATATGATGGAATATATATATATATATATATATATGTATGTGTGTATACACACACACACACACACACATATACACATACCATATTTTATCTATCCACTCATTGATTGATGACATTTGAGCTGGTTCCATATTTTTGCAATTGTAGATTGTAAAAATTAAAGAAGATCTAAATAAATTGAAACACTCATGTTCATAAATGTGAAGACTTGAAAGAGCTAAGATGGCAATACTCCCCAAATTGATTTACAGGTCCAATACAATTCCCAGCAAACTCATGACTATATTATCTGCATAAACTGACAAACTATCCCTGAAATTCTTATGGAAATACAAAGGATCCAGAACAGCTCAAAAAATATGGAAAAGCAAGAACAAAATTTGATGACTCTCATCTTCCATTTTCAAAACATGCTACAAAGTAATAGTAATGAAGCAAGTTTAGTACTGGTGTAAGGACAGGCATAAAGACCAATGTAATAAATTAGACTTCAGAAATAAACCCTTACATTTATGGTCAGTTGATTTGAATGAGGCTGCAAAGGGGGGAAAGAATAATCTATTCAACAAATGGTGCTGAGATAACTGGATAACTATATGCAAAAAAAAAAGATGGTGAATTTCTACCTCATACTATATACAAAATTAATTCAAAATGAATCATGGAATTAAATATAAATGCTAAACCTATAAAATTAATAGAAAAATAGAACTAAAATATTGTGAATTTGCTTAGACAATATTTTCTTAGATATGATACCAAAAGCACAATTGATTTTAAATAAATAAATTGAACTTCATATAAACTAAACTTTTTTCTTTAAAGGAATATTTGAGAAAGTAAACAGAAAACATAGATAATGGGGAAAATATTTTGAAGTCACCTATATGATAAAAGTTTCATATAGAATATTCAAAGTTCTCATTCAGTTCAATGATAAAAATGTAAAATAATCCATTTGAAAATGTACAAGGGATCTCAATTGATATTTCTACAAAGAAGGTACAAAAATGGCAAACACCTTAAAAAGATGCTAAACATAATCACTAGGGAATTCTAAATTAAAAACACTGTATTATGTAACTTTTCACTCACAGTATGGTGAAAAGATAAAACAGTCAGTAGCATGTGCTGGTGAGGATATGGAGAAACTACAATTGTTATACATTTCTGTGGGATTATAAAATGCTGAAGCCCAAATAAATGAAAAACCTATCCTGTGTTTATAAATGAAGATAATTAATATTGTTAAAATATCAATACTACACAAAGTGATGTACAGATTCAATGCAATCCCTATTAAAATTTCAATGTCATTTTTATAGAATAGAACAAACTTCTAAAATTTATATGGAACCACAAAAAAAGGAATAGCCAAGGCAATAATGAGCAAAAATAATAAAGCTAGAAACATCAGAGTACCTGACATAAAACTATACTACAAAGACACAGTAATTAAAACAGCATAGTACTGGCAAAAAAATAAAAATAAAGATAGGCAGACTAACCAATGAAACAAAAATAGAGAGCCCAGAAATAAACCTATGCATGTATGGTCAATTGATTTTGACAAAGGTACCAAGAATACACAATGAAAAAAGGATAGTCTCATCGATAAATGGTTTTGGAGGAACTGGAAATACACATGCTAAAGAATGGAATTCGACCCCTGTCTCACACCATATACAAAAAAACAGTCAACATGAATTAAAGATTTAAATATAAGATGAGGAACTATGAAACAACTAGAAGGAAACATGAGGAGAAAATACATGACATTAGTCTAGGCAATAATTTATTTTATTTAACTCCAAAAATAAAACCAAAATAAACAGGAAACAAAACCAAAAATAAACAAATGAGATTAAATAAAACTGAAAAGCTTCTTCATAGCAAAGGAAATAGTTAGCAGTATGAGGAGATAGCCTATGGACAGAGAGAAAATATTGGCAAACCATACATCCAGTAAGGAGATAATATTCAAAATGTATAAGGAACTCAAACAACTAAATATCAGGACAAGAAAAAAAAAAAGAAAGAAAGAAAGAAAAAAAAATGGGAAAAGAAACTGAATAGACATTTCCCAAAAAGAAAACATACAAATGGCTGATAGATATATGAAAAAATGCTCATCTCTCATCATTAGAGAAATGTAAATTAAAACCATGATGATATATCATTTCACACCTTTCAGAATGGTGATTATCAAAAAGATACAAGATAAGTGTTGGCAAGGATGTGAAGATAAGGGAAATCTTATACACTGTTGGCGAGGATGTAAATTAGTACAATCACTACAGAACACCCTACAGAGATTCCTCAAAAAACTAAAAATAGGATTACCATATGCTCCAGCAATCACACTTCTGGGCTTTTACCCAAAAGATTTAAAATCAGTTTGTTGAAGAGATATTTGCACTCCTATGTTCATTGCAGCACTATTCATGGTAGCCATATGTCCAAGAACAGATAAATGGAAAAGAAAATGTGATATTATACACAATGAAATACTATTCAGCCTTTAAAAAGATGAAAATTCTCTCATATGGGACAACATGGATAGTGTGAAAGGAAAATAAAAACATGGCACCCCAATTCACTATGCCAAAAGAAAAAAAAAAGCTGAAAGCTGAGTCATGCAAACAACTGCCTTTCCTTTTGTTCCTAAGCAAGTAGCTACAGATAAAAGGTTAACTATCTCCTCTATATTCACTTTATATTATGTAAAGTGCCAATTTACTGAGTGGAAGACAAATGCATAATTCACTATTCCCCCGCCTGCTCCTTTTCCCTCGCAACATGTGTGTTACCATGTCCTCCCTCTTTACTCTCCAGCCCACTTTTCCCCTTTAAATATGGAAGTCCTCAAAATGATCTTTGGAGAAAGGCACAGACCACAGACTATTTCTGTGATTCTGTCTTTATTTCTCATAGACATTGTCCTTGACCCTGGCAAAATAAACTTACAAATTAAGACCTGTCTCAGATACTTTTTGGTTTACAATGTAATTGGAGAGCATAATGCTAAGTAAAATTAGCCAGGTACACAATGGCAAATAACACATGCTCTCATCCATACGTGGAATTTAAAACAACCTCATAGAAATACAAGATAGAGTGTTGGTTATAGAAACTGGGGGCTGAGGAGAATGATGAGATGATGGGAAAAGAGTAGTCTCAGGTAGAAAGAATTAGAATTTAAAAAAAAATCTATTGCCCAGAGTGATGAATATAGTTAATAATAGTGTGTTGTACATTTCAAAATTGCTAAGAAGGTAAATTTAAAATGTCCTCACCACAAAAATGGTAAGCATTTGAATTGATGAATATGTTAATTAGTTGATTTAATTTTTCCACAATGTATTCATAAATCATAACATCACTTTGTACCCAATAAATATATACAATTATAAATTATTAATTTATAATGAATATTTTAAAATTTTATTAAAATGGGGAAGAATAAAATTGTGAAGCTACTTTGCAAAAAATTGGCAGTGCCTCCAAATCTTAGACATACAATTAGAAATACTACTCCTAGTTATATACTCCCCCAAAATGAAAACATCTGTACACATAGAAACTTGTATATGAATGCTCATAGCAGTATTATTTTTCTTAACTTACATTTTAGGTTCAGGGTACATGTGCAGGTTTGTTATACAGGTAAATTGTGGGTGATGGAGGTTTGAGTACAGATTATTTCATCACCCAGGTAATAAACATAGTGCCTGATAGATAGATTTTCCACCCTCAACCTTCTCCCACCCTTCACCGTCAAGTAGGTCCTTGTGTTTGTTCTTTGTGTCCATGTGAACTCAATATTTAGCTCCCACTCTTAAGTGAGAACATGTAGTATTTAGTTTTCTGTTCATTTGTTAGTTTCTTTAAGATAATGGCCTCCAGCTCCATCCATGTTGCTGCAAAGAACATGATGTTGTTCTTTTTTATGGCTGCATAGTATTTCATGGTGTATGTACAATAGTTTGGTGCAAACTGATTGCGGTTTTTGCCATCACTTTAATGGCCAAAACCACAACAAACAACTTTTGCACCAACCTAACACTACATTTTTGTTATTCAGTCTACCATTGATAGGCATTAGGTTGAATCCATGTCTTTGCTATTGCGAATAGTGATGCAGTAAGTACATGGGTGTGTGTGTCTTTAAGGTAGAACGCTTTAATATGGCTTTGGGTATATCCCCAATAATGGGATTGCTGGGTCAAATGGTTGTACTGTTTTACATTCTTTGAGAAATCTCTAAACTTCTTTCTACAATGGCTGGACATTAATTTATGCCCACCAGCAGCATATATGCATACTCTTTTCTCTACAACTTTGCCAACATGTGTTATTTTTTAACTTTTTATAATAGCCATTTTGACTGGTGTAAGATGGTATCTCATTTTGGTTTTCATGTGCATTTCTTCAGTGATTAGTGATGTTGAGAATTTTTTTCATATGTCTTCTTTTAAAAAGTGTTTGTCATGTCCTTTGCTCACTTTTTAATGGGATTGTTTTTAGCTCATTAGTTTGTTTAAGTTCCTTATAGATACTGAATATTAGACCCTTGTTGGATGCTAGTTTGAAAATATTTTCTTCAGTATTGTAGGTTTTCTGTTTCTCTATTGATAGTTGTTTTTGCTATACAGAAACTCTTTAGTTTCATAAGGTACTACTTACCATTTTGTTTTTGTTGCAATTGCTTTTGGCATCTTCATCATGAAATCTTTGCCAGGGTCTATGTCCACAATAGTATTTCCTCGGTTACCTTATGGAGTTTTAATAGTTTTAGGTTTTACATTTAAATCTTTAATTCATCTTAAGTTGATTTTCTTGTGTGGTGAAAGGTAAGGCTCCAGTTTCAGTCGTCTCCATATGGCTAGCCAGCTATCTATCCCAGCACCATTTATTAAATGGAGAGGTGACATGTGTCCCCACCCAAATCTCGAATTGTAGCTCCCATAATTCCCATGTGTCATGAGAGGGACCCGGTGGGAGGTAATTTAATCATGAGGGCAGGTCTTTCCCATCCTCCTGTTCTTGTGATGGTGAATGAGTCTCACAAGATCTGATGGTTTTATAAAGGGGAGTTTCCCTGCACAGGCTCTCTCTCTTGCCTCCCACCATGTAATATGTGACTTTCCTTCTCCTTTGCCTTCCACCATGATTGTGAGGCCTCTGCAGCCATGTGGAGCTGTGAGTTAATTAAACCTCTTTCCTTTATAAATTACCCAGTCTCAGGTATGCTTTTATTAGCAGCCTGAGAATAGACTAATACAGCAGTACTTTTCCCATTGCTTATTATTGTCAACTGTATTGAAGATCAGGTGACTGTAGGTGTGCAGGTTTATTTCTGTGTTCTCCATTCTGTTCCATTGGTCTATATGTCTGTTTTAGTTCCAGTGCCATACTGTTTTGGTTACTGTGGCCTTGTAATATACTTTGAAGTCAGGTATCATGATGCCTGTAGCTTTGTTGTTTTGCTTAAAATTGTGTTGGCTATTTGGGCTGTTTTTTGGTTTCATATGAATTTTTAAATAGTTTTTTCTAGTTTATGTGAAGAAGATCATTGATAGTTTGATAGGAGTAGCAACTGCCAAAATTGCTTTGAGCAGTATGGCCATTTTAACAATATTGATTCTTCATATCCATGAGCATGGGATGTTTTTCCATTTGTTTGTGTCTTCTCTGATTTCTTCCAGCAGTGTTTTGTAACTTTCATTGTAGGAATCTTTCACTTCCCTGGTTAGCTGTATTCCTAGGTATTTTATTTTATTTTTCGTGGTTCTTGTGAATGGCGTTGCATTTTTTATTTGGCTCTCAGATTAAATGTTGTTGGTGTATTGAAATGCTACCGATTTTCATACACTGATTTTTGTATCAAGAAAGTTTGCTGAAGTTGTTTGTCAGCTGAAGGAGCTTTTGAGCAGAGATTATGGGGTTTTCTAGGTAGATAATTACATCATCTGCAAACAGAGATAGTCTGACTTTCTCTCTTTTTATTTGGACATCTTATTTTTCTCTCTTGCATGATTGCTCTGGCTAGCAGTTCCAGTACAATGTTGAATAAGAGTGGTGAGAGTGAGCATCCTTGGCTTGTTCCACTTCTCAAGGGGAATGCTTTCAGCTTTTGCTCATTTAGTATTATGTTAGCTGTGGGCTTGTCATAGATGGCTCTTATAATTTTTAGTGCATTCCTTCCATGCCTAGTTTCTTGAAGGTTTTTAACATGAAGGGAATTTGAATTATATTGAAAGCCTTTTTGCATATATTAAGATGTTCATGTGAATTTTGTTTTTATTTATCTTTATGTGATGAATCACATTTATTGATTTATGTATATTGAACTAGCCTTGCAACCCAGGTGTAAAGCAAAGTTGACCAGCCTGGATTAGCCTTTCGATGTGCTGCTGGATTTGGTTTGCTAGTATTTTGTTGAGCATTTTTCGTCTATGTTCGTCAAGAATATTGGCCCAAAGTTTTTTGTTTGTTTGTTTATTGTGTCTCTACCAGGTTTTGTATCAGAATAATGCTGCCCTGATAGAATGAGTTAGGGAGGAGTCTCCCTCTCAATGCTTTGGAATCGTTTCAGCAGAAATTACAACAATTCATTATAAATCAGGTAGAATTCAGCTGTGAAGTCTTAAGGGCTTTTTCTGATTGGTGGGCTTCTTATTACTGACTCAATTTTGGAACTAATTATTGGTCTGTTCAGGGATTTGATTTCTTCCTGATTTAATCTTGGGATGCTGTAAGTTTCCAGAAATTTATCTATTTCTTCTAGATTTTCTAGTTTGTGTGCATAGAGGTGTTCATAGTACTCTCTGAGAGTTTTTTCTGTTTCTTAGGCATCGGTGGTAATGTCCCCTTTGTCATTTCTGATTGTGTTTATTTGTATCTTCTCCCTTTTTTTCTTTATTAGTCTAGCTAGCAGTCTATCAATTTTATTTATTTTTCAAATAACAAACTGCAGATTTGCTGATCTTTTGTAAGGTTTTTCATGTCTCAGTTTCCTTCAAGTCAACCCTTATTTTGGCTATTTATTTTCTGCTAGCTTTGGGGTTGGTTTGCTCCTGTTTCTCTAGTTCCTCTAGTTGTGATCTTAGGTTGTTAGTTTGAGATCTTTCTAACTTTTTGTTGTGGGTACTTAGTGCCATAAGTTTCCCTCTTAACACTGCTCCCACTGTGTCTCAGGGATTCTGACATGCCGTATCTTTGTTCTCATTAGTTTCGAAGAGTTTCTTGATGTCTGCTTTAATTTCATTGTTTACCCCAAAGTCATTCTGGAGTAGTTTGTTTAATTTCCATGTAATTGTATGGTTTTGAGTGATTTTCTTTTCTTTTTTTTTTTAAGTTTTTTTTTTCTTTTATTATTATACTTTAAGTTTTAGGGTACATGTGCACAATGTGCAGGTTAGTTACATATGTATACATGTGCCATGCTGGTGCACTGCACCCACTAACTCGTCGTCGTCGTCTAGCATTAGGTATATCTCCCAATGCTATCCCTCCCCCCTCCCCCCACCCCACAACAGTCCCCAGAGTGTGATGTTCCCCTTCCTGTGTCCATGTGTATTGATTTCTATCTTTATTGCTCTGTGGTACTTGAGTGTGGTCAGTATATTTGTAGTTTTTTTTTTTTAATTTGTTGAGGATTGTTTTAGGTCTGGTTCTGTGATGGATTTTAGAATATGTGCCATGTTCAGATGTGAAAAATGTATATTTTGTTGATTTTGAGTGAAGATTTCTGCAGATATCTGTTAGGCCCATTTGGTCAAGTGCCAAGTTCAGGTCCCAAATATCTTTGTTAGTTTTCTGCCTAGATAATCTTTCTAATACTAGTGGGGTGTTAAAGTCTCTCACTATTATTGTGTAGTTGTGTAAGTCTCTTCATAGGTCTCTAAGAAGTTGTTTTATTAATCTTGGTGCTCCTGTGTTGGGTGCACATATATTTAGGATAGTTAGGTCTTCTGGATGAATTGAACGTTTTTCCATTATGTAATGCCCTGCTTTGTCTTTTTTTGATGGTTGTTGGTTTGAATTCAGCTTTGTTTGAAATTAAAATAGTAACCCTTGCTTTTTTCTGTTTCCATTTGCTTGGTAGATTTTTCTCCATCCCTTTACTTTGATTCTATGGGTGTCATTTGTGTGTGATGGGTTTCTTGAAAACAGCATACAGTTGTATCCTAATTCGTTATTCAACTTGTTCTTCTGTGCCTTTTAATTGAGACATTTACCCTGATTATATTCAAGGCTAATATTGATACATGCAGATTTGATCCTATCATCATGTTGTTAGCTTGTTATCATACAGATTTTGTTGTGTAATTGCTTTATAGCATCAATGGTATATGTACTTAAGTCAGGTTATATTGTGATGGCTAGTAATGGTGTTTATTTTCCATATTTAGCACTCCCTTCAGGATCTCTTATAAGACAGGTCTGGTGGTAACAATTTCCCTTAGCATTGGCCTCAACACTCTGATGGGTGGTTTGGGCCATTGTGCTTCGTCATGTCAGTGGAAGCAGGATCCATGCTCACTTGCATGGGCCATCACAGCTGTGGCATCATGGTGGGGTTGGCAGCAGTATTTATCATAGCCAAAAAATTAAGACAACTCAAATGTCCACCAGCTGACGATAAATGAATCATCAAAATGCATTTTTTTCATACTGTGGAATAATTTTCAGCAATAAAAATAAATAAAATTGTGATACATGTTGCATCTTGGATGAACTTTATAACCATTATGCTAAGTGAAAGAAGCCAGTTGTAAAACACTATATATTGCATAATCCTAGTCACGTAAAATGTGCAGAATAGACAAATCCAAAGAGACAAAAAGTAAATTAGTGATACACACAGTAAATTAATAGTTTTGAAAAATTTAGGACAGAAGGAAATAGATTGACTAGTGATAGTTATGGGATTTCTTCTTGGGGTGTTGAAAATGTTTTGACATTAGATACTTTTGAAGGTTATAAAACTATGTGAATATAATAACCACATATTTTATACTTTAAATAGATGAATTTTATGGAAATAAATGTTATTTCAATCAATCGGTTATCTCAAAGGTGCCCTTAAAAAAAGATTCCAACACAGGTTTTATTTCTTCGGCTTCCCTTAAATGGGATTTATTTGAGGAGTCAGTTCATTGGCAAGGTCAACATCTACATTTTCAAAGCTTCTCAACTCCAGATTTTCTTGTTTATTTAAAATTGACACCTAAGCTCAATCACTTTCTGGACAGTATTTAGCAAGCCTGTAAATAAGGCTTTGCTATTTTCCTTTTCTCTGGGGGAAAAGGAAAAACAGCAAGGTGAGTATTCCCATGATCTTCATTAAAATTTACCACTGCATTATCATATTTAGAGAGTGATATAAAACAGAAAAGGAAAATAAAATTTACAAATATGCACAATATTCAAGATAAAATTACAATATTTGCATATTTTATTTTTTACTTAAAATTACTGAAGATTTAAGGGAAATACTTGGTAATACAATGAATATAAAAGACACATGCTTTGAACAATACTAACAATAAAGGGTATAAAATCAAATAAAACAATAAATCCCTGAAAAATAAATTAATTATAAATGTGACAACTGAAATGAGTAACTGAGTGATAAGTTGCAATCATCAAAATTTATTAAACTACTTTAGGGTGTATCCAGAAAAAACATGAGCCACAGGCGCATCTTTGTTTTTCCACATAGGTTTTCAGGAGATTTAGTATTTATACATTTCTTGAAAGGAGCAGGAGGGATGAATATAGGACAAGAGGCATGGAGGTGGTCAGGTGAACACTACATTTTATGTAAGATGTGTCTGGAGAAAAAAAAAAAGAGAAGTACAAAAAGAAGCAATTATGCAGATGTCTTTGGGTAGGTGGTAGAAGGAGTATTGACTTTGTTCTGTATCTGGGAAGATAAGCTTGCAATGGACATTATCAGTGTGAAGTTTTCAGAGCTAGGCTTACATTGTAGAGCTAAAGTCAAAATTGGCATGACCTTGCTTATGGAAAACCAGCAAATAATTTACGTATGAAATATCTGTGGTGGCTTTCCTTCTTTGATGTCTGATGTCTTTTACTTCTCCATGGGGATCTGGCTGATGCATAATTTTAGTTACAACTATTCATTAGGAAGAGGACATTGTAATGATCTTCCCTTTTGCATATATTTAAAGGTCCTGAGATTTGTTGAATTTTCTTTTACAAATGTAAATATTAATATATTATGAATATGAATAAAATAATATTTCACTGGGAATACTTAAGAGAAAACTTAAAAATTTGAGGATATATAACATTCTGGTAACAAACTCAATGTTGAAGTAAGGCAAATTTTCTAAAACACAGTCAATAAATGTAATATAATTACCAATAAAATACCAAAGACAAATTGTTTATGTCTTAATAGGAATGCTGTTCAATGCCTATGAAAACTCTTAGAAATAAATTTTAATTTTGGAGCTCACAGCATGAAACATGAGGAGTAATCTGCAAGGGATTTTTGAAATAAATATGTTGGAAGCACTTTTTATTTCCTTGCTCTCAGGTGACTAATAAGGATGAGTATGTCTCCTGCTAATAAGGATGAGCATGTTTCCTGCTATGTAGCTCTCTCAACATATTTCATTGGGTTACTTGCACTTTTTTCAATGAAAGAAGAAACTTTTCCTTTTTACCTTGTCTTTCTAGGAAGAAGTGGGAAGCTTCTTATGTTTCATTTCTTCTACTGGTGTAGAAACAGCTGAGAATTCAAACTATAAAGCTATAACACTCTTTACTTGTCATGTTCCGTCCTTCTTTGTGTTATGTATGAATAACACTGGTTCCTGGATCAGAGTATCTGCGTTCAGAATTTTTCTTTTATTTCTACTCTAGATATATGTTTTCCTAACACTCTGGTACAGATTCTAACTTACAATTTTTCTCCCTAGTGAGAGAAATAAAGTCAACCATTTGACTTTATTTGGTAAAAAAAACCACTTTTACCTACTTGAGTAGGATAATTCCATTCTGAAGTCATTCTTCTCCATGTCAAACATCTCACACAGGTTTGGACTCTGTTGTGGGTTAGTGTGATTTCCATGTAATTTCTCATGTCTTCTGTGGTTTTCCTGGGAATCTAACATCATTAATCTTCTTTATATTAAAGGCTATAAATTATTTTCCATCTGAAAAAAGAGTTTTATTCAGTGATCTTTATAATCTTGTCATGTAAAACATATCCAAAATTTATACAACCACCTATTATTGTTGGAGAATTAAAAGAAATTTCCACCACTGCTTTTCTTAATTACTTCATACTATAGCTAAAAAGAGTCTCTCAATATTTCTTGTGGTTTGATCCATGCTTCGCTTAGTATCTTCTGCCTGATCTCACTTGCACCATTCATCCTCTTTGACCAGTGAAAATAAAAATATTATGCTCTGTTTCCTTTTGGGATTTCATATTTTAAACCAGGCATTTGAAAACTTTTTCCATAAAGGGTCAGTTAATAAATATTTCATTTTGCAAACCATATAACAGCCACTCTATCACAACTACTCAACCCTTCTGTGTAGCATGCAAGTTGCCACTGCAAAAATTAGTAAATAAATAAAAGTTTAAAAGGTGGATTTACTTATTTTATTAAATGGTTTAATACTTCGAAACATTAGTCCTTACTGTAATAACAAGAAGAAAATTCATATTAGGTATCCAGTTAGCTGTGAGTGCCACAAAGTTTTTGAAGAAAATAACTTTTTTCTTCAAGCCAAACAGCTAAGTTTCAGTCTTAGTCATTCAAGATGTTATAACAGAATACCTATACTGGGTAATTTATAGATAACTAAAATCTATTGTTCATAGTTATGAAGGCTGGAAAATTGAAGATTAATATACCAGCAAGTTTTAGTGTCTGATGAGGGCTCACGCTCCACTTCAAAGATGGCACCTTCTAAAAGTCCTCATATGAACAAAAGGAGAAACAAGTTCTCTCATGCTTCTTTAATAAGGACCCTAATCCCATTCCTGGGGGTTCTGCTTTTATGATTTAATCACTTTCTAAAGGTCTCTCCTCTTAATCACTTTGGGGATTAAGTTTCAACATATGAATTTTGGGGGGACACCAACAGTCAGACCACAGCATTTATCCCCTGGTCCCCTAAATTTATATCTTTCTCACATGCAAAAAAAAACATTCATTTCATCCTAATTTCCCTAAAAGTCTTAACTCGTTGTGGCATCAACTCAAAAGTCTAAAGTCCAGAATCTTGTCTAAATGTCATCTAAATCAGATATGGGTAAGACTCATGGTTTGATTGATCTGGAGGCAAATTATTCTCCAGCTGTGAAGCTTATTATTTTAATAATAAAATTATTTTTTAACTTCAATAAATTAAAATGTATTAATTTTTCAATAAATTTGGAAAATATGTGTTTCCAAAATACATGGTGGAATAGGTATAAGAGATATATTTCTAACCCAAAAGGGAGAAATAGGAAAGAAGAAAGATATAGTAAGTTCAAAATAGGTCCAACACCCAATAAAGCAGGCAATATTAAATTGTAAGGGTTGAGAATAACCTTCCTGGATTCTGTATCCCACCTTCTGAACACACTGGCATAGGGGTTGGGCCTCCAAGGTTCTAGGTGTCCCTAAAACATTGCCTTGTTGTGTCAGCCTACATGGCAGTTCTCCCAGGCTGGAGTCACTTGCTTAAGGCTCTTCAGGTCTGGGATCCCGCAGGCAGCCCCAAAACTACAGCTCCTCTAGGCATTTTCCTAGCGGAGGCTCCCTGCTCTGACCCTGCCTCTGTGTTATAGAGCTGAACTGGGGTCCCATTGCCTGGCACAGTAAAACCAGATACCCGCCACAAGATTTTTGCAGTGATAGAAAGGAAGGTGTTTATTGCAGGGCACCAAGCAAAGAGAATCAGCGTGGCTCATCCTTAAGACTTGAACTCCCCAATGAATAGCAGGTAAGAGTTTTTTCAGTCAGGGGTAAATTTCAGGAAAGCAGAAGCTACAGGCAAAATTATAAATCAATACTTGGAGGTTACACACTGGTTTTGGCCTAAAAGTTTGTGATATCCTGAAGCAGGGGCTTACAGGTTATAGATATATTTAAAGATTTTCTGATTTGCAATTAGTTGATAAAGAGAAGCTTTGTTTAAAAATTTAGAGTCAGTAGAACTGGTTAACGGTTACAGTGGGGTAACTTAGTCTAAGTACCTCAGGAAGAAACTTAGAAAAAAAGACAATAAAGTTTAGTCTTCACCTCCTCCTTATCTTGTCTATGGGGTCCTCAAGTAGGGGTTGGAGCCCATGAAAGAAAACTCAGGGAGATATATTATGATTTTGTGTTTAGTTTTTATAGGGAAAACAAACATCTCTGGGACCCTAATTTCTTTAGCTACTGTTTCAAGCTATTACCTTCTTTAACAGATTACATATTTACTTCTCAGGGCCTGGAATTTCTCTTGAAGGAACTTAGATTTTTTTTTTTCAATGATGTGGCCCACAGACCCCCTGAACAGGGAGATCCCTGCTCTATCTCACCTGCTGCAGTTCCGTCTGGACCTTGAAACTCTGCTGGCATCTTTTGAAATCTAAGTGAAAGTAGCCATGCCCTCACAACTCCTATCTTCTGCACCCTGACAGAGATAGCACAAAGAAGATGCTGCCTAATCTTATCATGTGTGCCTTTCTTCTAGATGAGTGGCCCCATCTGCACCTGAAGCTGCTTGAGCCACAGATGGGGAAGCCAAGGAATGTTGTACCAGAATGAAGAGTCTGAAGTCTTAAAATTATTCTTCACTCTAAGCCCTGGCTTTCTGGGCTTGTTCTGAGAGAGGTAGTCCAGCAATCTTCAAAATGTTCTCTCCTAAGCATGCTTTTTCATTCTTTTCAACATGGCCCAGGGTGAGAATTTTTCAATCCTTTAAGTCCTATTTCTCTTTTAATTATAAATTCTGCTTTTATTCATTTCTCTGTTCTTGCGTTTTAGCATAAACATTCAAGAAAGCTAAGCCACTCCCTCAATACTTTGCTTAGATATTTTTTCACCAAATATTTTATTGCTCAGAGTTCTACTTTCCACAGAACAATAGGACACAAATACTATTCAGACAAGTTCTTTGCCACCTCCTAACAAAGACTGCCTTTTCTTCAGTTTCCAATAATATGTTCCTCATTTGCAACTGAGCCCATATCAAAATGGCCTTTATCATCCATGTTTCCACACATTCTGATTATAACAACTTAGGTAATCACTAAGAAGATTGGGGCTTTCTCTAAAGCTCACATCTTCTGAGTTTTCACCAGAATATCTCCGAATGTTCCAACCATGACAGTGTAGATTTTTTACCATTGATCTCCAAACTCTTCCAGCCTCTACAGATTACCCAGTTCCAAAGCAGCTTCTACATTTTTAGGTATTGGTTACAGCAGCACTCCATTCTCTGAATCCATTTGTAAGGTTCCTCCTGACCTTCACAACAAAATATTTTACAATAGGTTATTTATAAATAAGAAAAATTTATTGCTCATGATTCTAGAGGCCGTGAAGTCCAAGATCAAGGTGCTAGCAGATTCATTGCCTGTGGAGGACTTGCTCTCTACTTCAAAGATGGTGTCTTCTGTATGTCCCCACAGGGAGAAAAGAGAAACAGACTCCCTGAAGCGTCTTTTGTAAGGGCACTAATTCTATTCATGATGGCTCTGCCCTCATGACCTAATCAACTCCTAAAGAACTCTCTTGCTAATGTCATTACATTATGGATTTTCAACATATAAATTTTATGGAGACAGCAACATTCAGACCATAGCACCTTCTTTTGTATTTCTCTCACATCAACACTCTTTCTAATCAGATGTTTTTTACCAGCAGGCAGGTCTATGCCAGCCTACCTCAAAGTCCCAGCAAGCTGAGAGACCAAAGAAAGAGGTTGTCAAATTCAGGTTCTTATGAAGCCACTTTTTAATAGAGACTTAGGAACAGAAGCTATATCTGTGTCTCAGATGGTGGCAAGAAAAGATAATGGATCCCTGCACCATTACCCCCAGATCCAGGGATTATATACTATAGGTGAGGGGCACCCATGTTTCAGAGGAAATAGGTAGGAATTTGCCCTAAGGGAAGGATTTATTGTAAATACATGCACTTACACAAGGAACAATAAACTCAATGTCTCAGAGGCATTCCAGGAACCAGAGTTGATCAGAAGTCAACATGGCAGATTACCTTCCAAAATGGGGTTGCTTTAGCCTCAATAGACTTCAATTTTGAAACATTGAATTTTATAAACTAGCCTAATTTCTAGAGTCTCTGTGTTACCAACTATGGGTTCTTTAGCTCTGAATCCAGTAGAAATTGAAACATGGCCCAAAGAGTTTTTCCAAACAAGGCTTTATTGGAGCTTATGCCTTGTCATAAGGGAGGCAGCAAAAGAGAGATTTATCTGGCTTGCCCCCTCCAAAGGAGTTGGGAAGGCAGTTGTTTTAAAGTGGCTCTGGTGGAAAAGGAGTGATGTTCAGGCACGTAGAGCAGGGAACTTTTAAGCACATGCATTGCATGTTTTATTAGCATGTTAAATCTCCATCCTGGGTGTGATTCTTAGTATTATAATGAAGCCAAGTTTAAAGATTGGTCATTCTCCCAGCCTTGCACACATGTGGGAGTTAGGGCTTCTTCTCTTGAGTAAGATTTATGGTGGTAGCTGCTTATTTTAGCTTCCTCAAGGCCCTGCCATCAGTCAGTGTGATGCCTTGTGCAAGATTTAGAGTACAAAGTCTGGATGATCTGGTTAGGGTC
Source organism: Homo sapiens (assembly GCF_000001405.40). Classification (NCBI taxonomy): domain Eukaryota; kingdom Metazoa; phylum Chordata; class Mammalia; order Primates; family Hominidae; genus Homo; species Homo sapiens. Next base: position 45,897,083 of record NC_000004.12, read on the forward strand.
TGCACTGGCCACGGGACTCTGGAACTCTCCCATCATCTTGCAGTAGAGATCCCCAGTGGGGCATGAAATGGTGGGAGGCAAGTGCCATACCTTATCTGTATCATTTGAGTATGTCTGGTATTTAAAGGCAGTATTTTCCAGTATTGTCCTTTTATTTCTTATCTTTTGAATTTGTAAAAGTTTTTAGTGTTTTATTATCTTTGCCTCAAAGGCAAAGATGAAATATTCCTCTCATAAAAAGGTCTTCGTTCCTCTTCATATACTCACTGATAGAATAACCCACTTACTACTATTGGTTCACATTCTAGGCCATTGAAGTCTGCAGACATAAGCAGGTCTATATAAAGTGCAGCCCAAAACCTATTGATGTTGTATGTTGGGAAAAATGAAGTACAGTAGTTCCACCTTATCCTCAGGGAATACATTCCAAGACCCTCAGTGGGTGCCTGAAACCATAGGTAAAACCAAACCTGATCACTTGTCAATCAGAATGCATTTCTGTTCATGTCTTTCCCCCACAAATTTAATCCCTTTTTCATATTGACAAAGTACAAATCACACACTGTGGCCCTAACTTTTGCAGTCTGAGGTGTGAATGAAAAACTAGCACAAAAGTATGTTTTCTTCTTCATAATTTCATGGATAGAAGGTTTGTTCTTACCATGGGCCTTAGCAAATTCAGCATACGTTTTTTTTTTCTTTACTTATTAAATTAAAAACTTTCTTTCTTTTTTTTTTTTTACTTAAAGGAAGCACTTTACAATTTCACTTTGTTATATCCAAATTGCCAGCATTGCTACTCTTGTACTTTGAGACTATTATTAAGTAAAATAAAGATTACTTGAACATAGCCACTGAGATACCTTGATAATCTCATAACCGATACAACTACTAAGGGACTAAGAGGCAGGTAGCATATATACTCAGAACAGCAACCAATTTAAAACTTATACATTGTTTATTTCTGAAAATTGTTATGTAATATTTTTGAACTGAAGTTCACTATGGGTAACTATAGCTGTGGAAAGTGAAACTGCAGAGAAGGCAGGACTACTACAGAGCAGACTTTCTAGTTTCCTTCTTTATCCCCCTGAATACGCATCAAACTTGAAAAAGAGGAACACTGGAAGTGGCCAATGTAACTCTGTCTACTCATAAAAGTACAATTTGTCTGAAAGCTCCCCAAATTTTCAATTTTAGCTGGTAATCCGTTTTATTTTTAGTTTAATATTACCCTATACTACTGGATAAGAAACTGGATAAGGTTGAGGAGGAGACTAACTAGTAGTGAAACTTTTTCAATTTGGTGAACCTCAAAAGCCTGTACACAGGAGCACTGTGTGTTTTGAGAGGAACCTTATCTGAAATTAAAACAATGTCTTTTCCTGAATGTTAGGTACTAACTCAGTATCTATTGTTGTAGATGGTATTATCATCTCAAAATAGTAGAACTTTTGTTTTAATGATAAGACTTTCGGCTTGTGCCTATTTCATCATCTAGTAACTATAACTGGGGACATGTACCTGTCATGAAAAGAAAGACCAATTCAGAGCAGTACTGGTAAACAGATATTAGTGTAGAGCCATCATTTTCTTGTCTTTCAGGAAATCAAACAGAATCAGTATATAAAATAAATACTTATGCAGAAACTATTTTAATGAAACTATGTGATACATGAAAGTCTAAACAATAAAATAATTGAAAGAGCTACCACTGCTTTCAAAAGCAAGGACATGAACTGGAGAAAAAAAGGAGTCACGGAGAGGGTACTACACACAGATTTCAGATAAAGTCACCTTCAAAGTATATTTCTAGATAACAAAATGTGCATCTTGAGATTTAAAAAGCTTGAAATCTCCTTTTGAAACGCTAGGCTGATGATAAAAACCTTCCATCAACCTACTTGGGTTTTTAAAAGCAATATACATATGGATAAAGAATCTTACATAGAAGTTACATTTGGGAGACGAAGTGGAGAAAGATGTGTAAACAGAACCCTCAAGCTATTGTACCTCTGCCAGAACACCAAATTGAACAAATATCCAGTCAACAAAGCATATTCATAAGAACCAAATTATCTCAAGACCATCCTGGCTAACATGGTGAAACCCTGTCTCTACTAAAAATACAAAAAAAAAAAACTGGCCGGACGTGGTGGCGGGCCCCTGTAGTCCCAGCCACTCGGGAGGCTGAGGCAGGAGAATGGTGTGAACCCAGGAGGCAGAGCTTGCAGTGAGCGGATAGCGCCACTGCACTCCAAGCCTGGGAGACTGAGCAAGACTCCGTCTGAAAAAAAAAAAAAGAACCAAATTATCAGGTGAGTTATTAAGTTATTAAGCACTTAGTTTTAACATAATAAAAAAGAAACAGGCATTGAATAGTGTAGAAAAGATAGTCCTATATTGCCTACATCACCTTTCCCCAACCCCAGGCAACACAGAGTGGAGAAAATCTGTTTGACTGGTGGAGGAAGAGCAAAATGACTGTGGGACTTTGCACTGGAAACAAACGTTGCCTTGTCACAGTGGAACACAACATAGGGCAGATTTCTGCCAGTGCCCATGAAAGGAGCATTTAGACCAGTACCGAGCCAGATGGGAATCCTCTACTCCAGCAGGAGGACCCCAAGTTTTAGTCAGCTGCATCATTAGCAGAATAAAGGGGCCTCAGGCCCAGAATAAATTTGAGTGGCAGTGAGAACTCAGTAACTGCAGTATCTGGGAAGCCCGAGTACTATGCTGGTCTCAGAGGCAACAAACTTGAGGTGCAACCCAGTTTGACAACGGAAGTGGTGGCCATGGAAATGTGTGTGTCATCCCTTTTCCATCTCCTGTAATCCCAATGGGTTCTTCCTGCCTGCTGCACAGACAAAACAAATTCACTGAGACCATGATATCACTGTAAAGGCAGAGTTTAATTAACAGTAGGCTAGCAATGTTGAAGATGGAGTTATTACTCAAATTAGTCTCCCTAAGAACTCAGAGGCTAGAGTTTTTACAGATAATTTTGTAGGAAGAGGGCTAGCGAATGGGTGCCACTGACTGGGGATGAAATCGAAGAGATGTGGAAAACGGTCCTTGTGCACTGAGTCTGTCTCTGAATCAAGGCTGCAGGACCAGTCCAGTCATAAGTCATGGGACTGGATGGGGTCAGTCACTGCCACAATGCAAATTTCTGAAAAACTTCTCAAAAGACCAATCTTAGGTTCTGTAGTAGTGATGTTATCTATAGGAGCAATTACAGAAGTGACAAATGTTGTGACCTCTGGTCATATGACTCCCGAGCAGTCAGGGATTATAAAAACTATGCCTACATCATAGCAGAATTCAAGCCTCTCCCATAATCCTAATCTTATAGGCTTTCATTAGTTTTAGTCCCTGAGCAAAGAGGGGGTTAGTTTTAGAGAGGAACTATTGTTATTCTTGTTTCCAAGATAAAACATAAACTAAATTCCTCTCATGGTTAGCTTGGTTTATGTCCAGGAATGAGCAAGAACAGCCAGGCTGTGAGTCTAGAAGCAAGATGGAATCAACCATGCTATATTTCTTTCATTGTCATAATGTTTGCAAAGATAGTTTCCCTCCAGGTAGTGCAGCCGAGCGAGGGACTCCTACCACTTGAGGACAGGAGAGGCAAGAGTACAGAGGACTTTGTCTTACAACTGGGTACCAGCTCAGCTACAGTAAAATAAAGTACCAGGATATTTCTAAAGATCCAGATTCCAGGACTTTGTTCCTATGTGGTGTTTGTAGATTCATCCTGGGTCAGAAAGTCATCTGTGTTCCTGAAGGAATGGATCAAAGCCCAGCAGAATTCACCACCTGCTGACTAATGTGGCCTTCTTCCTTGAATAAGCATCAGCCACAGCCAGGCAGTCACAGCCATGGGCCTTTGGTGAGCTCCAGTACTGTTCTGGTCTGGAAGGCTGTGAGCTTCAGGTGTGACCCAGCCTGGTGCCAGTTGTGGTGGCCACTGGAGTGCTTGCATCATCCCTCCTCCAATTCCAGGCAGCCAAGCATAGAGAGAGAGACCTCTTCTGCTTGGGGAAAAGAGAGGGAAGAGAGAGAAAGAAAGACTTTGACTTGAAACTCAGGGAATTCTCCCTTATCTTCACCAAGTTCATGAAAGATGTGTGTCTAGGAATTGGCAAGAGTCACAGTATTCCTGGCTTAGTGAACCTCTCCTCCTCTCATGCTGAAACAGCTACAGTGAAAACAGTCTTAGTTGACAACACTCAGTTCTTTCTGAATTCTGAGAAAGCGTTCTCAAGAAGGATGGGTACAGACAAGCCTACATTGTGAAGATTGGACTAAATACCTAACTCTACAATGCTAGCCATCAACAATCATCTACAAATATTAAAAACATCAAAGAAAATGTGACCTCAGAAAATGTACTAAAGCCACGAGCCATCAACCCTGGTGAGACAGAGCTATGTGACTTCTCAGACAGGGAATACAAAATAGCTGTCTTGAGGAAGTGCAACAAATTTTAAGATAACTTGGAAAAGGAATTGAGAATTCTGTCAGATAAATTTAACAAACAGATGCAAGTAATATTAAAAAAAAAAAAAGCAAAACTTCTGGAGCTGAAAAATTTAATTTACAAACTAAAAAATTGTGTCATGGTGTCTCAAAATCAGAACTGACCAAGCAGAAGAAAGGATTAGTGATCTCAAAGACATGCTACATGAAACAATAATAAAAACAAAGTATGCCTACAAGATCTAGAAAATAGCCATGAAATGGCAAATCTAGGAGTTACTGGCCTTTGAGAGGATGTATAAAAAGAAATGAGGGTTGCAAATTAATTCAAATATATAATAAAAGAGAACTTTCCCAACCTAGAGAGAAAGATGACTATCCATGTATAAGAACATTAATCAACACCAAGCAGGTTCAACCCAAATAAAACCACTTCAAGACATATAATAATACAACTCTCAAAGGTCAAGGACAAAGAAAAGTACCTAAATGCAGGAAGAGAAAAGAAGCAACTAACATTTAATGGAGTTCCAACACACCTGGCAGCAAAATTCTCAGTGTAAACCTTATATGTCAAGAGGAGATAGCATGATATATTGAAACTGATGAAGGAATAAACATTTTCAACTTATATGATATATCCAGCAAACTTATCCTTGAAACATGAAGGAGACATCTTTGTCATGAAATCTTTGGCTGTGTCTATGTCCTGAATGGTATTGACTACATTTTCTTTCAGGTCTTTTTGTAGTATTGGGTTTTACATTTAAGTATTTAGCTGACAAATGGAATTTCATTAAACTAAAGAGCATCAGCTCAGCCAAAGTAAACATACAACCTACAGAATGGGAGGAAATTTTTTTGCAAACTGTACATTCAACAAAGGTCTAATATCCAGGATCTATAATGAACTTAAATGAATTTACAAGGAAAAAAAATCAAAAAGTGGGCAAAAGACATGAACAGACACTTTTCAAAAGAATACATACATGTGGCCAAGAAGCATATGAGAAAAAGCTCAATATCACTGATCGTTAAAGATCAGTACAGATCAAAACCACAATGAGAAAACATCTTACAGGAGTCAGAATGGCTATTGTTAAAATGTCAAAAAAATAACAGCTCTTGGTGAGGCTGTGGGGAAAAAAAGTGGAAGTGTAAAAGTTCAACCATTATGGAAGAAAGTGTGGCAATTCCTCAAACAGCAAAAGTCAAAAATACCATTTAACCCAGCAATCCCATTAGGTGGTATATACCTAAAGAAATACAAATCATTCAAGTATAAAAATCACATGCATACATTTGTTTATTGCAGCACTATTAATGATAACAAAGATGTGGAATCAACCTTAATGCCCAAAAATGATAGACTGGATAAAGAAAATGTGTTACATATACACTGTGGAATACTGTGCAGACAGTTTGAGACCAGCCTGGCCAACACAGTGAAATCCTATATCTACTAAAAATACAAAAAATTAGCTGGGCATGGTAGCAGGCACCTGTAATCCCAGCTACTCAGGAGGCTGAAGCAGGAGAATCACTTGAACCCAGGAGGCGGAGGTTGTAGTGAGCCAAGATTGTGCCATTGTACTCCAGCCTGGGCAACAAGAGTTAACTGTCTCAAAAGAGAGAGGTAGAGTCCAAAACAATAAAAGTTAGATATGTTAACACCCCACTTTCACCATTGGTTAGATCATCAAGAAATCAAATCAACAATAAAGCACCAAACTTAATCTGAACTATTCACCAAATTGAACTAATAAACATTTGCAGAACATAATATTGTACAGCTGCAGAATACATACTCTTCTCATAAACACATGAAACATTCATAAAGACCATATGTTAGGCCACAAACCAAGTCTCTACAAATTCAAAAAAATAAAACAAAATTATACCAAGTATCCTTTCTAACCACAATGGAATAAAGTTAGAAACTGATATCAACAGGGGTTTTGGAACTATACAAATACATGGAAATTAAGCAGTATGCTCCTGAATAACCGTTGCATTAATTTAGAATTTAAAAAAGAAATTTAGCATTTTATTAAGACAAATTAAAATGGAAACACAACATACCAAAACTTTATACAGGCCCCATGCAAGTCCGAAAGCCAGCAGGGAAGTCATTAAATCTTAAAGCTCTAAAACAACCTCCTTTGATTCCATGTCCCACATCCAGGACATGCTGATGCATGGTATGGGCTCCCAAGGGCTTGGACAGCTCTGCCTCTGTGGATCTGCAGCACGCAGACCCCACAGCTGCTTTCACCAGCAGGCATTGAGTGCCTGTGGCTTTTCCAGGCACACTGTGCAAGCTGTTGGTGGATCTACTATTCTGGGGTCTGGAGGATGGTGGCCCTCTTCTCACACTCCACTAGGCAGTGGGGATTCTCTGTGGGGGCTCAATCCTTACATTTCTCTTCTGCACTGCCTTAGAGAGGTTCTCATGAGAGCTCCACTCCTGCAGCCTAGACATCCAGGTGTTTCCATACATCCTCTGAAATCTAGGCAGATGCTCCCAAGCCTCAACTCTTGCCCTCTGTGCACCCACAGGCCCAACAACATATCCCATGGAAGCTGCCAAGGTTTCTTATGGCTTGCACCCTCTGGATCAGAGGCCTGAGACATATCTGGAGCCTGTTTAGCCATGGCTGGAAATGGAGCAGATGAGATGTGGGGTGCCATGTCCCAAGGCTGCACAAGGCAGCATCCTGGCCCCACCCACAAAACTATTTTTCCCTCTTAGGCCTCCAGGTCTGTGATGAGAGGGGCGTCCACAAAGATCTCTAAAATGCTCTGGAGGCATTTTCCCCATTGTCTTGGCTATTAACATTTGGCTCCTCTTTGCTCATGCAAATTTCTGCAGCTGGCTTGAATTTCTCCCCAGAAAATGGATTTTTCTTTTATACCACATGGTCAGGCTGGAAATTTTTCAAATTTGTATGCTCTGCTTCCCTTTTAAATGTAAGTTCCAATTTCAGACCATCTCTTTGTGAACACATATGAGTATACACTGCTAAAAGCAGCCAGGGCATATCTCAGACACTTTGCTGCTAGGAAAGGTCTTCCAACAGATGCCCTTCATCATCTCTTCCAGGTTCAAATTTCCACAGATCTTTAGAGAAGGGACACAATGCTACCAGTTTCTTTGCTAAAGCACAGCAAGAGTTACCTTTGCTCCAGTTCCCAATAAGTTTCTTATCTCAATCTGAGACCTCTTTAGCCTGGACTTTATTATCCGTATCACTATCAGCATTTTGGTAAAAACCAGTCAATAAATCTCTAGAAAGTTCCAAACTTTCCCTCATCTTTATGTGTTCTTCTGCACCCTCCATACCATTCCAACTTCTGCTTCCACATTTTCAGGTATCTTTTGTGGCAATGCCCCACTTCTCTGGTACCAGTTTTCTGTATTAGTTCACTCTCACACTGCTATAAAGAACTACCTGAAACTGGGTAATTTATAAAGAAAGAGGTTTAATTGGCTCATAGTTCTGCAGGCTATACAGGAAGCATAGCTGGGGAGGCCTCAGGAAACTTAGAATCATAGCAGAAAGCAAAAGGGAAGCTGGTACATCGTACGTGGCTGGAACAGCAGGAAGAGAACAATGGTGGAGTTGCTACACACTTTTAAACAACCAAATCTCATGAGAACACTATCAAGAGACAGCACTAAGGCGATGGTGCTGAACCATTAGAATCCACCCTTATGATCTAATCACCTCCCACCAGGCCCCACCTCCAACAGTCAGGGTCACAATTTAACATGAGATTTGGGTGGGACATGAGCCAAACCATATCATTCAACAAATTTTTTAGCCAGTCCACCTAAATAAAAAAGGTAAAAGACCCAAATCAGTAAAATCAGAAGCAAAAAGGAGAGCTTACAACTGACACAACAGAAATTGAAAGGATCATTCGAGAAAATTATAAGCAATCATATGTCAATAAACTGGAAAACCTAGAAGAAATGTATGTGTTTCTAGACTCACACAATGCAGCAAGTTTGAAGAAATATAAAATCTGAATACAACAATAAGAAGTAATGAAACAAAAATAAAAATTCTTCTATCAAAGAAAAGCACAAGACCTGATCACTTCACTACTGAATTTTAGCAAACATTTAAAGATGAATTAAGGCCAATCCTTCTCAAACTATTTCAAAAAATCAAATAGCAAATACTTTTAAACTCATTCTATGAGGCCAGTATCTCTCTGATACAAAAAGTAGACAAAAATGCAACAACGAAAAAAATCTCTCTGACTGCCTAAAATTGGGGGATATAGATAGATAGAGTTACAGGCCAATATCTCTAATGAACACAGATGGAAAAACCCTCAACAAAAATACTAGAAAATTGAATAACACATTAAAAAGATCATTCATGATGATCAATTGGGATTCATTTCAGCAGTGCAAAGATGTTTCAACATATTCCAGTCAATAAATTGAATACATCACATCAACAAAATGAAGAAAAGTAACATGTGATCACTTCAATCGATATCAGAAAAGCATTCAGTAAAAGTTATCCCTTCATGATAAAAACTCTCAACAAACTGTTTAAAGATGGAACATGCCTCAAGTTAATAAAGGCCATATTTTACAAACCCACAGTTAGTATCAACTGAATAGGAAAAAAATTTAAAGCCTTTTGTCTAAGATCTTGAACAAGAAAAGGATGCCCACTTTCACCAGTTTTATTCAACCTCATGCTGGAAGTTCTATCCAAAATAATTAGGCAAGAGACAGAAAATGGGCATCCAAATAAGAATGAAATAACTCAAATTATCCTTGTTTGCAAATAATATAATCTTATATTTTAAAATCCTAAAGACAAAAATCTATCTGAACTAATATAAAAAATTCACTAAATTTGCAGGATACAAAATCAACAAAGAAACATCAGTAGCATTTCTATATGTCAGCAGCAAGGAATCTAAAAAAGAAACCAAGAAATTAATAATATTTACAATAACTACAAAAAAACTAGAAATAAACCAAAAAAGTCAAAGATCACTATAATGAAAATTGTAAAACATTGATGAAAGAAACTAAAGAGGACACAAATGGAAAGATAGTCCATGTTCATGGTTTAGAAAAAGCCAATATTGTTAAAATGTCCATACTACCCCAAGCAATCTACAGTTTCAATGCAATCCCTACCAATGTACCAATGATATTCTTTACAGAAACAATAATTCTAAAATTATATAGATCAACCAAAGAACATGACAAAGTCCATATATGACAATTATATAGATTAACCAAAGAACCAGAATAGCGAAATCAATTCTGAGCAATAAAAGCCAAGCAGTAGGCATTACATTACTTGCCTTCAAATTATACTACAGAGCTATAGTAATTAAAACACCATTGTACTGGCCTAAAAACAGACCTATAGATCAATGGAACAGAATAGAAACCCATTAAATAATCCACAGATATGAAACTGGCTCAAGTGTCCCATAAAAGCAAAATTTATGGGTTTTTGGACAAACGTAATGATTGACCCTTTGAGTCTTAAAACTTAACATTTGTCTCATCTGTGTTCCTTCTTCAGAAAACCAACCCTCAGGCACGGAATTAAAACTCATCAGAGCACCACATCCAGGCAATGAGATGCCAGATCCCTCCATCATTATTACTTCCTTACCTCTCCCTAATTCCTGTTTCCCTCTTTCCCCTGCTATCTATATCCCCCAATTTTAGGCAGTCAGAGAGAAAGATTTGAGACTGAACCCTCATTCTCTATAGCTGCAGCACTCAATCAGTTATTCTTCTCTGGCAATATTTGTTGTCTCCGTAATTGGCATTCTGTGTGGCAAACAATGGGACCTAGACTTGATCCCTGACATTTTAATAACACACATGCAGCCAACTCATTTTCAACAAAGGCACCAATATTATAAATTGGGGAAAGAACAGTCTCTTCAGTAAGTGGTGCTGGGAAAACTACATATCCATATACAGAAGGATAAAACTAGACAACTATCTCTTGTCACATTAAAAACGTCAAATCAGAATGGATTAAAGGCCTAAATGTAAGACCTCAAATTTTGGAACTATTAGAAGAAAACATTTGGAGAAATGTTCCAGGACATTGTGCTGGGAAAAGATTTATTGAGTAAGATCTGAAAAGCACAGGCAACCAAAGCAAAAATGGTCACATGAAATTACATCATGTAAAATGCTTTTGCACAGCAAAGGAAACAATTAACAAAGTGAAGAGACAACTCACAGAAGAGGAGAAAATATTTGCAAACTATTCAACTGACAAAGGATTAGTAACCAGGATATGTAAAGAATTCAAACAACTCAATAGCAAAAAAAAAAAAAAAAAAAAAAAAAAAACTGATTAAAAAATTGAAAAAAAAAGAATAGACTTTTTTCAAAATTTTTTTTCAAAGAAGACATACAATTGGCCAAAGGGGATATGAAAAATGCTCAGTATCACTAATAATCAGAGAAATGCAAATCTAAACTACAATGAGATATCATCTCTCCCTGTGTAAAATAGCTATTACCAAAAATACAAAAAAAAAATCTGGCAAGGATGCAGAGAAAGGGGAATGCTCATACACTGTTGGTGGGAGTGTGAATTAGTATTACCACTATGGACACTCCTCAAAAACTACAAGTAGAACTACCATATGATCCACCCATCTCCCAAATGGATATATATCCAAAAGAAAGAAAATCAGTATACTGAAGATATATTTACACACCCATGTTTATTCAGCACTATTCAAAAGAGCGAAAATATGGAATCAACCTCAACAATGGATATTCCATAAAAAGATATGGAATGCCTCAACAATGAATGTATAAAGAAAATGTGGTACATTATACACAGTGAAATATCAGTCATGCATAAAAAATAATGAAATTCTGTCATTTGCTACAGCATGGTTGGAACTGGAGGACGTTATGATAAGTAAAACCAGTCAGACACAGAAAGAAAAATGCCTCATGTTTTCACTCATATGTGGGAGCTAAAAAAATTGATCTCATGGAGCTAGAGAGCAGAATTATGGTTACCTGAGGCTGGAAAGGGTAAATGGGGATGGAGAAATAAAGAAGGGCTGGGTAATGCAAAAGTTACAAAAATGCAATTAGATAGAAGGAATAAGATCTAATGATTGGTAGCATAATAGTGCAACTATAGTTAACAACTTATTGTATATTTCCAAATAAAAAGAAGAGTAGAATTGGTATGTTCCTAACACACAGAAATGATATCTGTTTGAAGTAATAAATATCCTAATTACCCTGATTTGATCATTTCACATCTTATCAAAATACCACATTCACCTTAAATATTTCCAACTATTATGCATCCATAAAACTTAGAAATAAAAAATATTTTAATGTCATATTTGCAGTTTGGTTCTGGTGTATGTACAGACATAGAGACAAAAAAAAAAAACAGAAAAGAATGTCTAGAAGTAAATGAAATTTACACTTACCATACAGAAGGTCCATGCTATGATATGAATGTTTGTATTTCTCAAAATTCATATGTTGAAACATAATCTAATGTTGTATGAATGTGTAGTATAGACGTTAGGGCCTTTTGTAGGTGTTTAGGTCTGATATAAACTTCTGTTGTTTATAAGCCACTGAGTCATGGTATTTTGTTGTAATTCCTCTAACCAATAAGAGGAGTTTCTTTTAAAAAAAGTGAGAAAATTATGGTTTATATAACAATTTTATTAGATAAACAAAGTAGCTAATTCAGTGAAAAGATTAAATCTTCACCCTTCCCCTATACCCAACACAAAAATAACTCCAATGGATCAATTTCAGTTGTAAAATATGACTTTATAACAAAACTTGAAGAAATCATGAGAGATGAAATTTGGGGAAGAAAAATGGGAGGAAATCACGGCGAAAGTATGACACGAATGTTATGAATTATAGAAGATAAAATTGATAAATTTGACCAATTAAAAAAATAACATTGCTCAAAACCATAACATAAAAAGTAAAAAGATAAATGACAAAATAAGAAAACATTTGCTAATTATACAATAAAGAAATAATACCTTTAATATATAAAATGTTCTTACAAATTAATAACAAAAATACCCAAGAGAGAATTGGCAAAGGAGAGTTCAGATAAAACAAAGTATAAATGACTCTTAAACATATTTTCAAAAGCTCAGCCTCAATTCTAATAAGACAAGTACAAATTATATTAAGATAAATCATTTTATTAAAATGCTAATTTTTATAACAAGATAATACTGTGTTTGCAGCCGGAAAGATAAACAAGTATAGCTATTGTGGTTAAGACAGTGAATTGGAATAGTCTCTGGAGAAAGAAATCTGGTAGGATCTATCAAACTTACAAATGCAAATTTATTTTACCAGGAAATTCAATTTCTATACATTTATACTACAAATACACTTACATTTATGTAAAATTATGTATTAATAACTATGTTTTTTAGTTATAACTAAGTTGGGAAATAATCTAAATAATAATCCATAGGGTTACTTAAAAAAATCATATACAATCCAATTTTGTGCTATTTAAAAAGGAAACTACTAGTTGACAAACAGCCAACTTGTGTGTGCATGTCTGTATGCATGTATAAGTAAAAAAGAGGGAAACAAAGCACAATGCAGAAGAGTATCAGAGTGTCATAATTTTTAGAAACAAAGGTAGAAAATCATATTCAGATAAATTTATGAGTGTGTGTTTGCCTGAATTTACATAAAATATCTATGATAGTGTAAAAGAGACACTAATGGCATAATGTATGATGTGGTTCTATGAAGGGGATCTGAATAATGGGGGAGAATGGGTGAGTGCCTGGTATTTTATTCCTAATAAATTTGAATGTATTCAAATTCAATTGAATTGTGAACCAAGTGAGCATATCATCCATTCAAAAATATGTAAATAAAATATTTGTTTGCAAAAACATTAAATGAAAAGTTTTATATAGACTACAAGAAAGCTTGTTTGTCTGCATACCTTCTGAGGTGTTAAAAGACTGGCTATCCATGTTTTGGCTTGTGCTGCTTAAGTCAGTGTAGTTAGACAAAGACAGCAAGAAAGAGGCCTCTGAGCTTCTGTCTGTGTATAGGATTAGGGCATGGTGAGGGGTGGTGGCAGTGGGACATGAGGGAGACCTTAATCTTTTTAATCTTATATGAGGCAGGAAACAGCATGAGTGTCATGTGTAGCTTCAGACACTAACAAGAGTCAGATTACTTAGAAGGGTCTGGCTCTCATTCAGTATCCACACAGAAGAGGGTTAGAAGTTCTGGGTTTTTTTTATGAGCACTAAATTTTAATACACAGTGGCTCAACTGAAAAATAAGGAAGAATGTATGTCACATTCTGACAACTAATATTGAAAATTCTTTTTGCATGCAAGAGCAAGTAAAATGATAGGGTTAGAGAGAGAAAAGTTTCCTTTTCAATATTCATCAAAATAGGAGAGGGGACAAAAATAAATGTTATTCTTACTGACCAAATCTAACAACTGGGTGTAGAGACAGAAATATATTTCTCATATCTCCCAATCAATAATATTTAATTTTGTTGAGGGAATGCTTGAGAAGACTAAATAGTTTTCTTTGGTAGCTAATGTAAGGTTTTCAGACTACATATCTGTTGGAGTCCTGTTTTATGCTTTCTGTTTAAACACTATAGTAAAGAATTTCCTATAGTTAATCTTGGCTATAATCTTGGAATTTGAATGGGTTCTTCTAGCTTCAAACTCATATCTTTAATCACTTTTGATAAATGCTATTCTATCACACTTCTGATTTACCTCTGTATGATGTTTTCTCAGGCAAATCATATTTCCAAGATATTTGAATTCTATTGTCTGTATTTTTCCAAACCTTCATTGTTTTCTACCTCTTCACCATTTTGCTTCTCTTTTCTAGCATATTTCTTAGATTGTTCATCCACGTATCTATCATGTATGGTGTTTCCTGTAGCTCTGTCTTCCTCTGCTGCAGTGTCCATCTATGAATAATATTCTAAAACTGACTGTTCTTTTCATTGTAGAGCCTGGGGTAATTGCGCTGTAGGATGACTACCTGCCATCTTCTTGTTCATGAGCACATTATAGGCTAAAAACACAGATGCCAAAGCATGCTTACTTTTTCTGATTTTTTTTTTTTACCCAGTTTACCTAATTGCTCACTAAGATCTCATTAGTTTTTCTTGTTCTTGGCTTTCAATTTGCTCTATGATTTTTCACCTAACTTTAGACTCTTGGTTTATGGTTTTTTTTTTTTTTTTTTTTTTTTTTTTTTATTTTTATTGACCTTTAGGAAAAGTTTTGCCAATTTAATTCTTCAACTACACCTCTTGATATTGTGTGGAATTCCCATGATCCTGCCTTCTTGCCTAGTTATTACCATTTAAAAATTTCTATATTCCTGTTAAGACAATTACTTCTATTAATTTTCTACTGCTGCAGAACAAATTACCACAACCTTACCACCTTAAAACAACATAACACGTAATATCCTGCTTCCATGAGTCAGTGTCTTGGCATACCCGAAATAGATCTTTTTCACAGGGTCTCATAAAGCTGTAATAAAGAAGCAGGGCAAGGTTGTGCACGATTGTAGTCACAGGTACTCAGGAGGCTGAAGCAGGAGGATTGCTTGAGTCCAGGAGTTTAAGACTGCACTGAGCCATGATCGCCCCTACCGCACTTCAAACTGCACTTCAAATGCAAGGTTGTGCATGATTGTAGTCGCAGGTACTCAGGAGGCTGAAGCAGGAGGATTGCTTGAGTCCAGGAGTTTAAGACTGCAGTGAGCCATGATCGCCCCTACTGCACTTCAAACTGGGTAGTAGAGCAAAATATTGACTCAAAGAAAAAAAAAAGGAAAAGGTTCAAAAAAGGTCTCAGCCAGGGCTGTGGTCTCATCTGAGTTAAGAGCCATCATCTAAACTCGTGACTGTTGGCAGAATTAACTTCCTTGCAGTTATAAAACTGATGTTGACTTGCTTATTTCCATGTTGACTTGCTTATTTCCAGACCAACAGGCAAATCTCTTTGACCTAAATGAAGGCTCCAGTCTCTTTATAAAAATGCAGGCCTGATTAGGTAGCCCCACCTAGCATAATATCTTTTTTGATTAACTCGAAGTCAACTGACTAGGGATCTTAATTTCTTGTTTTTTTTTTTTTTTTTTTTTTTTTTACTTTTGCAATATTCCATACGCATGACATTGATATTCCTTCTAACATGCTGGTCTCACCCACACTCAAGGTTTGGTGATTATACAAGGGCATGGATCATTGAGGGCTATCTTATAATTGATCTATGGATGTCATGCAATCTTAATATAAATTCCAGTGGGTCTTTTTATTGAAACTGAATGTTTTTAATAAAGAAATACAAGTGACTTACAATAGCAAAAATAACTTTTAAAAGAGGAATATATTTGAAAGACTTGATCTTTCATTTCTATACTTACTTTTAATACATGATGTTGGTGTAAGTTGATTTACTGGAAAATAAATTATTGAAACAGAAGAAAGTGTCCAGAAAAATAATCACATATATATGGTCAATTAATTTTAACAAAAGTTTCATGAAAATTAAGGCAAAAGGAAGAGTATATTCAACAAATGGTGGGAGAGAAATTGAAAAATTAAACTTTGAAATTCTACCTCGCCCTGCACATAAAAATATTAATTTATTGTTTACCTTAAACTTGAATTTAAAAGCTCATATATAACACTGCTAGAAAAATACATAAAATAATAAGTTTATTGCCTTGTGGTAGGCAAGATTTCTCAGACAGAAAACAGCAATGAAATGAAAGATAAGAAAATGATCAATTGAATTTCATAAAATTAAGAACTTATGCTCATCGAGAGACATGTTTAAGGAAATGAAAATTCAAGACACAGACTGGGAGAAATGATTTATAATGCAAGTATCTGACAAAGAACTTGTATTTATGTATTTCTGTAGAACATATTCTTTAAAACTCTTTAAATGAGATAAACAACTCAAAAATTCTACAGTAGGCAGAAACTTCACAGACAATATATACTTAATGGTTAAGTTCATAAAATAGTGATCAGTATTATTAATCATCTTAGTATTGCAAATTGGAAATCACAATGAGGTATAATTTCAAAGCCACTAGATCAGCAATAATTAAAAGTAATAGTGACAACAAAAGTTGGTAAAAATGTTGAGCAGCCAAAAATCATCATACATTGCTGGTGGAAGTACCCAATGGCAAAATCACATTAGAAATTAGTTTGGTCTTCCATTTCCTATAAATTTGTTCCTTATTTTATAATCCAGTAATTCAATTTCTCAGTATTTACACAAAATAAGCTTGTGAAACACGTTTACAAAAATGAGTATACAAGAATATTGACAGTATCTTTCTTTACAATAGTTGTTTATAATTTGGGTTGGAAACAACTCCATGAAAATTAAAAGGTAAATAAATAATAGAATATTGTATATTTATAGAATGCAATGCTAATCAGCAAAAAAGGAATACACTAATGATATATACAGAATATGGATTAATTTTAAAAGTATTATGTTGATTTAAAAAGGAAGCCAGCCACACACACATACATACACACTCTCTCTATGTTGTATGATTTCATTAATGTAATGTTTAAGAACAAGCAAAACTAGAACTCATTCCTTCTAAATGAAATGCTGCATCCTTTGACCAATATCTCTTCAATTCCGCCTTCCCATCAGGCCGTGGTAACCATCATTCTATTCTCTGCTTCTATGAGTTTGACTTTTTAGATTCCATACTGGAGGAAAGCTAGGTGTTGGGACAGAACAGAAATGAGCCATAATGCTTATGAAGCTTATGGAGCCAAGGAGTAGATGGTAAAAGTTGTGTTTACTTTTGCTTTAAAAAATAAGCTGTATTTTTGGTTTGTGTATCTGATAGTCTCTGTAACCATCATTTCTGTATTATTCCCTTATGGTTTAGTACAGTGATTTTTGAAAAGTCTATTTAGGCTCTGCAAAAAGAAACTAGTGAGTGGACATATATGGCTAGTTGGCCAAAAGCAATAATATTTTTAATATTAATGATAATAGCTAGAAACTTTTAGGACTTTACATAAACCATGGCTCAAGAATGTCATATGTATTATCTCATGTGAGAAGCCAAACAGAACTTCACAGTATGCACTGTTGTGGTGGTAGATGCCATAGATTGGCTGCTTTGACAGCAATTCTTATTTCTCTTTATTGTGCTTTCTTTGGGAAGCTGAAATGTTACTTTTTTGGAGCTCCCTTGAAATCGTTTTTTTCCATTTTTTTGAGAGTTTGTCAATTTGATGCATTTGCACATAATTAGAACTCAGAATTATATGGGAGAGTGGCAAGGTACAAGGCTTATATTTTGGTGGCATCCATCACATGGGTCAGAGGGCAGAACCTTTCTAATGCCGTGGTTTACTATACCTCCATATCAGTTTTCCACATAATGGAGAAACGTAGGAGACACAGGAAAATTCTGGGGCTTGACTGGTTTCTGAAAGTTCAACCTAAACCTGTTTCCTTTTTTTATTTAATAGATTTTATAAGCATCTTAAATCTTTCTTCTTAAACTGGCTACCTTTTTTGTGTTTTTGACAGAAATCTTAGAGATACATTTATTATTGCTTTCTTGCAGAAGATGAAAATGGGACATACAGAGCTCAAGCAGATTGCCTAAGAACATTGTACTAGAGCAGTACACTACAAGAGACATATCATGGCTATAAGATTAATGACGGCCATAGGTTCCACTCAATCATCTTGCAAGGCCTACACCACAGGTCACTTAGCAGCACGATGCAACCTGGCCTGGGGACATAATGCTCATAAACCTTAAAACAAAACTTTCAAGAATAGCTTAAACTTTCTTCGTGAAAGAAACACTTGGTAACTGACCAGGTCTGAATAACAGGTATAGAAATAGAAAAATAATTTCTCCTAGATTTTCTAGTTTATTTGCGTAGAGGTGTTTATAGTAATCTCTGATGATAGTTTGTATTTCTGTGGGATCGGTGGTGATATCCCCTTTATCATTTTTTCTTGCGTCTATTTGATTCTTCTCTCTTTTCTTCTTTATTATTCTTGCTAGCGATCTATCAATTTTGTTGATCTTTTCAAAGATCCAGCTCCCGGATTCATTGATTTTTTGAAGGGTTTTTTGTGTGCCTATCTCCTTCAGTTCTGCTCTGATCTTAGTTATTTCTTGCCTTCTGCTAGCTTTTGAATGTGTTTGCTCTTGCTTCTCTAGTTCTTTTAATTGTGATGTTAGGGTGTCAATTTTAGATCTTTCCTGCTTTCTCTTGTGGGCATTTAGTGCTATCAATTTCCCTCTACACACTGCTTTAAATGTGTCCCAGAGATTCTGGTATGTTGTGTCTTTGTTCTCATTTGTTTCAAAGAACATCTTTATTTCTGCCTTCGTTTCATTATGTACCCAGTAGTCATTCAGGAGCAGGTTGTTCAGTTTCCATGTAGTTGAGCGGTTTTGAGTGAGTTTCTTAATTGATTGCACTGTGGTCTGAGAGACAGTTTGTTATAATTTCTGTTCTTTTACATTTGCTGAGGAGTGCTTTACTTCCAACTATGTAGTCAATTTTGGAATAAGTGTGAAGTGGTGCTGAGAAGAATGTATATTCGGTTGATTTGGGGTGGAGAGTTCTGTAGATGTCTATTAGGTCCGCTTGGTGCAGAGCTGAGTTAAATGGTGCTGGGAAAACTGGCTAGCCATACATAGAAAGCTGAAACTGGATCCCTTCCTTACACCTTATACAAAAATTAATTCAAGGTGGATTAAAGACTTCAATGTTAGACCTAAAACCATAAAAACCCTAGAAGAAAACCTAGGCAACACCATTCAGGACATAGGCATGGGCAAGGACTTCATCTCTAAAACACCAAAAGCAATGGCAACAAAAGCCAAAATTGACAAATGGGATCTAATTAAACTAAAGAGCTTCCACACAACAAAAGAAACTACCATCAGAGTGAACAGGCAACCTACAGAATGGGAGAAAATTTTTGCAACCTACTCATCTGACAAAGGGCTAATATCCAGAATCTACAAAGAGCTTAAACAAACTTACAAGAAAAAAACCAAACAACCCCACCAAAAAGTGGGCGAAGGATATGAACAGACACTTCTCAAAAGAAGACATTTATGCAGCCAACAGACACGTGAAAAAATGCTCATGATCACTGGCCTTCAGAGAAATGCAAATCAAAACCACAATGAGATGCGATCTCACACCAGTTAGAATGGCGATCATTGAAAAGTCAGGAAACAACAGGTGCTGGAGAGGATATGGAGAAATAGGAACACTTTTACACTGTTGGTGGGACTGTAAACTAGTTCAACCATTGTGGAAGTCAGTGTGGTGATTCCTCAGGGATCTAGAACTAGAAATACCATTTGACCCAGCCATCCCATTACTGGGTATATACCCAAAAGATTATAAATCATGCTGCTCTCAAGACACATGCACACGTATGTTTATTGTGGCATTATTCACAATAGCAAAGACTTGGAACCAACCCATATGTCCAACAATGATAGACTGGATTAAGAAAATGTGGCACATATACACCATGGAATATTATGCAGCCATAAAAAATGATGAGTTCATGTCCTTTGTAGGGACATGGATGAAATTGGAAACCATCATTCTCAGCAAACTATCACAAGGACAAAAAACCAAACACCGCATGTTCTCACTCATAGGTGGGAATTGAACAATGAGAACACTTGGACACAGGAAGGGGACCATCACACACCGGGGCCTGTTGTGGGGTGGGGGGAGGGGTGAGGGATAGCATTAGGAGATATACCTAATGTAAATGACGAGTTAATGGGTGCAGCACACCAACATGGCACATGTATACATATGTAACAAACCTGCACGTTGTGGACATGTACCCTAGAACTTATAATATAATTAAAATAATAATAATAATAATAATAATAATTTATCAAACTCAGAGAATAAGCTCCAGATGGGGTCCCTCCTGGCTCGTTGTCATCTGACCCGCTCACAGTATCTAGCCCATGCCCCTGGCCTGCTCCTGCTATCCATCCTGTAGGAGAATTGCCAGAATAAGCTACCTGAAAATCAGGCAGTATCAGAGCTTCATCTTTGGCACAAATTGAATGGAAGGGGAAAGGTCACCCCTGGAAAGTCTGCTCAACTAGAAATGTCTGAGATCCTCCCTAAACAAAACAACTAGTAAATACTAGAGCCAGGAATACAAGTAAATCTATCGGCAGAACCCATAGTAAACCTCTGCCCTATATTCCTGCTAATCAAAGTATATAGAGAGCTAAACATTCCTAAGGACTGGCCGTGTATTCCTAAGGACTGACCAGCGGTAGTTAAAGCAGGTAGGTGTAAGAGTATGGTGAGCAGTAGAAAAGTGATGTTGAAATATTGTATAGCTTAGTATTTGCAACTGAAAAACACCCTTCCATAATCAATTTTAAACAATTCTAATTTTTGCTTTATTATTAAATAGAGTTTTCTATTACACAGTTGTACTCCTCATTTGGGACAGAATTATTATAGTTTAAACATTTTTCTTGTCTTAACAAATGATGATAAAAATTCAATAGCTTTTACAGTGTCCTTCTCTAATTTTTTTTAATGGAAGAAGACTACTGATACAAGTCAATGTAGTGTCCTGAGATGGACAGAGTAGAGAGAATAGTTAATAATTTAAACATGATAATATGTGGCATTAAATAAATGAGCTCTAGTCCTAACTTTATCACTTACACGACAAATAAGCTAAGCCACCATTTTATTTATTTGAGAGTCAGTTTTCTTTACATGTACAATGGGATAATGATGCTGTTGACCTCAGGGATGAATGAGATGCAAATCATATAAAGGTAATATATAAGCACTGTAAGCAAGTCTTAGGTAAACTATACATCCTTATCCATGTGCTCACTCTTGTCAATATTAAAGGATATAAGGAAGTATAGAATTATCAATTTAAATCCATCTGCTCCTACAGTGTTCTTACAAAATAATATTTGTTATGTCATCTCATGTCTTTCATAGCCATTTTAGTGTACTCAGACGTAAATTGTAGTCTGGTGACTTTAAACATACTTAGAATCCTGAAGACATACAGATTGTCAAATTTGGGACAATAGATAAAAAATGAATATCATTTGTCTTAGTCCATTTGAGGGGCTATAACAAACTACCATGAACTGGGTGGCTTATAAACAACAGAAATTTACTCCTCACAGTTCTGGAAGCTGAGAAGTCCAAGATCAAGGTGCTGGCAGATTCAATGTCTGGTGAAGACCTGCTTCCAAGTTCAGATTGGCCCTTCTCGATGTGTCCTCACAAAGTGGAGGGAGACAAAGCAGCACTCTGGGGCCTCTTTTATGAGTACTAAAACCATCCATGAATAGTTCTCTAGCCTCATGACTTAATTAATTCCCACAGGCCCTACCTCCTAATACCACCATATTAGAGATTAGGTGTCAACATATGAATTTTGTGAGGACATAAACACTTAGGCTATAGCACCATTCAATATATGAGGCAAAAAGAAAAGGGAAAAACAAATAAGTCAAGGCCAAAAGAATTATCCTGTAATTTAGAAAGCTGTCAGTGAATATGCAAGTAGCTCCCTGACTGTGTATTAATGGCAGTTTCTTTAGTCCAAATATAGCAACAAAATCACAAGTCATTGTCCATGAGTTAGGTACCACACTGTTAACACTTAAGAAAAATGACTGTTTTTACATCCAATTTGTTGTACGTAAGAAGTAAATTGGATTGCATCAATACATGAGCAGACAAGTCTTTTTTGTCTGAATATGTTAGTTGATACAAGTAGGATAATTATGTTTAAAAGGCATCCAAGAGAAATATAATGATTCCCTGTTTCAAATAGCCCAGGATGTAATTATTAGAACTGATTAAGCCTTGCTTTATTACAATTACGGTAATATGCTTCCAGTGATTTAGGGACATGTTTCAGATTTTCAATAGAGATTGCTCATTTTCAATAAGAATCAATCAGCATCAATTGTCTAGAAACAGAAATAGCTTATGACAATGAATTAGGGATATGAAAAAGAGAAGAGAGAGTCTAACATTTATCTAGCACTTACTGTGTGCCCAACTTTTAGATTAGGTACTTTGCATGCACTATCTCATTTAATTTTCACTATAAACCTTTGTCACAGCTCTTAAATAGGTCATTTATAATTGAGAAAATTGAGAATCAGGAAGGTCCATAGATTGTTAATGACAAAAGTGAGTTTTTAATCCAGGTTTATCTGGTTCCAAAGCCTTATTCTAGTCATCACAGGACCTTGACTTTCAAAAAGGGCAGATTTTGAGCCCACCCTGGAACTTGTTTATTGCAGAAACATAATTGTACGATATTTCCAACCAAATAACCTCCAAACTCAATGCATTAATTTGAAAACATGCTTTCATAACAGAAAAAAAGGTCTTGGAAAAAACATAATTTCATAAGTTGGGAAGGATATAGGGATCATCTATACTTACTCTCTTCATATTTGGAAGACAAAACATTCATGTATTAAATAATTCACTTAAAGAACATGTCTCATTTTGGGCATTCTACTAAATGCAAGTAGGCATAAACTGGTGAAGGGATGTGTTAAGTCATAGGATAGTCATTAACTAATATCAGTCTGACCCACAACATATGAATACCTCTGTTTCCTAAAAGATATACCTATGCATGTATATGCAAACATGCAAACAAGAAGGTGAAGCTTTTCAGGTTGTGGTATCCTAATTCTGTATACAATGTTTTACTACTTTTATCTACATTAATATAAATTCACCATTACTGTATTTCTCCCTGGATATATTTTATCATTTCTACATATATGCAAAAACACAGGAATATGTTTTAGTAACATATCTGCTTATCAAAAGAGTTGTTCATATATTGAACATTCAGCAAATATTTACTGAGGAACAATATGTGTGAGGTACTATTCTAGGTGTTTTAGAAATTTCAATGAACAAAACAGACAAACCTCTTTGTCTTCATGGAGCTTGAATTATAGTACGGGAAATACATGTGAAACAATGAAAATAAAGATTTGTAAAGCATGTAGCATGTTAGAAGGTGAAAAGAATATGAAGGGTGATAAGAATATGAGGGGTGATAGGTCTTGTTGGGAAGTGGTGTTGTTGTTTTCGTTGGTGATAAGTAGGAATATTTAATGCAAAGTACCTAAGGAAAGACCATTCCTAGCATAAGTGATAGGTATGGAGTTATGCAGGGTAAAACCAACTCCTTAAATTTTGCCTGTAACTATGGACATGAGAACATTCTTATTATATTTTGTTGCAGATTCCTATCCTAAAATTATCCACTGGTAAAGTCATAAGGGATGTCAATATTCATAGAAAACACAAGCACGCTTTATGCATTTTGGAACAATAATGGGCCAATTTGTCTCACAGCACCATCTGCTTTCTAGTTACTTAACTCATTTAATCATTTTTGTTTATATCAAAAAGTCACAATATTTTGAATCAAGGTATACATAATATAATGCAAAACAGCATTTGAAATTCCACTTACATTAAGGTTCAGAAATTGGTTCGAGACATTACTATTTAAAAATGTTTTACGCATGTTGCCCTATAGGGAGTCAGCCTTACATTTTAACTGTCTTAACTGTTGTCTGCCACCTACTGAGTGGAAGAGTGCCAACTCAAGCCACAATATTCTGATCTTAAATCTTTTGTTCTTTTTACTACTTGAGAGAAAAATACTTTGTCTGGAAGTATCATGTATTCTTCTTGTTCTTTTTTTTTTTTTTTTTCCCAGCAAATACACTTTGTCTCTAATTACTTTTCCAACTAAGTTTAGAACCCCAAAAAAGAAAGCAGATGGTGCCTTTTTCATAGTACCCTAGCTTTTCAAACCATGTCAAAGGTATCAGGAGACAATATCCAGTATGCTCTATATCTATATAAAACATTCATTCTGGAACATTTTATATAATGTTCCATTTTGAGCTTCTAGTTCTCCAAATATTATCTGTCAGAGAGATGGTTCAGAGGTATTTAGATGACAGTTTTTTTTATCACTAAAGACACCAGAATTATTAAAGACATCAGAATTATTATGTTTTGTAATTGCATTTTTGGCATACAGTTAAAAAATTAAAAAAGCATGGCTCTTGAATCTAAATCAAACTGAATTCTCATTCACAAAAGAAAACTGAAACATCCCACATTTTTGACTTTGTTCATTTTATGATTATGATAACAATGCATATGTTTTTTGAAGCACCAAATTTACATGTGCACAAACACACATATATAAACATTTCATCATATTTTTTAATTTGTATCAGTTAGTATGCTTTCAACTATCAATGAAAATGATTTATAATCACTTAGTGAAGTAATTTATTATCTCACATAAAAGAGATATATACTTCTTCAGTTTCAAGATCAGTTAAATACAAAATGTTGTCAACAAAACTTTATTTCCTTTTACTTATGTACTTATTTTTCATAGCTCTCTTTAGGGTGTTAGCTCACTCCTTTGATCTACCAGATTTCTTTCCGTAGAGACTGTACCAGTGACTCTCTTAACTACAATAACTATACTGGTTTCTCCACACTCTTGCAAACAGAAAGTATTAACTTTGTGTATGTGTTTTTTAATATCCTGTATAACAGTGGCAGAGTGATGCAGCATAAGAAAGACCAGCCATTACTAGTTTTGAAGGTGGAAGGGGGCCTCAAGCCAAAAAATGAGGGCATCCTCTAGAGGCTGGAAAAGGCAAGAAAAAAGTTTTTTCCCAAGAGCCTTCAGAAGGTCTTGCTGATACCCATTTTGGGCTTTTGACCTCCAGAACTATAAGAGAAAAAGTTTGTGTTAAGGACACAGTAAAATCCTATGTAAAAAGAGTTACACAAATATAATAAAAATACCTTATTATTTCTCACTTTACATGCTCCATTCTGATATGCTCTAGAGGTCAAAGTCTTCTAACTTATGACCTAGATCTCTGGTAATATTCAGATCCTCAGACCCCATACCTGACCTCCTGAATCAGAATCTCTAGAAGTAGAACCTGAGAATCTGTATCCTTGGAATTCTTATGATCAAAGAAATTGATCAAATAAATTGATCAATTGAAACAATTTTCTAAATTTTAAAGTCTGGAAGAGTATTAAGTTTGCATCAGGTTAAAAGCCTCACCTTCCTACTTAAAGCAAAGCTACTCTCATACAAAGAAAAAAATAATGAGAATTTTATGCCTTTGACAAAAATAGCTTTACTGTGTACCTCAAAACATCAACAGTAGAATTTCATTGGGCCAGTATAGAATGACAAGTTGGAAGAGAGCAGAGGCATACTCCTTATGTGAATGTTTTCCAAGCTCAGAGCCTAGAGACAAAAGCAGGCAGCTTGTGTACTTCAAGAGCCTGCAATGACAAAATTAATTTATAAGTCAAGATGAAGGCCAATTTTAAACCCTTTAAACCTTTTTTTAAGATATAGAAACAAAAATAATTACATGCAAAAGAACAAAGTTACCTCCCTGCATTTCACCTCTCCTTTGAGAGGACCTTGAATACTGTTAGTCAATATGCTCATTAGCTTTCTATATTTTCTGATTTTCCCTTTGGGGTCTTCCTTGAAAACAGAAAATGATTTCTATGCCCTACCAAAAAATACCACAGAGCATACTGAAAGTGAACCAGGCCTAGAACTAAGAGAAGATGTTGGAATTATAGCAGCTTTGAACCTTTTGTTTTGTTGTAGACACCACCATTGTTGGAGGCTCCTCAGAACACTGTGACAATTAAGTCAAGTCTTCTTTATACTGTCATAAATTAAATTCAAGTCCAGGTTCATTATGGGTGGAAAGGAGGGAGTGAGGAAAGTTTGAGGCTCAGGAAATCTTTTTGAAAGAAAGGGGCTACTTACAGTTTTGGAATTACAGAGTGGAAAAGTGAGTGTCCAGCAGACTTGGGATCACATAAGGAATTCTGTCTCCAGCAATGAAAGGGAGGCTAGACAGTGCCTGGCATATCCTCTGACATAGAGACTAGACAAAGAGAGGACATGAATGCACTTTCAAGTTGGTAGGACATAAGACAGGGCTCTGTCTCCTTCCCTCTGTTGTAGAGTTGATATTATTTCTGGGCTGCAAAGTTCAGTGAAGTGACTGAATTTCCTTTAATAAGTTCTCCTCTTTCATGTTAATGGGTGGGTGGAGAATTCTTTTAAAGTACTGAGCCTGCATTACAAAGAGCTATAATGGTACAAGAAATAGATACACTCTGGTCTTCCTCACACAGTGCGTTTCTCTTGATGGTACTGCCACTACTGACTACTTCTTCCCCACCACAATTATTCTCTCACAATTCTGTCATAATTCATAATTACTCCTCCACAATTATTGTATATTGTATAGTTTTAGTGTTTATTGTATGTTCTTTTAGTTATTGAATGAGCTACAACCGGCACATCACAATGGGTAACATGGAATACCTCTGAGGAAGTGGCACCTTTGGTAGCTACTTCTCTCTGGAAGGAGATCACTGTGATCGCAGATCAAGGAATACTTTTCCTGCCTCTGGCTCCTTTTGCTCTCTTGGCTCACTCATCCATTCATTCAATGTATTTTTTGTTTGTTTGTTTGTTTTTGCTTTTTGAGACAGAGTCTCCTTCTGTCGCCCAGGCTGGGGTGCCGTGGCGCGATCTCGGCTCACTGCAACCTCTCCCTCCCGGGTTCAAACAATTCTGCCTCAGCCTCCCCAGTAGCTGAGACTACAAGTGCAAGCCACCACGTCTGGCTAACTTTTTGTATTTTAGTAGAGACAGTGTTTCACCGTGTTGCCCAGGCTGGTCTGGAGCTCCTGAGCTCAGGCAATCCGCTTACCTCGGCCTCCCAAAGTGCTGGGATTACAGGCATGAGCCACCGAGCCCGGCCATTCAATGCATTTTTATTGAGTGCTGTTTAACTGTGCGTAAACATAATTCAGGTTTTAAGAACAAAAAAGTGAGCAAAACAGACAAAAATCCCTCATGGATCTCATTCTAGAGGTGAAGACTGGCAATAAAGACTAAAAATAGGCAAAATATATGTGGTAAAAACTAAGGAAGGAACAGATGAACTAGTGAAAGAAGACATGAAATATGGAGAGGTAGATGATTAAAAATTTGAGAGAATGGCTAGGGTTAGGCCTCTTTGATGAACTGACTTTGGATTGAAGATCTAAAGACAATCCAGGAACAAGCCATGTAGACCTCTAAGTAAACAGAATTATATAGACATAGGAAGCAGACAATGCAAAGTCCTTGAGATGGAATCAAGCCAAGCCAAGAGCAACAAGAAAGTCAGTGGTTGGAGTAAAGTATGTGGTAGGGAGAGTAGAAGATGGACTGGTGAAAGACAGCAGTAGAGAGATTTCTAGATCATCTATAGCTCTAGGTGAGATGGAAACCACTCACTGCTCAATGAGTTTGAACAACAGTGTGGGGCATCCCTCAAGGAACTGTTGGCATGTCTCTATCAGCCTTTTATTCTGAATGTCTTACTTCCCGTTTCTGCAATTTTGACTAAGTATATCCTCTAGCTTTGATTTTGGCTGTGTGTGTGTGTGTGTGTGTGTGTGTGTGTGTGTGTGTATTTAGTGTTTAGACTTTCCTTAAAATATTAAGTTTGGTTTATCTCTCTGGCTCTTTTTGCTCCTCTTTGCTTTAAATTAGTATCCCTTGCCATAGCCTTTTCTCACACTACACAGACCTTACAAATGACCACACAAAATCTCTTGGGCCAGCCTTTTCTGCTGCCCTTCCAGGTAAGTAGTTGTGCTGATATTCAGAAGAACAATTAATGCATTTTCCAAGTTAGGGATCAATACTTCATGTGGGTAGCTGGAAGCAGGTCAGGTATGAGACTTTGTATGGTCTCTATGGGGAAAGGAAGTAGGGAATTTTTGAAAATGTTTATATGATAATAATGTTGCTTATAGATGCTGGTTAGTCACTGTGGTGAACTGTGGCAGAACTGTATTGATTATAGATCCAGAATTCATCCTCTCACCCCTTTATCAAAGGCTATCTGCATATTCAATGAATATCCATTGGTCTGTTCATATGCCCAGGGATTAAGATCTGGTTAATTTAAGTCATTCTGAACATTTCATTTCTCTGGTCACAGTGATAATGGACCAGTGGTAGAGTTAGCAAGCCAGTTCAAACTGTAAATGTTAGGAGTCTTGTTGAGAATACTAAGGCAGAGGTGTTCTTTCTTGGTCTAGTTCTGATTGTATGTTTTGTTAAGTCTCTTACTTCCCAATTCTCTTTGTATAACACTGAATATGAGGGAGGAAATTTTACTTTTTAAATTCAAACATGATCAACATTATTGCATCATTTTTAAACTAAGAATACAGACTATAAGAGGGAGGGTCTTGCTTAGCAAAACAGTGCTTCTTTTTTTCCTCTCTGTGGGTATTCAGTTCATTTTTAGCCTGAACTTACTCTGCTTGTCAGACCCCACTGAACGCCAGAGGAAGTAATCAGTACTCTCCAACAGCATGAATTTTTCTCACAGTCTCCCAATACTGTACCCTTCCAAGCCATGTTTTATGTCCTAATAAGCAAAGGTAAAAATGCAAGCCATTGCACATCACCTAAAAAAGATCATCAGCTTCCCAGCCTGAAGATCAATTCTGACGGTTCTCTACCCTGTACTTCCTGCCCAGTTAACCCATCACAGTCTGATGCCAAACCTTATATCAATTAGTACCCCTACATTTGCATATTGAATTCATGCCTCTCAAATTGTTATAAACAATAAGGAAATTTATTTACTCACATAACTGGAAATAAGAGATAGGATGCACTACAGAGTTTGTGGATCCAGAAGCTCAATAATGGCATCAAAGATCTAGTTTCTTATTCTCTTTTGCTCTGACAACCATAATATTAGCTTTATCCTAAAACTGTCTCATCTTGTAGATGAATAAGATGATGATGATCCACAATAATTAAAGCTATATATTTCCTCATTCATGTCCAGTAAAGGGAAAATTGGTTCTCAAACAGCATTCTGAATAGGAAACATACAAATGTCCATTTTAAGGTAGTAATTTTAATAGTTTTTAGTGAGAGTTTAGAATCCACTGGAAGAAATCATGGGATGAAAAATAGAGATAATATATAATTAACTCAGAAATGGGAAATCAAGACTCAAGAATGATGCCAGCAGACATAGCTAGTGCCCAGAAACCATCTAATTCAATATAATTCTGTTGGGTAGTATTTCTGGACCAGAAGACTTTTTCATAGAGCAAATACCATGAAGACAAAAAAAAAATGCAATTGGCTACCTTGAGCATTGACTGAAAGCACATTTGTTAGTATAAGCCCCAAACCACTAGTCAGAGAAAAAAAGACATCTGAAGAAGTGCTAATAGCATCAGTCTAATATGTCGTTTGTTAGAAGTCAAGCTCTAGGGTTGGATGAATGAAGCTCTAATTCTAGATCACTACTTAGCAATTTTTTGGTCTTGCAAAACTTATTTTATTTCTGGAAACCTTAATTAATTCCACTATAGAATGGAGATAAGTGCACCAACCTTGCCAGTTTCTGTATTCTATAAGGCAAAGAATGTAAAGTGCTTAAGCAAAAGTAAATTTTTATATTAAGTGTTCAATTCATGCTGGATATTAGTACTATATTTTAATGCAAATGGATAGTAATTACTTATGTTAAATACACTCGCATGCTGAGATTGACACTAGTAGGCCCATTAGCAGATTAAAGATCTTGAAGTTATCACGTTGTTGTGTGTTAAGCTAGGGTACTGGTGAGAGCGCTCCTAATGGTTGCTTCAGATTACATCTGCAGAATGCTTAGGGCTTCAGTACTCTGACTCTGTAAGAGATTTCTGGAAGAGTTCCTGAGATCTCTTTGCAATTCTATTATCATTGGTAGTACCATTTAGGGCTTTCTCAAAACTATTTGAGTTGTTTGTGTGCCTGCAATTAACACACTCTGAAGGTCCCTCTAGTTATAGGTACAAATTTGTGGATATGGTGGAATTCTCAGAAGGCATTTAACAGGTAGTGCTATGGGACCAATAAGCAAGAAGGAGACTGAGAAGCAAGCCATATGAGCAGCTCCCCAGAAAAGTGGCTGTCTCAGTCATCTAAATACGACTGATGTGCCTTGGCTGCTTGGAATTTGAGTCTCCTTCTTCTGACAGCACCACTGACAACAGCAGATGGGAGCAAGGATTTCTGAGCATAAATAACTATTCCTTGGAGCAGCCAGTACACCTTTTCTCCTACCCATCTGTGTAAACAGAACATGCCTTTCTCTGTTCTACTCACATAAAATACTTTCTCTGAGTTTAAAGTGCTTTATAGTTTAGAAACTTGAAGGAAAATGTATTCCTTAAGGGAATTTTATCACAAAGAAGAGAAATAAAATTGAGGAATTTTTGTATTTGGGGGACCTATTACTGTTTGTTTTTTCACTGACTCTCTTCCCTGTTCCAAAGTCATTTGTTTCATGGGTTTTCTAGGTCCCATTTCAGGAGTACTATTCTCAGCAGAGGTAAATTTGTAAGAACCTAAAACTTTCATGTAACCCAGATGTACAGAGATATATCTTCATTCTGTTAAGGGAGCTATAATTTTAGAACAAAACAAAATAAAACCAAATTCAGATGAAAGAATGTTAGACTCTTAGGCATTGGGACAGTGGAATGGTTTTTGGAACAGAGACTAGACTTCACACAGGGCCCATTGCAGAATTTCAGGGACTACAAGAACATTTTATTTTATATAAATTGCTCTCCCCTGAACTTTGCTACAGGAAGTATCATCCCACAGAAAAGAATTTGAATGGTGCTCTCTAGAGTTTGCAACATGTTCCTGTTACTGTGGTTCCTTAAACAGTTCAATTTAAGTAGCTGCCTACTCACACACTTTTAAATTAAAAAAATTCATTAGCAAATAAAGATTGCATATATTTAAGGTATACAATGTGATTATTGGATATATGTAGACATTGTGTAATGATTAGCACAATCAAATTGTCATGAGCTCTTTATTCATTCAACGTTATGTATTGTGTGCCTGTATGTTCCAGTTATTGTGCTAGGTACTTGGGATAAAAATACAAAATAAAACAAAGTCTAGATATCCTCTAGACATGTTACAAATTTAAAAAAAAATAGTCTCTGGTAGCTATTTCAATTTTTTTCCACATTAAAAATCAGAAAAATATCAAGCAAGTCACTCTCAGCTAGGAATGAGGTAGGAGAAAGGCTCTATTATACTTCTGCTTCCCCAGGTCCACAGGGTTTATAGTCTCCTGCTATCATGAAATCATAGCCAACAATTGGTAGTAAGAAAATATGCTGAGAAGTTTTAATGTACATTTGCTTTTCATATTTCCTACTACATGACCTTTCCTTTATTCAGTCAGGAGTCTTTGTGGCCTCAGAAAGAATTTGGTATAGCATAAATCCCAAAAGAAAGGTGTCCACATTCAACAAATGACCTACAATGTTGGCAGTGGCAACGACACCCACATAAACAGAAGCAGCAGCTGCACAGCCACAGGAAAGGGAGGAGAGGCTCTGCATGGAGGTGACACTGGCACCCACAGAATCTGCAGTCTAAGTCCAGCTTTTTCTATACCCCACTCCTATCTCTACAGCATCTGCACAAATATCTATTCTATTTCAGAGTGCTAGGATGGGAATTTCTGGTGCTCAGACAGTAAATTTTGTCAATAAATTATTTAAAAATAAAAGCACAAACATGTAGGTTGCAGTAAAGCATATTGGGCAGTTAGGTTTTAAGGAATGTTACATCACAAAATAAGTATATCTGCAGACTTAGAAATAGGAATTAAATGTAAGGTGTCACGTTTGATAGAAAAGAATACTACTTTCAAATGAAGTTTGGATAAAGCAATTACTGACAAGAAAGGCAATCTTAAAATCATTGTTTCCCTTGTGATGAAAGATACACCAATAAATACATAAACAGGTATTTCAAATTTTGTTCAAATTATAAAGCCACTTTCAATGTCATGTATGACTCCTATGACTTACAGAAAATGT
Source organism: Homo sapiens (assembly GCF_000001405.40). NCBI lineage: Eukaryota > Metazoa > Chordata > Mammalia > Primates > Hominidae > Homo > Homo sapiens. The sequence continues at coordinate 45,929,722 of NC_000004.12, forward strand.
CAAAGGAAATGTTACAATTCATTATATAAATTTACATTTAAAATTAAATTTAGCTTTACACAAAACTGAGTCATTTGAAGAGTTAAGTATTTTAAGAATAATTATTCTGTGAAAATAATAAGTTCTAGATGCAGAAAAACATGTTTCAAAAAAAGTGTCAGAAATTTATCTTAACGTTGTCACAACCTAAAAAATACTCACCAGTTCCAGTAGCATTTGCAACCACAGAAAGATCATTTCAGAAGTAAAAGATTATAAAAGTATTTGTGACTTACATTAATAATTTACCAAGAGTAACCAATGTGGTTTTCAATTTATCTGTTAAAAATAAGATTGCTAAAAATATAAATTTTGATGATCAAACAAATACATTTTGGGAAAAGTAATCCACACAAATCTAAAGATCATTCAACACAGAATATTAGTAAGTATTATTCTTCATGGTATTGTATAAAATTATGACATCAAAAATATTATTTCTTTAATTTATAGTTTCTTTCCTTTACATGTACCCCTATTATTCTATTACATTTTATGAGTAATAGAATATTTTTAAACTAAAAATTTTATATGTTTGTAGCTTTAAGAACATATTTCTTTGCTTTTTGAACAAAGAGATCTGCATGTTCATATTGCTGTAGGCCCTGCAATCTATGTAGCTGGCCACACACAAAACACACAAATGTAAGAAACAGACCTGCTTAGAAAATCTAGGATCATAGTGTATCTTTATCTAGGATCAAGGTGTATCTTTACCACTTACTATGTGAACTTGGACAAGCAATAAGCTCCTGTCTGCCTCAGTTTTCTTGCATCTAAAATGTGGATATAAATGTATGGTTCACAGGATTAATGAATGTAGGATTTAAAAATAATATAAACATGCAAGCACTTTGTAAATGCTTTAGAATTATCAAAATGTAAAAGTGATATGTTGGACAACTTCTCTAAGTGTACCAGAGTTACCTATTGATCATGCAAAGCTGAACTTATTTTCTAATGCATAGAGAAGGGCACCAGCTTGACAGAGTCTTAATAGTATCTCCAAAAGGGGGCATTTAGGGCAGATAGAAGATGTTGGTGTCTGCGGTCCAGTGATTTATGGTGCGTCCTTCCTTGTGGAGCTTTAGTTGAGATTTGTCATATTGGTGACAGCATAGGATTGGTGGACACAAGGAGGCCAAAATTTGAATGTTGACAAGAAAACACTTGTTAGATAAAAAGCTGGCTTGCCCAGTTGAGTGATCCATTGTCCTGAAAAGGAGGCTGATATAGTAATCTATTATTCAGATAAATTAATATTCACTAAATTTCTAAAGCATTCATAAAGTTATTTACTGGTTTATAGTCTCATCTCCCAGAAAGAGTTTTCTCGAACAAATAATATAGTCATGTTGATGAAGATAGTCTCCATTCTTACTCCTGATATTTAAGCTATATAGATGCAGAAATATCTACTCTCAAGAATTACTACACTTTTCAGTACAAAATATACATTGATATAAATATGATGTAATGTGAAGTTTTGACTATTATCCAACCAATAATCTGAAATAAAACTATCCAGGATTTGTCATATCAATGAGCTCATCTTTGTGAGTAAGCTGTCTCCATGTAGGCACAGTTCTGGCATGAGTCATGTGGTCACAACAGTGGGTGAAGCTCTGCCCTGTGACTTGAAAAGCTGTAAGTTTTATCTAGACACCTGTGCTTACATGCAATAGACAAACAGATGTTCTTAAAATCCTAGCAAGTTAACAAATAATCATTTAACCTCATATTACCATAATTTCACGTTCAAATCTAAGATACCAATTTCAATCCTATAAATAGAAGAGATAAAAAAGATTCATATTCTCAGGACAACAAAAGCCAGTTATCTAGACCTGAAGTAATGAAAATGAAATTGTCGAGTCTGTCATTTGGTGGAGTAAAAGCATCAGTGTGTTCACAAATCTCTTCGCATTGTGTGATATCTAGGCTCTACATTTATGATATTTATGATGCAAATTCTAGTAGGCAAAGTGCGAGTGAAAGCAATACAATTTTGCTTAGTATTCATGCAACAGATGCCATCTGTACAATATTCTTGGAGATGACGTTTAACAGAACTATAGAAAGTAATGACTGTTCAAATATGAATGATACTTTTGATTTTAACTGAAAAGCAACCCTAAACACAAAAGAAGTGACAATTATATCAGTGCTGAAGAAATTCCTATGTATTTAAAACTGCAAAATTGAAAACACTTATTCACCCATGTAAGCTTACAAAAAGAGTGAGCCGTCATTGTTGTACCATGAACTATTAATTTCAGACTTCTACAATAATACACAACGCACTAGAAGTGTTTAAGAGAGTATTTCATATTATTTTCTAATTGCACCATCAGACATTTGCCACTCTAATTTCTAATGCCTTAACTCCTCTCCAGCTTTACTGAGATTAATACCTGACAGTAAGGATATACTAGGACTTCTGCAATATGGGGGAATGAAAAACCTAAACAGATGAAAACAACAATCAAAATAGCCACTGATTCTCTGCTCAAAACTCCAACTCTGCTGCTATTTTGGGTTTATTTCATGAAATCATAGAAAAGCACTGCTTCATGTATGTACCTTAAATTCAATATTATAATCACATATGTCCTCTAGACACAGTTTCTACTGACAAAATAACTAAAAGAGTTGAGCAGCCATGAGATATTATTCAGGGCAACAGGGTGTCCCCTAGCAAAAATTGCCTTATAGAAAGGTTCAGCAGATGGCAGAAATAGCCCCACTCTAGTACACTAAACATGCTCAATTATTGGCTGAAACACCCCGAAGAATCAAGGGGATGCAACACAGGCTCCAAAGTAAATCCCTATGTGTAGCAGCTGCAGAATGTCAGCTGGCACTTTCTTTCTAGCAGCTTCTCTTGAAGACCAGATTGAGTAGTATGTCCTCATGACTACCACAATTATACCTTGTTTCTCATATCAGCCTATACTTTTTGTTAGTTATTAATTTCCTTCTACTTTTATATAGAAATTCTCTTAACTTGCAGATTTTCTAGGACAGAAATAATTGAGCATGTAATTTTATCTATGTTTAAATGAGTCGTGAACATCATGAGTGACCTAGATAAATTATTTCCCTGGTTAAACCGGACTAGTGCTTAGTCCGTTATCATTCTCCCTTACTACACTGTCTGTAACATCATTTGTACTCATCAACTGATGCACAGGATCCAATTGAATTATGCCTAAAATGGGTAGTGGTGAACACTGGCAGAAATCATTACCCCATGACTCAGTTTTAAACTTTACTCAGGAAGGAGCGTAAAAGATGGAAAATGAAATTTGGAAATTGACAACTTGTAAGGAAAAAAAGAAAACCTATATACTTTTCAGGAGCCTAAAATCTCATGTAGATTTTTAAATATTCTGATATTTGACTGAAAAGCAAAAATATAGATTTTCAGGGGTTCAGAACTTACTGAAGCTCCTGGCTTTGTAATAGCAAGGATGTCAAAGGGAAAGTTTGAAGAT